>NC_000008.11:27738890-28041920 GCF_000001405.40 Homo sapiens
ATCTTTTCATAATGATATTCTGGAAAAACAGCAACCAAAGACTATCTGGATAAGGTATGACTATTTACAAAGTAGGTCAAGGAAGACTTTCACATCGATGTGTCTTTGCTTCAATTCTAAGCAGCCCTGTGAAATAATATGTGTCCATTTTACTGATGATGAATACTCCCTCAGAGAGGTTAAATGACTTTATTAGGATCTAACCCAACCACTGTGACAACGTTCCCTTGCCCAAGGGATGTTTAATCCCCCCCACCTCAATTAGCACATGACAGTTAAGTCTCTAAACTTCAAATTCAAAGCTCTATTTAATTTAATAATGCTATTCTGGAATTTTTCAGGAATAAATTATAAAGAAACATCTCTGATTCATAAAGGAGCCTCGTACATTTAGTTCTTCATAGAGATGGGAATAAGAATGTTGTTCTTACAAATTTTTAGAAGAATATGTAGATATAAACAAGATGTAAAATCCTATTACTTCTAATTCATGCACTAAATCTGAGGTTTGACTAGATGACTTGTAAGGGATCTTAAATTCTGTTACAGTTGGCCCTTGATTTCTTTATCTGTGAATTCAACCAACCTCAGCTCAAAAATATTTAGAGGAAAAAAACAATTAAAAAAATACAATAAAAATAATATAAATTAAAAAAATACAGTATAACAACTATTTACATAGCATTTACACTAATTAGGTATTATAAGTAATCTAGAGATAAAGTATATGGAAGGATGTGCATATGTTATATGCAAATACTACTCCATTTTACACAAGGGACTCAAGCATCCTAGGATTTTGGTAGCTTCGGGGAGTCCTGGAACCAATCCCCCATGAATACTGAAGGATGACTATATTTTTAAACTATACTATAAAACATGCAAAATCCCAAATACATCCACCCAGTTTCCATTTTCTGCAGACTGCTCAATAGCAGCTAAATTGTGCTATCTCTAGACACTTCAAGATAAATTTTGGGAAAGACAGCCCTCAAGGACAATAATTCTCTGACATAGTTCCAATCAAATAATTAGACGCAATGTTAAGAAGATCCTTTCAGTACTATGTCATAGGTCACCATCTGTTTCTATCCCAGGTCCTAAGGAACATGAAAACAAACAATTTTGTCACTTAGGCTTCACTGAGTCACATAAGATCTTAGGGTAAGTTATTTTAATTGAAGGTGATAATTTTGTTCTCATTCAATTATAATATGGACTCTACAGTCACAGTGATAAAGAACACTAATAAATAAAGGCACTTTTGCATGCCTGCAACCAGAAAAGAGGGGAAATAAAGAATAAAGTCCTGTAAATATAAAATGAATAGACCTGTACGCCACAGTAGACAAGCTCTGACAATCTCTTTCCCTGAGATGACCTACTTAACAACACAAATGAGAAAGTCCACAGGGAAGGAGGTGCAGTGCCTAAAAGAATCCAGCCTGAGTGGTGTCCTGGTTGCCAAATCATGGTTAGCTATTTGCAACATGTAAGGCAATAATGGCCAGTAACACAATTATTAAAAACCCTTAGTGAATTATTTCAAGGCAAACATTCATGCAAACCACTTGAACATACCTGATTTGAAGACATATTTTCAACTTTCATTAGTGATGAATAGCTCCTAGAAGGAAAAAAACACACACACACATTTAAAATATGGTGATCCAGTCAACAAATATTTGATGAACATTTCCTGTGTATCCAGCACTGCTCAGGGGCTTTAGAAGAAACACAAGAGCTATTAGATATAATCTCTGCACTCAAGGAGATTGCAACATTCAAAGGATGAATATTTATAAACAATAAAAAAGATGTGCACAGCACTTTATAATTTACAAAGTGCTTTCTCCTACTTGTTTCATGTCACCACCTCCACAATAACTTGGCGAGACAGGTGGCATTATTCCTACTTTTCAGATGGGGAAATTCACCTACAGCCAAGATCTGATAAGATTCACAGCTGAGGTATACAGCTCAGATTGTAAACGCTACAGGAATTCAAAGGAGGAAACACATCAGTGTGGGCAGGAGCTGTCAGGGCACCCTTCACAGACAAGGCGGAACCCAAACCAAGCCAATCAAGTGGGCAGGATGAGTGAGGGGGCATTTCAGATCCAGAGAGTGGGATGAGCAAAGAGACAGAGATGGTATCTTTAATGACTTGCTGAATATCCAGCTAACTCAGGTAGGTTCTCAAATAAAGTAGTGGGAAATCAGGCTGGATGTGGTGCCCAATTATGTTGTCTTGATTGCACGACTGAACACAATGTGTTCCGCAAGAAGCCATAATACACAACTGAGTAAAGCCATAATGAGGTTCAATGGGCATTCATTAAATATCCATGTGCATAAGACCCTGTGCTAAGCCTGGGTAGAGGATCGGATGAGAAGAAAACAGAAAATGATGACTAACACAAAGCCTGGACCCACAGAACTTACTGGGAGGGGAAATAAGACTTATTCATCAATAACTATGGTGAAAAGCACTATTAAAAAATACACGGCTGGGGGCAGTGGCTCACGCCTGTAATCCCAGCACTGTGGGAGGCCAACGCGGGCAGATCACAAAGTCAGGGGTTCGAGAGCAGCCTGACCAATGTGGTGAAACCCCATCTCTACTAAAAATACAAAAATTAGCAAGCGTGGTGGCGTGCACCTGTAATCCCAGCTACTCAGGAGGCTGAGGCAGGAGAATCACTTGAACCTAGGAGGTGGAGGTTGCAGTGAGCTGAGATTGCACCACTGCACTCCAACATGGGCGACAGAGCAAGACTCCATCTCAAACGACAACAACAACAAATACACCAAGAGACAAAGGAAAGTGAGACTACATAATACCAATGTTTTGAAAAGAATAATCTGTAGCAAACAAGATTAGAGAGGTGGTTAAGACAAGAAGGTCCATTCACAATAACAGTATTTACCAGAGTATTTTAAGCCCATTGTACAAAATAAGAAAGCAGAGTCAGGATGGTTAAGTAAGTTGTTCAAGGTCTTAGAGATAAGAAGATATGCCAGGTTTTGAACCCAGGTCAGACTCCTAAGCTTATACTCTTATCAGGCCACAGCTTATTGCGATACTCCAATTTGAGGGCATGAATCCCTGGAGTTAACAGCTGTAATGGTAAGAAGGAATACAGAGAAGAAACAACAATGACATCAAGGTTTGTAGCTTGGGCAATTTGAAAAAAATAGGAGAAATGGGAAAATGTTGCAAAGAAGATGTGCCTGGTTTGAGACATGCCGCATTTGAAGTCATAGTGAGATACCCAAGTAAATATGAACTGTAGAAACTGAAAACTGAAGACCAGTGGGAAGGAGAAATGTCACAGTCAAAGATAATGAGTTGGGAGACACCCAGAGGGAGAGACCAGTAAGTCTTTCCCTCTGGAGAGACTTGTAAGCTTGTAAGAGTTAAGTGGTATCCACAAGGAATTAAAACAAAACAAAAACAAACAAACAAAAAACAGACAAGATCAACAGGTTGCATGAGCAGGAGGAGAAAGACATGTTGATGAAACAAAAGTGGTGAGAACAGAGAATGTCAGTCCTGACTGCATCTGAAAATCACTTGTGAAGATTTAACTGGATCCATATGCCCAGTTGTGGGGATCTACCCAGGCTGAAGAATCACTGGGTCAAAATTCCCATCTATGTGACAATGATGCACAAATTTACCTTTCTTGGGCTGGGCACGGTAGCTCACACCTGTAATCCCAGCACTTTGGGAGGCCAAGGCAGGCGGATCACTTGAGGTCAGGAGTTCGAGGCCAGCCTGGCCAACATGGTGAAACCCTGTCTTTACTGAAAATATACAAAAATTAGCCAGGCGTGGTTGTGCATGCCTGTAATTTCAGCTACCTGGGAAACTGAGGCAGGAGAATAGCTTGAACCCGGGAGGTGGAGGTTGCAGTGAGCCGAGATCGTGCCACTGCACTCCAGCCTGGGCAACAGAGTGAGACTCAGTCTCAAAAACAAAACAAAACAAAAAAACAAACAAAAACAAATTTACCTTTCTTTAGTTTCCTCTGAGCTCAATTTCCATTAGTCCAACTACCTCCCTGACATCTTTTTGGAGATCTCAAGGGTATTTTCAGATTCTTAAGTCCCTATCCAACTCATGGTCTTCCCCCTACCAAACCAGTTTAGTTCTTTCCCAGTGTTCTCCAGCTCAAAGAATGTCATCACTATCCATTCCATTTCCAACTAGCAACCTAGGAGTCATTCTTAGCCCCCTTTTCCCTGCCCTTTGCCTCAATCCAAACTATCACCAAATCCTAATGTTTTACCTAGAAAAACAATAATCCACTTCTCTCCACCCCAAGTCACCACCATATTCTAAGCTACCATCTGTGATGTGGAATGCTCTTAACCTAGTCACACCCACTCTGGTTCCCTTTACAATCAGGTCAGCAAAGTGACCTTCTCAACACACAAGCTTCATTGTATCAACCCTTGCTTAAAGCCTTTTGATGGCTTCACAGTGCTCTTAGGATGAAGACAAACACGGCCAGCAAGGGCCTGCATGGACTGGCCCCTTGATCCAAGTGCCCATTGACCTCTGCTGCTTCAGACATTTGGGACTTTAGTCCTGCATTTTGCCTTGCTGCTCCCATACAAGGTCTTTGCATACATAGTTCCCTCTGCTTACAGCACTCCTTCCAACTCTTTAGCTATCAGAGTTTTGATCTTGGCTTCAAGACCACCATATCAGGGGACAAGTGTGGTGGCTTATGCCTTTAATCCCAGCACTTTGGGAGGCCAAGGCAGGAGGATCACTTGAGCTCAGGGGTTTGAGATTAGCCTGGGCAACATAGGAAGACTCCATCTCTACAAAAAATAAAGATATTAGCTGGGCATGGTGGAGTGAGTCTGTAGTCCCAGCTACTAAGGAGGCTGAGGTGGGAGGATCGCTTGAGCCCAGGAATTGGAGGCTGCAGTGGGCTATGATGGCACCCCAGCAATTCAGCCTGGGATATGTCTGGCATGTGTTTAGCAGAAAGAGACATACCAATTGTTTTTAGTTTTCTGAATCCATGGAGATTATTAAAAAATACAAGTGATTAGCGACAGCTTAGAAAGGGGGACTAATTAAACTTTTGAAGCAAAAATTGTAGTCAATGAGACTGGGAATTATTTCCCCTCAGTTAATACAAATATTTTATATGTTGAGGACCCTAAGGAAGAAAGCCCAGAAGATATAAAAACTGTGTTTTAGTTTTTAAGTTTTGTTTAAATGCTTGTAATTTCTGAAACTCATAAAATGATACTAACACCCTAAATTTTAGTAGCATGCAGCTTAATATGAATTATGACATATATAAGTTACTTGGTTTATATTGAATAAAAATTACTTTAAAATTGAAACAAAAAAGGAATCACCATACCAGGGAAGCTAATCTCAGTATATTCATGACGTATGACTAGTCACTCACTGCACAGACAAAGCACTCTGTCACCTCTAAGGGGAGGCAAGGATGCACGATTGCTTCCCTGAAGGACCTCACAGGTAACACGAAGAGGCACAGCACACACAGCATTATTTACAGTAGAAGGCAGTGGCAGTGTGTATAAGATAAACAAAAAAAGGTACAAAGAAGTTGGTTCTTCATGAGACTGTCATCCATTTAATTAGTTACTGGTCTCACCATTTCCTCTCCTACATGTTACTTCATTCATCCTGTAAGTCTATTCCCCAATATTCCACAAAACCTATAAAGGCTCTTTATCACTTACAACATGAAATTCTGGACTAAACCTTTTAAGTCACTCTACAATGTACCTAATTTTTCATTCTTTCACTTGCCTATGTGTGACCTTGACTCTGGCCTTGCCAGTTTGTTCATTCCTTGCCTCAAAGGAAGCACGATAGACTATTGGCTTCAGGATTAGACTTGAGTTTGGATTCCTGCTTTGTCAGTTACAGGCTACAATCTTTCCACATTATCCTCCATGCTGAAGTAATCTTTGCATGAAAATCAAGTTCATGTCAATGTTCAAATTGATGATATATTTACTGACTTACCATTTCACCTGGGTCTTGTACTTCTCTCATTCCAATTACCTGAGCTTTGGGTTCCAATTCTGATCTCCCAGTCTCTATCACAGCTTTTTATTTTTATTTTTTGAGGCAGAATCTAGCTCTGTCACACAGGATGGAATGCAGTGAGCTCACTGCAGCCTCAGCCAACAGGGCTCAAGCAATCCTCCCACCTCAGCCTCCAGAGTAGCTGCGACTATAGGCTTGTACCACCCACGCCTGGCTAGTTATTTGATTTTTTGTAGAGACAGTCCTAATTTTGTTGCCCAGGCTGATCTCAAACTCCTGGGCTCAAGCAATCCTTCTGCCTCAGCCTCCCAAAGTGCTGGGATTACAGGCATGAATCACTTTGCCTGGCCGCATCTCAACTTTTAAATATCCCTCTCTCAGGTAGTCATAGTCCTTACCCTTTGTTTTGACTGCCTCAACCTCTCATCTGTTATTCACCCATCCTCTTTATGACGTTTCCCTGACTATTGCTTATTTCTTCTGGTTTCGACATCTACATGGGTTGACTTAATTTTGATGTAATAAATGTTTGGTACAGTAACACAAAAAGCCAAATAAAAGAATGCAAAATTAAAACAGGTAATAGACACAGATTTCTATATCTTGGGTGGAAGATTCAAAGACAGAAATTAAAGTGAATGCTAGCACTGCAAAATGTATAAAAACACATTACAAAACAAGTCAGAAGCTTAGAGCCTATTGCTGGAATTTCACAGATGCTGCAGAACACAGCAAACGGCAGCTCTGGATGTGCCAAGCAAAGACTTGCAATGTCACCGCGTTCCATTCCCGGCACTGCAGCCCTGTGCCACGTTCTTCTGTCTTCTGCAGCATGTGACAGAAAGTTGTCTGTGTGGCACACGGTTAACGGAAATAAACATAGCAATTGTTTTTGGTTTTCTGAGATCCATGGAGATTATTAAAAAATACAAATGACCAGTGACAACTTAGAAAGTGGGACTGATTAAACTTTTGAAGGAAAAATCTTATTCAATAAGATTGAGTTTTCCCTTCAGTTAATAGGAGTATTTTATATGTTGATGACACTATGGAAAAAAGCCCAGAAGATACGAAACTGTGTTTTGGTGGACAAATTTTGTTTAAATGCTTGTAATTTTTGAAACTCATAAAAATCATACTAATGTCCTTAATTTTAGTAGCATGCAGCTTAATTTGAATTATGACATCTATAAATTACTTGATTGATTTATATTGAATAAAAATTACTTTAAAATGGAATAAATTGAACAAAGGGAAGAAGAGTATAGTAAGTAATATGTGTAGGTTTGAGAATCAGACTGAGACTAACTAGCCAAATGAGCTTATAACAAGTTTCTTGATTGCTTCTCAGGCTCAGTTTCCTCTTCTATAAGATGCAGATAAAAATCTACTATGGCTATTGTTGGAATTAAATGACAGAATGCAGTAAAGCACTTTGCAATGCAGTGTTTGGCAGATGGAAAATGTTCAGAAGGGTTAGCTAGTCTTCCTTATTCAATGTTGTAAGTAAATTAGGTGATCTTATGTTCCTAATATATGTTCCATCATGTTCCTAAACAAAATTATGTTCGATCCGTAAAGGGCACTAAAAGGCATATTTTCAGTTTCCCCCCACTCCAAACTCAAAACAAAAAAGAATTAACTGCTCTAAATCCTGCATCACTCAGAATTTCACAAATTTTACCTCACTGATGGAGTTAATACCGTTTCTTTCACTTCAAACACAAAGCAGACTCAGAATTCTAGGCCATACCAAATACTTAAACATATATGTTAGTTGGCCTCATATTAGCAGATTGTAACTCAGGGTAACATTTCTGAAGCTCTCCATTTGAACACTGTATTTTAAGTGAAGCCTGTTTTAGCAGAACCCCAACCAGAAACACGTGCATGCGAATAATAAATAACAGTACGTGTTCATTATACCTACATTCTGACCCAACAATCTTTCTAAGAATCCAGGGCATTCCAAGGAAACTGGGTTAGGACATGCCTAAGCAACATGTTTCTGATTCTACACCATTTCCAAAGGCAATATATGTTATAAGTAACTCTTTTTTCTTTTTGGCATATGTATTGCAAATAAACAAACATGGAAAAATCTAGGAGTTCTGTGATGAGAATTCGCAGGATTAATTTCCTTTAATTAGAACAACTAGGGGCTCTGCGGGTACAGCACTGTATGGCAGAACATCCACATTCTAGTCTGTAGAACCTATAAATATGTTATCTTCTATGGCAAAGTAGACTTTGCAGATGTCATTAGTTAGGACCTTAAAATGGAGAGATTATTGTGAATTATCTGGATTAACTCAATCTAATCACACTGTTCCTTAAAAGCAGAAAAGGCAGTGGTCAGACAGGGGGCTGTGACCATGGAAAGCTTGGAGAAGGAGCCACAAGCCAAGAAATGGGGGTGCCTCTCAAAGCTGAAAGGGAAGATTCTCCCCTAGTGCCTCCAGACACTTTGATTTTAGCCCAGTGAGAATCTTGCTGGACTTCTAATCTACAGACAATAAATGTGTGTTGTTTTAAGCTACTACATTTGTGGCAATTTGTTTCAATGGCAATAGAAAACTAACATAATCATTATTCTCATGGCCTTCTTCACTAGAATTTCAGGAGCCAAATTGTATTTGAACTATTTAGCTGTTTAAAAATGTAGTGCTTTGAAGCAGACCTCACTACATTACTTTAAACTTTCAAAATGTAAAAAAGAGTTTTAAAAACAGCTTTGAGAGTTACTAGCATTGGTTTTTAGAGCCAACACAACTTTACTTAAATAGCACAGCTAGTCAATAGTAAATACCTCCCACAGCACCTTTTCCTTTCCAGAAGAACTTTACAAACCAAACCAAACTAGGGATAACCTATGAAGGTTTCTCTATGAATAAAATTAGTTATTTTATTTCATCCACTTTCATATCCTGCTGCCATAAACAAGCAATTCTTTTAACCAACACATTAATATAAATGCCTTTTTTTAAAAAACTGATTTAAGGTTGAGCTTAAGCTGAGCTTGTTACATGTCCCTCCTTCCACCAATATATCGTTCTTAATGGCTAATACATGATTAAAATCATCAGGGAATAATCTTTGAGGTCAGTCTCAATGCCACAGCTCCGACATACCTAAGTTCATCCATTTCCCTCTTCTTCTTCATTTCTTCTTTTTCTCTCTTTTTCATTTCCTGAATTTGGGCTTTTTTCTCATTCCTCTCTTCACGATCTCTGCATTCTTTCTCTGCTGCTAGGTCTGGGAACCGCTCGACTTTGGTCTTTTCTAATCGGTTCAGGATCTCATTTACTTTCTTCTCCACTGTCACAATTTTTACCTTTAAGGGAGATAGGAGAAAAGATATTGCATCTTTTTGTTTTTTTTCTCCCAGAAGAGGGATGAGGCTTTCCAGGGGTTTAGCAACCCAGTTTAATTCCCTTTAGAAAACATATATCATGCTCAGCCCTCAACAACAATGGTGTCAGACAGAAAAGATAGGATACTCCATTCAGTATCAGGGCTCCGCCTCCTTCAGTGGCACAAAACACTTACATCCTTCTGCCTGTGAAAGCCTATCTGCCCCACATCCATGTCAGCTGTTTTCTTCAGGTTAGACCACGGCGTATATACCACATTAACGTTGTTCATCTTGCAGCCTGCCAAGAGAGACTGTCTTCAACATGCAGGCAGGATGAGACTGAGCAATGTGTTCCCTTACCCACTGGCAAACTGCCATAAGCCAACAAGGGAAACGGCTTAGAACGAACAGGCCACCCCTTGTTTTAAACCACCAATACTTTTTCAAAAGCCACCCACAAAAGGCAAATGGTAAAGCTGACAAAATTCAAACGGAAGTATTACTATGGCAAGTAGGAGTCCATGGATTAGCTTCAGGGACTTCTGAGGACTCTCTAAAATTGGATGCAAAATTTATCATTGAGTTTTTTTTTCAAGAGAAAAGGACTGAATATGTTTCCTCAGATTCTCAAAGAAGTCCTTGACTCTGAAGGTTAAGCAGCAACGGAAAGCCATGGCCTGGAACTCACAAGCCCTGGACTCTATCCGGGACTACCACGAGCTAGCCGAGCCTCTCTGGAGAAGTCCCCTGGCCCTCTGAATTTCATATGAAATGTGAGGAAATTGGACTAGTTTAATAGAGTTTTTGCTTATAGTTTCTTCAGCAGTGGAACCCTTTTACCAAAGAAAACACAGAAGTCATCAAAGCAGAGGCGCTCTGGATGGAAGGAGTGCCAGGTACCCTGTTCACTCCTCCTCCTGCCCCTTCACCGCCTCCTCCACCACTCATACCCTCCCTGGCAGCTCTGGAAATCGCAGTTTAATCACTGGTCTGACACTCTCTCTGGTCCTTCCAAATTAGATGGCAAGGGATTTCAATGCTTATTAAATCCCCATGTACACTGGAAAAAGCTGGAAGACCACTTTACCCAAGGGGTCAAGGTTAACACCACCAAAAATGGCACAAAATGACATCATGTGCTGCCTGACTATAATGTGCAAAACTTCACTTATGTAATATTCCTGCTCCAAAGTGCATGATGGGATTCTAATCCAGAGGAAGCATCAGACAAACCCCAACTGTGGGTTAGTAATCCCATTACTACAACTGGTCTGTACTTTTTGAAAGACAAAGCAGTATCTCTGGATTAAAGGAGACTAAAGAGAAGTAAATACAGCGCAAGTAAATACAGCACATGGCCCTGGATCCAAAAAAAAAAGCTATAAAGAAACAGTAGCGGGACAAGTGGCAAAACTTAAATATGGACTGTATATCAGAACACAGTATTCTATCCATGTTAAACTTCCTGAATTTTACCACTGTAATACAGTTATTTAAGACAACGTCCATGTTCTTCAGAAGGACATGTTCAAGGGTCATGATATCTACAATTTCGCTTTGGATGGTTCAGCTAAAAAGGTTAATGAGTATGCAATATATAAAGCAAATAAATATGGAAAAATTTAAAAATTGATGAATCTAAGTGAATGGTATATGGTAGCTGTACTATTCTTGCAACTTTTCTGTATACCTGAAAGTTTTTTCAAAATAAAATTTCTTTAGAAAATCTCCATGTGCAAGGCACTGTGGGGGACACAAACATGACCAGACAATGAATCTTGCTCTCCACGACTCTAACGGAGCAGGGTAAGCACATCAATAACTTGGATCAAAAGGAGAACTGATCAAATGCTGTTGGAAAGCTACAGGAAACTGCTAAGACAGCACAGAGAAAGTGGGGCCACTCAAAGCTGAAGAAGGAAAAGGCTTCATCGAGGAGGCTCACAGAGCTCAGGGGTTACGGCAGAACACTTGAGCCAAATGGGTTGACATCAAATCCAGTCTCTACTGCACTTTAGACCTCTAAGACCTTGAACAAGTTCCTTAATTCTCTTTAAGATCAGTTTCCTCCTCTATAAAATGAAAATAATATCTAACTCAACGGGGTGGATAATTTATGAAGTACTTAGCACAGGGCCAGGCATGTAATTAACACTCCATCAGTGTTAGCAATTACTACCACCACTACACCTACTATGTGGACCTTGAACCTTAGCTTGAATCTGGACTCTGATGACTGACAAAGACAAACCTGAGGGCAGAGGGAACAATACAAGCCAGGTGCAAGGTCAGAAAACAGCAAATATTGGCTTTGGCTGTAGTGTGAAATACGTGAAGGGAAAGAAGTCTGCAGTCAAATGAGAGACGCTTAAATGCTGGTTTCAGAAGTCCGGACTGAACAGTTTAGGCCGAGGAGAGTCAAGACAGTTTCTAAACTTCTAAAAGTTTAATCTGGAAAGATTCACTGGGTGAACACAGAACAGGCTGACCTAAGATTCTAGACCTATGACCCAGAACAGGCTGATTCTATAGCGACAAACAAATTTAGCCCCAAAGCCCTTGGTTCTGAGCACTGCAGATGGTAAACCGGGGGAAAACTTTGTCCCTACAAAGTGCCACAAGTGGAGTGTCCTCTGGAAATCTCATAGCAACGACCATTTTCTCCACTCCTCGGCACATAATCTTCTACTGACTCACAAGAGCAAGACCCTTGGGCATAGGTCCTTATTTGCTAGCTGAGCTATCGTTGCAGAAGGCTGAAGAGGAGAGAAACAGTAATTCAGTGTCATGACTCTTTGCTCCTCTTTGTTTTCTCTAGAATTAGTAAACTATGAAGAGATTAAGAAGAAAGCAGCTGGGCCAAGAATAAGGCCTCCAAAGCTCTTTTAACAAAGACATGTCTGCTAGCCAGCAGCAATGGAAGGGATAAGGACATGTGAAGGAAGTTGGAACACAGAAGGAAAGAATATAATGATTGTTTCAATTCTTCTTGTTATTTCAGTAACTGAAGATCTTAGCTGAAAATCTTAGAAAATTCTGTTCTCCTCATACAATGGAATGTCCCAAAATGTATTACAATTTGTTAACTTATAGAGTTGAAAATCAGTGGCTCTGTAAAGCAACAGTTCTACCTTCTTTGGCTAGGTGCTGACGCATCATTCAGGCAGCCTAAGTGAAGGTGTGGGAAGCGCAGTCGGGGAAAGGGGAATGCTGCGCTGCTCTTGTCCTGTAATTGCCAACTCCTGGTACCTGTTATCAGCTGTGGGTCCGCCCCATGTTTATCTTCTTCCCAAACCATGATTGCTTTCCAACCCTCTGGAGCATCCCTTCACTCCATCTCAAGCCACAATAACCTCTACCCGATCTAGACCTGTGTTCTACACCCTAAAATCGGATCTACTGGCTCATTATTAGCAGAGCACCACCTCCTGGTTTCCCTTCTTAAACCCCGCCCCTACCCTAATAATCATCCTTCTTGACCCTTCATGACTATGAGATGAAATCTTGCATAGCAGAAATAAATACCAGGTAATGACCAAGCACGGTATGCCAGGCCCCATCTAAAATACTTAGGCTAATTGTTCTCAACCCATGCTGCACAGGAGAATCACCCAGAGAGCTTTTAAAAGCAGTAATATTTGGGAATCACCCCAGACAAACTAAATAAGATTCTCTTTGGTGGGGAGGGGAAGTAACAAGATCAACTGACTTGACAACTTCGCAATTTAAGAGGGAAAAAGTATGTAAGAGGAGGAGGGAAAGAAAAAGTAGAGAAGCATGATTTGGGGACTTTAATTCTAGAATCTAATGACAAATAATAGAAATAAAGATATCAAACAACATTAAAAATAAAGCCATAAAACACATTGTTCTTGCTTAGCTATCAACATTGCCAAATTTCCCAAAGTCTTTTTATAATAACACTAAGTACAGACAGATCTAGACAACCTTCTATTCAAGGTAAGGAAACAGTAAAAAGAGCCGAGACTTAGACAGGACGGTCAAAATGACAAGGGTGGGGAGATCAGTTTTTAGTTCTTTGACAGGTACCAAAATTGCCATCCATCTTAAAGAACAAAACATGGCAAAGGCACAGCACATGTTATTCTTTGATGGAGGCCAAAGTCAACAGCATGCTCACTAAAATGTAATCCATTTCAGACACAGAGAAAGTCCGTGCTAATTCTAAAAACACCTCTAGGAAAACTGACCTTGAATGCTATTGGCCTTCACAAGGTGGGCACAGTCCATCAGCACTTCCTTTGGGATGTCTTCTATATTCTCTCCCTGAAACACAAAAATAAACCAATTGGTCCACTACCTCATTATCCATTGACACTGGAGCACTCAAAGGGCATTTGCTGCCTTACCTACTAGGCATGATTTTACTAAAAGCAGAGGTTCTTCAACTGTTACAGAACACTGAAAAGTAAATTTACTGTGTGCATTACGGGAATGTTTGTTTAAAATAAGAGAAGGCTGTAATATGAAAATATTGACACTTAATAAGTAAAAAAAAAAAAAGCAAAAAAAAACAGGAAATGAAAAAAACTCCCAGAATATTAATTATAATTATGTCTGAGTAATTTTTATTCTCTTTCTTCTCATTCTGACTTCTAGAAACCTTGTGGGAAAATGGTGCCTATTTTTGACAACTGGATGTCTTCGTGGCCGAGGTCCCTATGACCTTCCTCTCAAAAGAATACGTGTAGTTTTAGTTCTCAGACATCTGGTAGGTCATCTATCCTCAGCTTTAATCAGGAAAAAAGTTATTGTTGTGTAGATCTCAACCATTCACTGTAAAGAAGAAATAACAGAAATGACACTGATCCTTTTTCTCTATAGAAATTTGTATCAAAATCAAAGGTGAATAAGTGAGGTGATGCCCCTTTTACAGATGCAGAAACAGGCCAGTTAAGTAACTTGCTCAGAGTCACGTGGTGAGTAAGCAGCAGAACCAGAATTCAAAGCCAGCAGTCTGGCCCCAGGGTCTGAATGAATCCCTTAGTCTTACTGCATTTCCAACTTCCTTGGTACCTACTAATTACAATGGCTATGTCATTTACTGCAGGAAATTAATCAGGTAAAAGTTCCTCAAGGAGCATACACTTTCAAACTGGGCACATTAGGCTGGGTTTAGGGGCTCGTGCCTATAATCTCAGCACTTTGGGAAGCCAAGGCAGGAGGACAGCTTGAGCCCAGGCGTTCAAGACCAGCATGGGCAACACAGTGAGATCCCATATCTACCAAAAAAAATTAAACTGAGCTCATTATGTGTTTCCAAAAGAAAGTGAAATTGAACTTGTATTCAAACAAATAATTGGTGGTAATGAGAACTTGGGACTACCACCAGTATTTTCCATCTTCTGACACAGCAGATCCCCCAAAGAAGACATTAATCTGACCCAAAATGAAACTTGGTAACACCATAATTTATTTTCTCTAAATCTAATAGTTCCAAAATGGCAAGAAGTTGCCTAAAAGAATTCAGAATTTTGCTCCAGCACAGACTTCATAATCCTCTTTTCCTTCACCATATAGTCCTCAAAAACATAAATAGTATGAGATGGGGCACACTGTTTAACCTTGCTAGTAAACTAAAAAGTGAATATTATTGCCATAATGAAGTAGCATCTTATATTCATCAAAATGGTCAAAAGGTTTTATTTTTATTTTTTAAGTTATAAAACCCAAAAGGGTTTTGGAAAACCTATAAATAGTAGAGAGCATTTTAAACAATACTTTCAGAGGGCAATCTGGCAAAAAAGCAGTTAGCAAACTATGTACATCTTTTGACCCAGGAAATCCATTCCTAAGAATTATTCTAAGAAAATAATGAAAAACAAAAAACAAAAAATAAAACCAGAAGGTAGTTCATGAAAAGTTATTTCTTGGTGATTCATAATGCTGAAAAATTGGAAACAACCTATATTCTGACAAAAGAGTTTCATATTAATTGCAGCATATTATTAACTCAATGCAGCCAGTCAAAATAACAAATATGAAAATTATATAGCAACATAAAAGAGTTCATAAAATGTCATGTTAAAAGGTAATCTAATCAACCAGGGGATGTCAAGATGGAATGTGGACAAGATAATTTAACTGTATTACAAACATAGGACATCACGTCACTGAAAGGGGTGGGGAAAAAAAGTAGCTTACAGCTAACTGTGGAAAATGATGTGTTTTTGTTGTTGTTGTTCTTGACACAGGGTCTTGCTCTGTTGCCCAGGCTAGAGTGCAGTAATGTGATCATGGCTCACTGAAGCCTCAGCCTCCGCCTCCTGGGCTCAAGTGAGCCTCCTACCTCAGCCTCCCGAGTAACTGGGACCACAGGTGGGTATCCCACAACCAGCTACATTTTCTTTATTTTCTGTAGTGACAGGGTCTCCCTATGATGCCCAGGCTGGTCTTGAACTCCTGGGCTCAAGTGATCCTCCTTGCTCAGCCTCCCCAGATGCTAGCATGGAAAACAATGTTTTGATTGGAAATGGTTTAAGGCAAAAAGACAACCTGTAGCAAAGGATGACAATCAGAGCCATCCCCATGAGCTCATGTTTAGCTTAATATAAATACAGATGGAAAGATACAGAAATGATTACAGATATGTGCATATACATGGGTTAGTACACATACATGTATCTCCTTCTCTGTCAGCTCAGAGGGCCGAAAAGTGATGACACTCCAGTAGTAACAGGCGCACCCAGAGCCCAGATCTTTTTAAATTTTTTCACATCAGACATGACAAGGTTCAAGGGTGGCACATCTCATACATGCACATGAACAGCCAATCATCACACTCATAAACTACAGAAGGATCGGTCTAGATCTTGATTTCGAAACACCATTACCACTGAAAAGAACCAGGGTTCCTTGGAGAAATGCCCCATTCTAGAGCTGGGACAGGGAAAATACAAGACGAGCCTGGAGCTCTCTGTAGTGCCGGAAAGCAAGGATGTGCTCAAAGAACAAAAGGATGGGAGCATGTCAGAGGACATGGGAGCACACGGGAGCCCGCTGAAAGAGCTCCAGCTGAAGCTGCAACAATATCAGAGTAAAATAACCTGGTTACAGAACATATCTCAAAGGATAAAATAAACGCAGGAGTCTAGGCTGATGCAAATAAATGACTGAATAAATAAATAGGGGAAAAGAGACAAATGTTCCTTCCAGAATTCCAAATAATGTATATAGACACTCCCCTCTCCAGGAAGTAGTGCTTAATTCCATCCTCCACTTCCTTGAGTGTGGGCTGGACTTAGTGACTTGCTTCCAAATAAGAATACAGAAATGGGGAGAAAAGCAACCTTATAGTAGAGCAACCTCCAAACACTACACTGGCCAGGCCATCAAGGCTCACGTCATCAATGATAAGTCACGGTAATACACGCACCCGATATGCTGTGACGAGACAGGCACTTCACCTCTGTGATATTCTCCCCCTAAACCCATAACCCGTCTAGTCACGAGAAAAAATATCAGATAAATGCAAACTGAGCAATAGTCTACAAAACACCTGATCAGTACTTCTCAAACTGTCAAGGTCATAAAAAACAGAGAAAGAATGAGAAATTGTGATAGACTAGAGGAGACTAGGCAGACACAACTAAATGTAATATGGTACTCTAGACTGGCTACTAGAACAAAAAGAGGGCATTAATAGAAAGTTGGTGAAATCCAAATAAAGTCCAGAGTTTAGGTGACAGCGATGTGCCAAGGTTAGTTTCTTTGTCTTGACAAATCTACCATAGTAATATAAGATGTTGATGATGGGGGAAACTAGGTGAAGGGTAGATGGGAACTCTGTATCACTTCTGCCACTTTTCTGGAAATCTAACATTTTTCCAAAGTTGAAAGTTTATCAAAAAGAAAGCAGTACACTCGCAAGCATATATACCCTATGATTCAACTATATAAAATATATGAATAGAGATAGATTGGAAAAATAGTGGTATTGTATTACTAGGGGCCACTAAAAATTTTTTTCCTTTATTACTAGCATGTTCTTTTAAACTTCCTAAAGAAGCCCATGATAACTGGGAACACGGGCCCTTCACTGAGGCAGGAGAATCACATGAGCCACACATGATATCCACTGGAGGAGACAGAAAGTCTGGGAGTGTCAACTGAATTGAAAGAAAAGGAAAGCAGAGATGACAGACAGCACACCGGAAGTGACAGGATAAGCAGTGCATCTAGCTGGGAAATATGTACACTGCCTCCTTCTATATCTCAAAAATCATCTAGAATGTTAGAGTGATTTTCTGGGTCAGAGGGAAGACACGTCTTCATTTGTTAACTTTTAGATTTGCGTACCAACTTATTACTGTAAGCAATTTAATTGCAAAGGATAAAGAACAAGATATGATGCATCATCAGGAGAAAAGTCAAGAATCCATGTTTAAATTCAGTTACCTTATGTAATCGAAGGTATACATGAGCCGAAGAGAGTTTGTCCACATGAAACCTACAAAGAATGAAAACCACTTTTAGCAAGAGGTACAAGACAATCATCTCCTCAGGCCACATGCCATTTAAAGCATTCTGTTCTAAAAAGTCTTCACTCCATGCCTGCCACATGTGAAGCATCATGAGGAGTATAAAGCACAGTCACCACCTCCAAAGGGCTCCCCATCACCATGAAGAGGTACGAGAAACACTGAATTATGGAGCTGTGAGTAAGTGCCAAGATGAGTAGAGATACTAAATATTAACTGTACTGGGAAGGGTGATTTTTCAAGATATAAAAAGAACTATCAGTGATCAAAGGCTTCATGATAAAAAGGAGGCAGTGAGATTTGGTTGGCCCCTGACTGAAGCATAGGACTTAGAGCAAAACCAAGGAAAGGAATTTCAGGTGAAAAGAGTGGGGGATGAAAGAAGTCAGCAAGTCTCCAATGCTGCCAGCCTGGGAGATTAGCAGAACCACAGTTTGGCGGAAACAGATGACAGTTTCGTTTGTGACATCCCAAATTTCAAGTTATAGCAAAACAATCCAAAGAGAATGTCGAATAGAGAGCTGGAAGAGTTAGGTGGGGCCTAAAGACGCTAAGCAGAACACGTCATTAAATGGGTCACAATTCAATAATGTAACCCAATAATTCACAAGCACAACAGTTCATCCGGCCCTATATTCTGACAGTGATACCAATATATGTCTCTTGGGTGAGCA
Source organism: Homo sapiens (assembly GCF_000001405.40). Taxonomy (NCBI): domain Eukaryota; kingdom Metazoa; phylum Chordata; class Mammalia; order Primates; family Hominidae; genus Homo; species Homo sapiens. Next base: position 27,757,476 of record NC_000008.11, read on the forward strand.
CTGCCCTTTACTGACATTGTCCTAAAAACATTCAGAATGTCCCCCACCCCTTAAATTTACCTTTCATGATGGATCTATCATCTATCAATTTAATTAAACCTTTTAAAATCTATGCAACATTCAGGATATGAGATTTTCATGTTTTCAATTCACCCAATGAACTTGACTTTCTCTTTCCAATACCCAGAAATGCCCCCTCCGCATCCCAGCATCACACAACAAACAAGGTAACACTATCGCCACTTCGTGATTCTGTTAACTTTAGTTGATATGATTTGGATTTGCGTCCCCACCAAGTCTCATGTCGAATTGTAATCCCCAGCGTTAGAAGTGGGGCCTGGTGGGAGGTGACTGGATCATGGGGGTGGATTCTTCATGAATGGGTTAGCACCATCCCTTTGGTGCTATTCTTATGATAGAGTTCTCATGAGATCTGTTTAAAAGTGCACAGCCCCGGCACCCTGCTCCTGCCATGTAAGCCGCCTCGCTTCCCCTTTGCCTTCTGCCATGATTAAAAGTTCTATGAATGAGGCCTCCCAGAAACAGACACTGCCATGCTTCCTGTATAGCCTGCCAAACCATGAGCCAATTAAACCTCTTTTCTTTACAAATTACCCAGTCTCAGGTATTTCTCTATAGCAATGCAAGATGGACTAATACATTAGTCATACTGCTTCCTTGGTCCTTACCTTTCCAGACTGAAGAATGTTCAGAAAATCCTAAAGAGGCATCATTACATCCCATTATGTTTCTCTAGCCATTTTCTTAAGCACTAATAAATGTTTTAGAGGTGAAAATGGTCACCTTCACACCTAGTACAAGATGTAGACTGTATGATTCTATATAAAAGTGCCCTCTTTAAAGAGGTTAGTCATCTTGCTATTCACTATGCATACAGAAAAATATTAGGCACTTTTGGCACACAGTTTATGATGACTCGAGGTTTTACTCTTAATCATTAGTGATAGCCAGAAATGGACATAACATCTTATTTGACTTACATTTCTCCAAGTGGTTCACTTACTCATTTGCATTCCCATGTGAGAGATTCATACTAATTATCACCTTCAGCTGGACATTTTCCAGCCAGAAAAACCTGTGCTTTTTGCAAATCTAAAAATTACATATCTCATTATCCTCTTTCAGAATCTTAGGAAAATATCACACTAGTAACCAAGATAACTGAAAAGTAACTTTACCCATTCCAACTTTTATTTGCCTTAAGCCAGTTCTCTATTTACAACATCTTCTTCCCTATGTACCTATAATAGATTGAATTCTGATTTTTCTTAAAGGTCTCTGATGTAGAATTTTGTCAAAAGAAATACCCAAATAATTCAATATATATTTAATGATATTCATACATAAGTAGAGAAAGAACCAAAACACACACAGGAATATCACTGCCAAAATACAGCAACTTTATCAATATACACCAATTTCAGGTTTGTATATGATAGATACACCTCTACAAAGAGCAGGGGAGAATGGATGAAAGTATAAGAGAAAAAAAAAATCCAGCTCTATAAACAAACTATCTTGAGCGAGTTTCCTTAAAAAAGAAGCAAACGACTTCTCCAATCTTTCTAAACATTTATTCAAAGTTTAAATTACAGCCATAGTTCCCTCTTATCCTTGTTATCTTCCTCTCCCTGTTACCCTTTCCTGAATGCAGAGACCAGAAGCTTCACTAAATAAGCATCAACTGTCTGAGGATACAGATTCAGGGCCCTGGAGCTGGGCTGTCCAACGACTTAAAGCAGAGTCTGTGGAAATACTAATCATTAGGAGGTCTGGACACAGTAAATACACACTATTTCTATTTTCCTACATTTAAAGATGAATTTAGGGCTGGGCACAGTGGCTCATGCCTGTCGTGCCAGCACTTTGGGAGGCCGAGGTGGGTGGATCACTTCAGGTCAGGGGTTGGAGACCAGCCTGGCCAATATGATGAAATCCCATCACCACTAAAAATACAAAAAAATTAGCCAGGCACAGTGGCGGGAGCCTGTAGTCCCAGCTACTTGGGAGGCTGAAGCAGCAGAACCACTTGAACCCGGGAGGTGGAGGTTACATTGGGCTAAGATGGTACTACTGCACTCCAACCTGGGAGACAGAGCGAGACTCTGTCTCAAAAAAAAAAAAAAAAAAAAAATTAGCCTGGTGTGGTGGTACATGCCTGTAATCCCAGCTACTTGGGAGGCTGAGGCAGGAGAATAGCTTGAACCCGGGAGGTAGAGGTTACAGTGAGTCAAGATTGCACCACTGCACTCCAGCCTGGGTGACAGAGCAAGACTCTGTCTCAAAAAAAAAAAAAAAAAAAAGATGAATTTAGTTCCATTCTCACTGATTCCTAGGAAAACCCTTTGCTTAAAGGAGCCTCAGGAGGTTTTCCGGGATAAATCCAGATGCTGACATTCACAGAGGTAATGAATGATTCAACAGCTCCACAAAGTGAAGCAGGTGAACACCCCACCCTGGAATGGTGATCAACTCAGGATCATTCTTAGCACTCCCTGGAATATGTCCAAAATTGACAGCTGGAATGGGTTTTGAGGTCTACACCTACTCACATCACACCTCAAATGTAGCTTCTGAAGGTAAAAGCCAATCACATCCAACAACAGTCATTCATCTCAAGACTACTAAAGGGGGTCGAAATAGGCCTCTTGGTATCTGTAGACCAATTTGGGAAGTACTAACCTTAATGAAATGAAAAACTGAGGTCATAATTTATTGGATGTGGGTTGTAAACTGGAAATTTCTCTTCCATTTATTTAAACAAATGAAAGTCAGGTAGAAGGCTGTGGTACACTGATTTTCAGGCTGCATCTGATTATGTAACCTTCTCTATGCAGGTTTTTATGCCTCAAACCTGATAGGTTAAAAATTTCCATCAGCTAACTGCCTAACAGGTGCAGCCATTCTTATTCCCATGAGAGTCTGGAGATCTTTAAAAACAACTGAAAATCATCCAGCTGGGGTTGGCAGGAGCTCAAAATGGAGATAACCATGATGTGGCCATTGTAGGGAAATGTCCATGGAGACTGCTTCTACGCTGGCAGGGAGTCAATTAGGAAATCAACCAATATTTACTGAATACCTACTATGTGCCAGGACCTATGCTAGGTACTGGGGACATAGTAGTTAATGAAATAGGTGATCATTGTCCTCATACAGCTTACTGTCTCAGGCCCTAGGAAGGCGGGCAGCCCCAGTCTGGATGTTTTCAGCATTGCACACTGCCCACTTGAGGCAAAAGAGCACCAAGCAGGGTTTAACTTGATGACATATTTGGATTTAGAAGACAGGTTTTTGTGCTGGAATAGGGACCAGATTTAAATAAGCCTTTAAAATTCCTTTGTTCTGGCTGGGCGCGGTGGCTCACGCCTCTAATCCCAGCACTTTGGGAGTCCAACGCGGGTAGATCACCTGAGGTTAGGAGTTCGAGACCAGCCTGGCCAATGTGGTGATAGCCCCAGTCTCTACTAAAAATACAAAAAATTAGCCAGGCATGATGATGGGTGCCTGTAGTCCCAGCTACTCGGGAGGCTGAGGCAGGAGAATCTCTTGAACTAGGGAGGCAGAGGTTACAGTGAGCCGAGATCGCACCATTGCACTCCAGCCTCGGCAACAAGGGCGAAACTCCGTCTCAAAAAAAAAAAGAAAATTAAATCAACTCTTCTAAAAAGCAGTAGCCCAACTCTATCACTAGAGGGAAATAAGTGAAGGGTCTGTGTCCACATTTGGAGAAAAGAGGTCCAGAGAGAGCTGCAGCAACAGCCTGGGAGAAGAAAGGAGCTGAAGCCAAAAGAGCAGCAGCCTGGAGAAGACAGAAGCAGTGACTTAGAACCAGAGCCAGAGCCAGTAGCAGACAGAGCAGACCCAGTCAGTTTCTCTTAACCTTAATTTCCTCATCTGAAAAAATGGGCATAAATATTAATATCTATTTCACAGGGTTGTTGTGAAGTTAAATGTATTAATGGAGGTAAACACTTAGTAGTATTTGGCATATAGTTAAGTGCTTGACAGATATTCACTATCATAATAAAGCAAACGGGACCCAGGTGCCTTTATCTTCAGGGATAGCATTTGGTAGGAGGTATGAGGAGTCAGGAAGATGATATCCCACTCCATAGGCAGGACTGTGCTCTAGAAGAGAGGCAATACTAGGGTCAGAGTCAGTGGTGGAAGCTGAAGATGAAGAAAACGAAAGTAGACTGGGTGTGACAGTGTTATAGGACAGAAGCCCATGTATTCATAAAAGGCCCCAGGTCTGAATGGTAGAAGTCTATATGGTGTTCTAAGACAGAGAAAAGAATTCAGCTTAAATGAAGTCTTTTTGTTTGTTTGGTATTCTTTTTTTTTGGACTGGGTTTTGTGAGCAAAATAAATGATCTCAAAAGGAGACTAAGAAAGTATATGTTATTATTTAAAACAGTTCACATAAATTGTTTTAGAAAGAAGGCGTCGGGGTTGGATCAAGACAGAGCTAAACTCATCAGGGAGTTTAGAAGACAAAGGGGAACAAGTGTGCTTCCTTTAAAGCTGGACCAGTAAGAACCTCCGTCTATTCCATCCGCATGGATGCTTGTATCTATTTTCTTCATTGCTTCATGTGAAGTCTTCATTTTTCCACTCAAGAACAGTGGTCTGAATATTTAAGTGAGGTGTGGTCTCAGTAACTTACTATGGCGTGGAGACAAAAAGGAGGAAAAAGAAGGCCTGTGTCCTAGAGGCCTTTGCTCTCAAGCCTGAGATCAAACCCAAAAACATCATTTCCAACTTGCAAGGTAATTAGAAATGAAGGAACTGGCAGTCAGCTGTTTAACCCTGAAGACCCATAAACCACAGTACAAAGCATGATTCTAGTTTGAATGCTTGGCCAAGTCTAAGAAAGGAAATGATGATCTACAGAGGGCAGAACCAAAATTGTTACTTACCAGATATCTTCAGGCCAGCCATGCTTGATCAGATCTTCATCTGCAATGAGATATGAGAAACGAAAGAAACAAAAACTGTCAAATGAAGATATGCCAGGGTTTATAAGAATGGGAGAAATGTCAGCTCCTCCCACAAATTTCTCTCTCCCTCAATGAAGAAGAGTAATTCGGAGGCCTTGATGCTTGAAAATACAGAAAAAATAATAATTTTCATAATTGAACAATATGAACTTTATAATTTTTATAAATTTATATAATACTTCTAATCTAAAGCTCAGATATTATTTCTATATGAAGATAATAAAACTAACACTGACAAAACAAAGCAACCAATAGTTCAGATGTTTCAGATAATCAATTCACCTAATAATACTTAAACATTAAAAAGAACTGGCTGAAACTTTAAAGAAATATTTTACTTCTTTAAGAAAAATTAACTTGATTATAAAATTACAGAAAATTTAAAACAAAACAAACATTAGAAGTATAAAAAGAAAATAAAAATCACCTTAAATTCTATCACACATGGAAATAAAACACCAGAAGAAATAGCTAACAGAGTGAAAAGTAATTGTCTGGGGAGGTAGCAGGTGGGGTGGAACATGGGTATTAAGAAGGATTCTTTTTTTAATTCTAAGCATTCTATTACTACTTGACTTTTTAAACTATGTATTTGTTAGATACAAATAAAAATAAAGTTCTTTGGGAACAATGACTACCTAATTCTCTTATATGAATAAACTTTTCTATTGTTGGCCCTTGGTTTGTTTCTAATTATAAATGGTTCAATAAATTTTTTAAGTAAAGTTGTCCATATTTCTGATTATTTCCTTAAGGTATATTTCTAAAAGCTAAAGTATTCGCTCAAAGTGAATGCACATTTTTTAAGGCTAATATATATCACTACATAAAGGTTATATCAATAAATATTTCTACAGCCATATTAATAATTAGTAATAATTCTGTTTAATACAGAATTATTTAAGTATTAAATGCCAATTTAAAAATCATAAACAATACTGGGCACAGTGGCTTACGCCTGTAATCCCAGCACTTTGGGAGGCTGAGGCGAGCAGATCACCTGAGGTCAGGAGTTTGAGACCAGCTTGGCCAACATGGTGAAACCCCATCTCCACTAAAATTACAGAAATTAGCCAGGCATGGTAGCACGTGCCTGTAGCCCCAGCCACTCGGGAGGCTGAGGTGGGAGAATTGCTTGAATCCAGGAGGTGAAGGTTGCAGTGAGCTGAAATCACGCCACTGCACTCCAGCCTGGGTGACAGAGTGGGAAACTGTCTCAAATAAATAAATAAATAAATAAATTGTGAATGATTCATATGTGATGATTTAAAATGTACCCAAGAAAGTATGGTCTATATAATTTGAATGGGGTATTTACCATCCAGAAAAGGAAAAGCAAAAGGAAGACACATCTTGGGTAAAGGCACTCATAACAGTCGTAGACACTATGAGTTTTCTGAAAGGCTTTCTAATGCTTTAAGTAGGACTGAGCAAATAGCCAAAAGGTAAGCAAAAAAAGGAAAGAGAAATTTAAAAAATCTCTTTCCCTCAGTCAGGCAAAGTTTGGCTCCCTGATGACACCTGCTGGCTGATAAAAAGAACAGACCTGAAAGCTTTTCAGTGAAAGTAAATCATTCCACTTAAATTGATGTTTCTATCGAGTTCTTGGTCTGAAGTCATAAACACTATTAGAAATAAATGTAATGGGCTAGGAATGCCAGACAATGGGGTGATTTAGAGAAGTAATGTCCGTTCTTACAAGGCAACCTAGGAAAAGTTGATACCTCCAAATGACTCTAAGAGTTCCCAGGGAAAAAGTGTTCCATACATACATACATTCACTTACTTCAGACAACAGATTCTCGCTGTCTCTTAAGCTGGAATGCAGTGGCATGATCACAGCTCACTGCAGCCTACCTCCCAGGCTCAAGCGATCTTCCTGCCTCAGCCTCCAGAGTAGCAAGGACAACAGGTGTGTGTCACTATGCCCAGCTAATATTTTCTTTTATTGTTGTTTTTTGTAGAGACAGGGTCTCCCTATGTTGCTCAGGCAGGTCTCGAACTCCTGGGCTCAAGTGATCCTCTCGCCTCAGCCTGTCAAAGTGTTGGGATTACAGGCGTGAACCACCATGCCTGGCCTCTTACGTTTTTTTCTACAAAGGTTTTTAATGACAGCAAAATGCCACTCCAGAGGGCTCTAAAAATATCATCTAAATTTATATCTGTGACATAAATTATGTATCTAGATTTGTATCTATATATTCCTACAATAGACATTCAAAGGATTCCACAATCTAGTCCATCCTAACCCACTCCTCCACAAAGCCTTCTCAGCTTTCAATCACATTTACTATCTCTGATCTGTCTACTTCGACAGCATTTACTATTCATGTTACTTCATTTTGTCTATACTTTTTAAAAAATAGACCTTAGTACTTTTTCATGATAATAAAGTTGTGACATTAACTTTGGGTGTGATTTAATGGTGAAGCAGTCTGCAGCATATTAACACTTGAGTTTTACATTTCTCCTACTAACCCATAAATCATCACAAGTAACATTGATAGTTAAAGCATTTTTCTTATGTAGCTTAGGAGGTGCTGCTGTCTCCCTATGTGAGCTTGTTCTGTTTCTCAAAAGCTAGTTTATCAAAGTAGGTGAAAACTCAGAACCAACAAACTGGGTGGGGGGCATGGAAGGTGGTGAGTGAGAGATAACACTTACCTGCTGAAAATTTCAAAATCAAATGCTTTTGAAAACTTACTTTCATATTTATCTTTTCCCATGTAAATAGTGTAGGCAGATGAATTAACTAAGATAAAACAAAAATAAAAAACAATTAGTAACTTCATCACCAACAAAATTGTTTCATGTGAAAAACAAGTGACAATTCTTAGACTAGGGGCTGGCAAACCATGGCCCATGATCCAAATCCAGCCTACCACCTGTTTTTGGACAGCCCTTGAGCTAAGAATGGTTTTTACGTTTTTAAAGGGTTGGAAAAAAAGCAAAACAAAGAAGAATAAGCCACGGAGATTGTAGGTGACTCACAAAGCCTAAAATATTTACTATCTGGCCCCAAAAGAGAAAGTTTACCATCCTTACTAATAGCTACTTTCCTACTTTCTCAGGGTTACAGTTCAATGGTATCGCCAGTCCAGTCCTATACTTTTGCCTTCTTTAAGAGTTAAAAAAAAAAGAAAAGAAAAGAAAACTAAACACCACAACTAAGTTCCCATGTTTACCAAAGTTTTATTGTGCATAATTGTTTTTAGCCAATATTACCCATATTCCAGGTGTGCTGCATATTCTAACAGGCTCTCTATCACATTCAGGGAGACCATGACTCTCCAACTTCTAAACCAGTGACTCTGACCCCTGATCTACATTAGAATCATCTAATTATGCCCCAGCTCCACCTCAGATCAACTCAATCCAAATCTCTGGTGGGCAAGAGTGAGCATCTGTGTTTTCTAAAAGCCTTCCAAGTGATTCTAATATAAGGTCAGGGTTAGAAACAACTATCCTAACTCAAATGGAATCTTCTGGGTATGGTTTATCCTAGAAATGATATTTGCTTTACCAAGGTGGTGTTTTATTGCAGACGTCCCTACCTTGGATTCCTACTGAAAGGATAACTGAGTGCCAGGTTTCAAAGCTAGTTTACCAAAACTTGTTTGATCCAATTGGACTAAACTCCTGAATTCATAGACACTGGGCCCTCAGGCTACAAAGCCTGTGATGGAGAAGTACTGAAAAATAAATACACACTGAAGCAAAGTACTGATAAGTGCAGGGTTGGGCTGAACAGCCTGCTGGCTATCACTCCACAGCACAGAACACACACATGTACCTGGAGCCCTGAAGGACAAAGGGCAATACGCTCTCCTAAATTAAAAAGCCTTATATCAGAGAGATGCCCTGTACTTTCAGTAATGAGAAGCTTCTTAAATGATCAATCCTAGTTGCCTTTCTCGGGGGAGAGAAAACTAATTCCTTTGTTTAACATTTATAATAACTGAAGTCCAGAAGTAGTTGAGAAAAGTACCTTGAAAGAATGTGTGCATCGCCAAGTTTATAGAAATGCTTGTCTATTATTGAGCATTGTAGTACCTTGATCAGGCCTTAGTGTAGCGTGTAACAAATGCCAAAAGGGTGGGAATAAAACTAAAAAGCATTTCAGATTTTCTCTGCATGGCCTGGCAATAGTTCAAGTGTATACCCTTTCAATCCTATAACGTCACTACCTATAATGTTACCATAATAGAGTACCAAAATACTCCACCAAGCAATAATCTTTTTACAACCTAAACATCCCTTAATAGAGACTCTTTAAATATATTACAGATTTGAACATCCATAAACAAAATACCATGTACCCATTAAAAAGAAACGGCAGGTGAAGAAATTAAATATCCGAACAGTATTTTTGTGTATCTATATGATTCAATTTATAAAAAATAAATGATTATAATGGTATGTGTGTGTATATACATACACATACATGTTTTATTTTTATATAAGCACATACTTCATATGTATGGAAGCATAAACATTTTTTAACAACAGTTACCTTGGTTAGCCTGCTATAAAACATACAGATGGCTTTTGTAATTAGAACAGAATTTTCAAAATAACAATATAGGCCAGGTGCAGTGGCTCACACCTGTAATCCCAGCACTTCAGGAGGCCGCGGTGGGCAGATCACTTGAGGCCAGAAGTTTGAGACCAGCCCGGCCAACATGTTGAAACCCCATCTCTACTAAAAATACAAAAATTAGCCAGGTGTGGTGGCACACGCCAGTGGTTCCAGCTACTGGAGAGGCTCAGGCATGAGGATTGCTTGAACCTGGGAGGCAGAGGTTGCAGCGAGCCAAGATCATGCCACTGCACTCCAGCCTGAGTGACAGCAAGACTGTCTCAAAAAAGAAAAAATAATAACTGATATAAAATATTAATAAAGTTGTCTCTGCAGGCCAAGCTGTCTAAGCTACAGCCAAAATAATAATAGAGGAATGTTTTGATGGTTGACTTATTAAATGAGGTGATTAAGAAAATGGCCATAACAAACCTAAAGTGAGGGGCATTCTACAAAATAATTCAACTAACAATGCCATGAAAGACAAAGACTGAGCAATTGCTCGCGATTAGAGGAGGCTACAGAATAATGACACCTGAAGAATGCAACAATGATTTGTAAGGTATTTTTTGTTACAAATACATCATTAGGACACTAATGGGTACGGAATAAAGCCTGTTGATTAGATAATCGCATTGCTGCAATGTTAATTTCCTAATTTTGATGATGAAAAACGTCTTTTGAGAAGAGAATGCCCTTGATTTTAGAAAATAAATCTGAAGCATTCAGGGGTTAACTGCAACTTACAAACGTTTCAGGAAAAAGGTGTGTGCAAGAGAAAAAAATAGAGAAAAAGAGAAACGGAAAAAGAAAGACAAGGCATGTAGTAAAATGTCAGAATTTGTAGTCACAGTGGCTCACGTCTGTAATCCCACCACTTTGGGAGGCTGAGGCAGGTGGATTACTTGGGCCCAGGAGCTCGGGACCATCCTGGGCAATATGAGGAAACCCTGTCTCTATAAAAAAAAAATTTTTTTAATTAGCTGGGTGTGGTGGCTAAAGTGGGAGGATCACTTGAGCCCAAGAAGTTGAGGCTGCAATGATCTGTGACTGCACCACTACACTTGCCACTACACTTCGGCCTGGGTGACAGAGCAAGACTGTCTCAAAAAAAATTGGGGGACTCTGGGAGAATATACAGGAAATCTTTTACTATACTTGCAACTTCTCTGAAAGACTGAAATTATGTCATAATAGAAAATTAGTCTGGGCGCAGTGGCTCATGCATGTAATCCCAACACTTTGGGAGGCTGAAGCGGGAGGATCACTTGAGGCCAGGAGTTCAAGACCAGCCTGGCCAATATGGCGAAACCCTGTCTCCACTAAAAATTCAAAAATTAGTCAGCCGTAGTAGCACATGCCTGTAATCCCAGCTACTAAGGAGGCTGAGGCAAGAGAATCGCTTGAACCTAGGAGGCAGAAGTCGCAGTGAGTCGAGATCATGCCACTGCACTCCAGCCTGGGAGACAGAGCAAGACTCCATCTCAAAAAAAAAAAAAAAAGAAAAGAAAATGAAAAATAAAAAGGAACATCATTGCTGCACAACAAGTCTGAATTAAGTTCCTTTCCATGTTAAGAAGGAAAAGTAAACTGAATTATTCTAGTTCATTTGTTATTCTCATCTAAATAATATGGTTGATTAGTACTGGAACCGGTTATTTGGAAGACACTTGACTTACGGGTAGCAACCAACCCAACTTCAGAGGTGATCTGATTATTTCACAATTTATAGAACAATCTACTTTTAGGCAGATGATATTAACAGGTATTAAAAGTACAAGTGGACTTTGAGCCAAGTATCTATAATCAGATGGTCTTAAATGTGACACTGGACTTATTAGACTAATGTTCAATTATTCCCTTATGAGACAGCATGAAAGAATGAAAATGGAACACATTTTAGTCAGATATTAATCTTAAAATGTAAAAGAACAACTTCCTATGAAGATTTTCTTCCCATTTTAAAAAAGTTTTTATGCAGTAAAAACCATCAGTTAGTTAAAAACTTGGCAAGCCATACAAATTCATTTCCTGAAGATTCTATATATTTGTTGTTTCTATACTGCCAATATGTAAAGTCTCATTACTATTTTACTGAGAAAGTTATGATTTTTCCATTAACTTTGCAGTTTTAAAAGATCAGCTGCACAAGTGCACTTTTATTAGGCTTAGAGGCCAAATATTTTTCTAACAGGAAACAGTTCTGACATTATAATGGAAGTCAATGAAAAAAAAACAGGACCCACAAATCTAGTGAAGCATTTTGCTCTATTAAGGGCAGATGTGTATGTGTGACTAACACTTAAAGAATTCAGAGTAACTTTAAGGGGAATAGAACAGCACAAAATACATTCAGTACCTATACACCCTGCCTGTATATTTGTTTTTCCATTGTTGGGTTTATATGGATATCTATGTTGTTGAAGATTCACAACTGGAGAAGTTATAAAGAGATGCCTGAGTTGCCAAGGACGAAAATGCTTAGAGGCCTATAAGGGTATATGATTTTTCAGGCTGGTTTTGAATTTTGTTTCTAGTAATTTTAATAATATGGGTAAAACAAACCACATGTACAGAGACAGAGAAATAGCTCATGGCACACACTGTGGAAGGCTAAACTACTGAGAAAAATAAGGAGATGTCAGTGTGATGAAGGTGGAAGAGTAGGGTCTGTGAGTTACAACTTCCCTGAGCCTCAATCTTACTTCTAAAGAGAAAGTATTGCCTTATTCAAACCCACACAAACAATGTGGAACTAGTTTCACTTAAATCTTACCTTTTGGCTGAGCGTGGTGATTCACGCCTTTAATCCTAGCACTTTGGAAGGCCGAGGCGGGTGGATCACTTGAGGTAAGGAGTTCGAGACTAGCCTGGCCAATATGGTGAAACCCCGTTTCTACTAACAAAATACAAAAATTAGCCACGCATGGTGGCGTGTGCCTGTAATCCCAGCTACTTGGGAGACTGAGGCAGTAGAATTGCTTGAACCCAGGAGGTAGAGGTTGCAGTGAACTGAGATCACACCACCGTACTCTAGCCCGAGTGACAGAGGGAGACTCCATCTCAAAAAAACAAAAAACAAAACAAAACAAAAACTCACCTTTTGTAATTCCAGCACTTTGGGAGGTTAAGGTGGGTAGATCACTTGAGCTCAGGAGTTCAAGACCAGCCTGAGCAACATGATGAAACCCCATCTTTACTAAAAATACAAAAATCAGCCAGGCATGTTGGCTGGTCCCTGTAATCCTAGCTGTACCAGAATCGCTTGAACCCAGGAGATGGAGGTTGCAGTAAGCTGAGATCGTGCCACTGCACTCTAGCCTGGGTGACAAAGCAAGACTCCGTCTCAAAAATAAATAAAATAAATCTCACCTTTAGACCGGGCGCAGTGGCTCATGCTGGTAATCCCAGCACTTTGGGAGGCTGAGGCAGGCAGATCACCTGAGGTCGGGAGTTCAAGACCAGCCTGACCAACATGGAGAAACCCCGTCTCTACTAAAAAAATACAAAATTAGCCAGGCTTGGTGGCGCATTCCTGTAATCCCAGCTACACAGGAGGCTGAGGCAGCAGAATCGCTTGAACCCGGGAGGCAGAGGTTGCAGTGAGCCGAGATCGTGCCATTGCACTCCAGCCTGGGCAACAAGAGCAAAACTCCGTCTCCAAAAAAAAAAAAAACAAAAACAAAAACAAAAAACTCACCTTTAACAAGCATATAGAGTAGCAATAGAATAGAAAGTGCTATAAGTAAGTAAAAAAATGGCATTCATTTATTCAACAAGCATTTATTGAGAACTACTAACCAGTCACTACGTTAGGGAAACAAGTACAGTAGTCCCCCCTTATCTGTGGGGGATGTCTTCCAAGATCTCCAGCAGATGCCTGAAACCGAGGACAACACTGAATTCCATATATAAAGGGACTTGCCACATAATGATGCTTTGGTCAGCAACAAACCACACATACTATGGTGGTCCCATAACATTATAACGAAGCTGAAAAATTCTGATCACTATTGCCTGATGACCTGGTAGCCATCATAACAGCGTGGTGCAACTCACTTTTTCTACGTTGAGACCCGTTTAAATACACAAACACCATTGCGTTACCATTGCCTACAGCCATTCAGTACAGCAACGTGCTGTACAAGTTTGTACCCTAGGAGCAACGGTATACTGTACAGCCTACATTTGTGGTAGGCTATACCACAGGTTTAAGTATACTCTACCGTGTTGCTACAACAATGAAACCGCCTAATGGAGCATTTCTCAGAATGTATTCTTGTCATTAAGGGACGCATGGCTACTGGTATTCCCTATATATGTATACCTATGATAAAGTTAATGTATCAGTTCGGTGGAGTAAGAGATTATTGACAATAACTAATAATAAAATAGAACGATTATAACAACGTACTGTAATAAAAGTTAGGTGACTCTGCTCTCTCTCTCTCTCAAAACCTTATTGTACTGTACTCACTCCTTTTCTTCTTGTGATGATGTGACCACGGAAAGCGAAATACAGGACAAGTAGGGACTACTGTAAAGAGATCCTGTCCACGCCCTCAAGGGACTTACACTCTAGCTCAAGCAGACACCATTTAATACCACGTGATAAGTGCAATGCCAAAGGCATACTTGGAACGTTAAGTGGGTCCCAGGAAAGGAATAGCTAAGCAATCTTGGGGTAGGAGCTAGCATCAGGAAAGGCATCTTGGAAAAGATGGGCCAAAACTGTCTTAAGGGAATTAGCTGGGGGTTGATTTTAGGAAAGGGGAATAACAGGAACAGAACGAAACCAAGTCGGGACACTGCATTTCCTGGGAACGAAGGGCACCCTTTCCTTATCTGTCAAAGATAAGTCAGAAGCATTACCATAGGTCACTTCTGAGATCTGGGACATCAACTGCCCGGAGAGTGGCTGGGTGGACATCCCAGGGTCTTTTTATTGTTTTCTGTTGCATCCCAGACCCTACAACCCCTTCCTGAAAGGGTAAGTCGCGCTTCCCTTAAGAAAAAGTTGTTAGCAGGTGTCTCCTTTCTCACAGGGGATAATTACAAGGGTTCAGCCAGAACAAAGGCCGCAGATGGAAGGTGGGAAGAAGACTTGGGATAAGGTGTGTGGAGGAGCCCACAGGCTCTGCCCAATCCCAGGGAGTGACGGGACGTCTTTCCGATTAGGGGACGAGAACTCCCCGATACAAACATAGCAGTGGCATCGCCCCTCCGCGCCCCCCACGCCATGACGAGGGGACGCCGGGGGAAATCCTGCAGCCGTGGGAGGGACGGATGTGCTGGGGGACCGAGAGGCCGCGGGAAGAGGCACTCGCATCCAGAAGGCATTTTAGAGCGAGGGTCAGGCGCAGCGGCGGACTGCGGGTCCCGGCTTCGGAGCCCGCTGTCCAGCAGGGTCCAGGAGGACGTGGCGCCCACTCACCGCTGCTGCTGGTGAAGTAGAACACCATGATCCCGGGAGCGGTGCGGTGACTCCACCGCGGAGCAGCAGCGCTCAACTCACGAAGCTCAGGATACCAGACTCGCGGCGGCCGCCTGGCCCCCGGAACTCCTCCGTGCACTTCCGGCGGACGTCGGGGCGCGTCATAACGCCGGCCGTGGGCGCCATTTTTAATCCTGGCGAGGCGAAGTGTAGTGGCAAGGAGTTTGGTTCAGTGATTTGTGGGTTAAGGGAAAGAGGCTGGGCATCTTGGGCACGTTAGTTAACCTGTCTGTGCTTCACTTTCCTCAGCAGCGAAATGAAGATGATACTAGAGCAGCTAACTCACAGGATATTTTTTAGGGTTAAATAAGTTAATGGGCGCCAAGGGTTTAGAACATAGCACACAAACGAGTTGTTTCTGATACTCACCAGGACAATATGCCTCTTGGGGATTGGACTTTGTTCTGGCTTAAATCGAAGGCCTGCCATCCCAAACCTCTGAACCTCAGAGGTCCTCCTGCTATAAAGTAGGAATAATCATATTCATGTAAAGCTCCTACAGCACTTGGCTTTGCCCTGATTATTTCTCTTGAGAAAGCACTTTTATCTGAGGAATGTGAGTCCCTTTAAATTACTAGGTCTGGAGAGGCATTAAGATAAGACCCCATCATGTTCTACCACCCCCTTGAGCTATGTATTCATCTACTGAAACTACCTGCTTCTGCCACAGGTAGCTACCTACTAACCTAACACTGCCACACAAGACACTATGACATGACCCACACCCTATAGTTTAACAATGTCTAGCCAATCACTGATGCTTGTAGTTTCTATACATCAATGAGAATGCTTGACAGTTGTGTATCAGCCCACTTCCTGCCCCCCTTCTTCGTCTTTAAAAACCTGCTTGTAGCAAAGGCCAGACAGAGCTCATATCCAAGCCTGCTGGTGGAGGGCGGTGGGGGGAGGGGGGTTGGAATCTTCTGGGCAGCTGTCCCCGCTTTAACTCAAGCAAACTCTACATTCTTTTTTTTTTTGCCTCAGCCTTTTCCTTTTAAACTGACACTCTTACATCACTGTCACTGACTTCATTCTATGAAATTGAGGGCGTCACTTAACGAAATTTATTTACATGCTTGCTTTGACAGCATGTATACTAAAATTGGAATGATACAGAGAACTTTAACATGGCCCCTGCTCAAGGATGACATACAAATTTGTGAAAATTAAATTTGAAAAAATAAACATAAAACTCTAAACTTATTTGAAACTAAAAATGTGCCAGAAACACTGTACCAGGAGCTGGTGACACAAAGATAGTAACAATAGCTAACAATAACCGTTTTAGGAACTTTCTGGTTTTCCAAAGTAAGAATTTAGCTCTGTTCTGTAAATAGCAATTGTTTTGGGTTCTCCGTTGTATTATTTGTAAAATGGGAATGGCAATAGATATTAATGCCTTACAGATTGTGGTAAGAAGTAAATGAAACAAAACATGTAAAGCATCTAAGAATGCCTGGCACATAGCAGGTGTTAAGTTTTATATTTTAATTTGAAAAATAAATAGAAACCTAAAGTTACTAATAAAAAAAGTGAAACTGACAATGAAGCTTCAAATGTGAAAAATAAGTGCATCGAGAATCTTGGAGAGGCCTTTATTTATTTATTTATTTATTTATTTTTGAGACGGAGTCTTGCTCTGTCGCCAGGCTGGAGAGGCCATTTTACAAAAATTTCTTACCCCGTGACCCCAGAATGTATCTCAACTTCAACTGGACCGAGAACTACAATTCCCAGAATGCACCTAAACAAGGCCCCGGGAACGGAGTCCGGCGTTGCTGCAGGGGATTGTGGGTGGCGTGGTTTCCCTCAGAGATTTTTCACCTCACCAGGGCGCGAGAATCTTGGAAACAGCCACCAGGGTGGGCGGGGCAAGGGCTGGTGCTCCACCAATCACCGAGCCAGCCCCTGGAAGCGCTGAGCCGTGGCCAATCGGAACGCAGCGGCTTCCTCCTAGCCTGGCGCGCGATTATTTGAAGACGCTCACGGAGCGGCTGGCTAGGCTGAGGAGAGCTCGCCGGGCTCTGAGGCGCAGGTAACCTCTGGAGTAGGCCGAGGCGGGGGGCTGTGGAAGGCTGAGGCGAGCGGGAGACCCTGTGGAACGTGGGGGCGAATGTCACGGGGAAAGAGCTTTTGCTCGGCGCTCGGCAGGTCCGCAGGCCCGAGACCGAAGAAGCCACTGACTCGTTCTCCGCGCTCACAGGCGCCGGGTTTCCCTCTTCCCGACGCCGGCGTTTCCTTGTTTTGGGTTTAGGGTTTGTTTGTTTGTTTGTTTCCCTGACCGGGTTCAGGGTCGGGACGCTTTCCTCTCCTACCTTTCCTCGCTTAGCCCCAGAGGGGTCCCCCCTTAAGCCGCAGCTCGACCTGAATTCCCAGAGACCCTGGCCTTTCAGTTTGTTCATTCATTAATAGCTTTGAAATAACGCTTGTGTGCTGCTTTGGGGGGAATTTCCCTGATCCCAGGGAAGGGGAAGGAAATGAATTCTGACGAGCCACGTAGCCGCCTGCTCGTGCATTCTAGCATTTGTTTTCAGCAGCCTTACGACTTCAAGAGATTTTTATAAAAAGGGAAGCAAACGGCTTGCTCCGGGCTCATCAGCTAGGAAAATGGCAGAGGACTGTGCTTCACCCGTTTTCTTGCTGGGCTCTGATGAAAAGTTACAGACGGTCTCTGCCTTCATTGAAGGCTGTTGAGATGGGGAAACAAGAAAATGTCTTAAATGGACTATTAGGGAAATACAGGGTGCCATGGAAGCAGAACAAGCGCGTGTAACCCTTGGAGGGGTGGAAGGAGAGCAATGTCGAGGAAGACCTCCCAGAAAATAGGGTTTTAACTTGGTGTGAAATAGACTAATTAAAGGGGGTATAATTTTGATAAAGCGATTTTTAATATTTTGATGAATGTGGTTATTGTCATTTCTTTTAGGAATTCAATAAAGAAAATGGCAGCTCTTACTCCAAGGAAGAGGAAGCAGGATTCTTTGAAGTGTGACAGGTGAATCTCAGCCTGTGAATAGAAACTCTTAGAAAAATCCACCTTCTTGTCTCTCTTGTTCTCTCCTATTTTCTAAAATTTTCGTTCTTCCACTAGCCTACTCCTTGTGGCTACAGTGATAACCTGATAACCTATATTCTAATTCTAGCTTGGAAATACATTAAGTTTTCATAATGAATTATTTAGTCCTTTTCAAGGGAATCAAAGCTGTTTTTTAGTTTTTGTTTTTTTCTTTTGACATAGAAGCAGCACATTGAAGAAAGCTGTTTTCTATAGCTAGGAAATATACCAAATCAGCTATTACCTTTTTCCTTTCTGTTCCCCTATAATATTTTACAGTGTTTTGCATACAGTAGATGCTTGTCTGGAAACAATTCTAGAAAGACTGTGTACTCAGATATTAATTACTCTACCCAGGAAAAGCCCCAGGGGGTCAGTTCATTACAGACAGTTATTATAGGGGGCTTGTAAACAATAGAGCAAAATATATGAGCTATAATTTATATATGGCCAACACATAGAAATCGATTTTAAAACATACATGCATATATGTCTATCATAGCTTCTTTGTATATAGTATTTGTTTTCATGAACTCTTTGGGAAGATATTTGAATGTTTTATTTGATAAAGACAGAATTTGAGAATCCTACTGTTAAACTAATAGAAAATTGTGTGTATGGGGGGTACATGTATTGTTTTTAATATGACCTACAAGTAGAGCTTACTTAGCAGTAGATTTATGTAAATTTTGACGCAAAATAATCTTATCAATGGACTTTGTTTCTTTTTATAGCCTTTTACACTTCACTGAAAATCTGTTTCCATCACCTAATAAAAAGCACTGTTTTTATCAAAACAGTGATAAAAATGAAGAAAACCTGCATTGCTCTCAACAAGAGCATTTTGTTTTAAGTGCGCTCAAAACAACTGAAATAAATAGACTGCCATCAGCAAATCAAGGCTCACCATTTAAATCTGCGCTCTCCACTGTATCTTTTTACAACCAAAATAAGTGGTACCTCAATCCACTGGAGAGAAAGCTGATAAAAGAGAGTAGATCTACTTGTCTAAAAACTAATGATGAAGATAAATCTTTTCCCATTGTGACAGAAAAAATGCAAGGAAAACCAGTCTGCTCCAAGAAGAACAACAAAAAACCACAGAAGAGTTTAACTGCTAAGTATCAACCAAAGTATAGACACATCAAGCCTGTATCAAGGAATTCTAGAAATTCCAAGCAAAATCGAGTGATCTATAAGCCAATTGTGGAGAAGGAAAATAATTGTCATTCAGCTGAAAATAATTCCAATGCTCCTCGGGTTCTGAGCCAAAAAATAAAACCACAAGTTACACTCCAGGGTGGAGCAGCATTTTTTGTTAGAAAAAAATCTTCTCTTAGAAAATCGTCCCTGGAAAATGAGCCGTCACTGGGACGCACCCAAAAGAGTAAATCAGAAGTCATTGAAGATTCTGATGTAGAGACTGTCAGTGAAAAAAAAACTTTTGCGACAAGGCAAGTGCCAAAGTGCTTGGTCCTAGAAGAGAAATTGAAAATTGGACTACTGAGTGCAAGCAGTAAAAATAAAGAGAAATTAATAAAGGTAAAGCTAAATATATCACTTTAAAAATGGCTGTATAACAAAACTTCAGTATAAATGACATAGTTGAATAAAATTTTATTTTCTGGACTGCTTTTATAAAGCCAGATAGCATAGTGTTTAGTTACTGTAAGGAGTTTATTTATTTATTTATTTTAAGACAGGGTCTTTCTTTATGACCCAGGCTGTAGTGCAGTGGCACACTGCTCACTACAGCCTCAACCTCCTAGGCTCAAGCAATCCCACCTCAGCCTCCCAAGTAGCTGGTACTATAGATGCACACCACCTCACCCGGCTAATTCTTGCATTTTTTGTAGAGGCTGGGGTTTCACCATGTTGCCCAGGCTGGTCTCGCACTGCTGGGCTATAGTGATCCACCTGCCTCACCCTCCCAAATTGCTGGGATTATGGGTGTGAACCACTGCACCTGGCCCAGCCACATTTTAAGTTCTCAATAGTTACATGTAGCTGGTGGCTACCATATTAGACCATGCTGGTCTAGAACTTCTGTTGCTGACCTCCTGTTTATATCCTTCATCAGAAAAAAAGTTGAGTTTTGTGGGGCAGCTAGGGGCAGAAAGCCATTGAAGCAACCTTAAGAGAGGTTGTCTCCAGATCAGGGCTTCCATGTATGGTGGCTTGTTTATATTCATCACAACCCTTGTAGCTGGAGAAATGATAGGCTTATATGATACCCAGTACACTCAGGCTTATAGTCATGTCTTTCCTAACCCACCTCTCATCATTGCCTTCCTCACTAGTTTCTCTCAAATTCAACCCCAGTCCATATCTCTCGTAATCACCTAAATTTCAAACCTCAGTGGCAAAGATAATAAATTGGTGGCCAGTAAACCAAATCTCACCCATAAATGTTTTGCTTGGCCTACATAATTTAAAAGTTGGAGCCAAAATTATTTTTAAATACAAGAAAAACATTTCTGGTGTCTCATGAAATATTGAAAGCTGAGCCTTCATTTCTACATGGCAATAATCAGAGCTGAATATCAGGCTGAGTATCATACCATTTGACAAATATGGGTTCTTCATTTCTCTAAGTCAGTGTATATCTATCTATTTAGATCAGTTTAGTTTTGATCATTTTACTTACTGCTGCCCTTGTAAGGCATTTAAGTTTTTAGTCCTCACTGTAAATGTTTGTTTTTTTTCCTGTTTATCGAGTATGGCCAAGTAGATTGTTAAATGAGATACGTTCTTGCTAGCTAAGCCATGACAGTCTAATTTTACTAATTCATTTTCTGTTTATATCAACAAAACACTTCTGTGTCTTGATAGGGATTTTGATTACAAGAGTAAGCTTTATCAAAATGTATTAAACTGTGCTTTATACTTATACATTTGTATGAAAATTAAGTTTTTTGAAAGTTTGGGGCGTAACTCAAGCTAAAATTGTCTCAATCCAGTAAAACAAAGGAAGAGTCTGCAGTTTCCCCATGCATCTCCTGATGATTATTCTTATCTGTTTGGTACAGCCTGGTGGTGTACCAAATGAATGGTGACCTGATGAATTCTCTGTAACCAGTGTAACAGAGAATTCTGTAATTCTCTTTTCTGTCTTATTTTCTTTTTCTTAGCTTCACTTTACGGGTTTGGTATTGAGTTAGTTTTCAGTAGTTTGGGAAGCTGGGCTTTTGTGCATTTTAAATTTGTGGAACGGGGCTATGCTCTTTCAAGATTTTGCTAAATACCCATGTCTGGGATTCGTCTCTGCTAGCTAAGGGCGAATCTGATTTTCTGTTTTTTTATTTTGAGATGGAGTCTCACTCCGTTGCCCAGGCTGGAGTGCAGTGGCATGATCTCAACTCACTGCAACCTCCGCCTCCCAGGTTCAAGCAATTCTCTGCCTCAGCCTCCCAAGTAGCTGGTATTGTAGGCACCGGCCACCACACCTGGCTAATTTTTGTATTTTTAGTAGGAACGGGGTTTCACCCTCTCAGCCAGGCTGGTCTTGAACTCCTGACTTTGTGATCCACCTGCCTTGGCCACCCAAAGTGCTGGTATTACAAGTGTGAGCCACCGCGCCTGGCCGGTGAATCTGATTTTTGTGAGGATACCCTTTCCCCAACTCATGGAGCCCTGAAAAGTGTTAAACTGATGGGTTATCCCACCTCTGCTGGGATATTATGGTTTTGAGTAGAAGTTCTACTTTAACCAAGAGTTTTTTTCCTTTTTCCCCAAGCTATATATTCCCTAGTAATTCCCAAATTAGTATGAGGGAAATCTGTCAGGATTTTTTTCTACTTTGCTTTTCCCACATTCCTGCTACTCTCCAGTGACTCTAGAATGTTCTTTCCTTAGCTGCTGATTTTTAAAGTTTATGGCAAAAAGTTGTCCCTTTCCAGTTTGGTGGCTGCTGGGGAAACTTTTGCCATTTTTACTGGCTTTTTTGTTCATTTCATTATGGAAGTGATGGTCTGTAATCATTCTGCCATCTCTGTCAGGAAGTATAACACATTTTTGAGAGGATGACAGATTACAACACGTGTACTCTGGCTTTTTTTTCTTTTGAGACAGTCTTGCTCTGTTGCCAGGCTGGAGTGCAGTGGCACGATCTTGGCTCACTGCAACCTCCGCCTCCTGGGTTCAAGCAATTCTCCTGCCTCAGCCTCCCGAGTAGCTGGGACTGCAGGTGCCACCACGCCCAGCTAATTTTTGTATTTTTAGTAGAGATAGGGTTTCACCATGTTAGCCAGGATGGTCTCAATCCCTTGACCTCGCAATCTACCCACCTCGGCCTCCCAAAGTGCTGGCATTACAGGCATGAGCCACCGGGCCCTGCTGTACTCTGGCTTTAAAGGTAATGTACGCTTAGTGAATACAGGGGAAGTTTTCCTAAAAATAGTTTGAAAATTGATTGAAAATCACATTATGAAATGTAATTCATAATAAACCAAATCTTTTGTTTTAGAAATAGATCTGCTGGGATTCATTCACTAGAAAATAGTTAAAAATTACAGATGTTTGGTTTTTTTTTTAAACCTATTTTCAGGATTCATCAGATGACAGAGTTTCTTCAAAGGAACATAAAGTTGATAAAAATGAGGCTTTTTCTTCAGAGGATTCTCTTGGTGAGAATAAGACAAGTAAGAGAAAACTCGCATGAATTTAGCTGCTTAAAATAATGCTTTATTACATACATTATACAATAATAATTCTTGTAATTTCTGGGTCTTTCTTTTTTCAGTAGCGTGCCTGTGGTTAGTATCTTTGTTTATCTCTGTGACACTGTTTTCTGTAGTAAAGCAGTGCATTGCGTTTTGAAAAACAAGAAACAAGGAGATCCTAGGTTAAAATTTTAGACAAAATATTAGGCTTAATTGGTCTATGGCTGTGGCCAAGTTACTTAAGCTCTCTAGAGTTGAGTGTTCTCATTATAAAATCATACCTACTCTATCTTTCACCCAAAATAATAGAAGTTAAAACTATTATGTATATTTGTGATCAAAGCCCAATTGTGAGCAGAACTTACTAAGTTTTATAAGTGACACTGAAATTAAGCATCAAGAACCATGGATTTTTGTCTAGGTTTACTAATAATTAGCTGTATGATCTAGGAAGATATCTCTAAAGAGTTAAAGTTAATTTTTAAATTCCTGTCAATTCTGAAATCCTATTCCTAATTTATGCTGTCAGTGTTCAATTAAATAGCTTACTAAACTATGAATACATAAAGCTTTTTTTTATGATTCTGAGATATGATGTTAATAACTAGTATTTACTGAGTGCTGAATATAAGGCAGTGCTAAATATTTAGTATACGTTATGTTTTTCATAGATTGTGCTCAAAGCACTGATACAATAGAAAATATAACAAAAAGGCATCTACTTAAAATAGTTATAAATTTTTCTTTTAAAATATATTTTAGTACATTGTCTAAGTCAATTTAAAGAAAAATAGTGAATAAAAATAATACAAATGGTATAAGGATATGGGAGAAATCATAAAAGTAATATAAAAAGACCAAAACTTTATTACTTAATAACTACAGTTTATCATTTAATTCTCCCTACTACTCTAGGTCCTGATATGCCCATTTATAGATGAGGAAATGGACTTGGGTTAAGTAACTTACCAATAGCAGCTCAGACTTTCACCTGCCTTGGCCTTGTTTCTAGAGGATGAGCTCTAATTATTTTTCAATGCAAAGTTAAAGTTTGTTTTTTTAGCCCACTCTCAGCTTACTATTTTCCTCAAATCAATTGCTGTTTTAACTTTGCTCTTTTCTTTTAATAGACTTTATTTTGCCATAATTTTAGATTTACAGAAAAGTTAAAGTACAGAGAGTAGCAGTGTATCTCTTACCCTGTTTCCTCCATTCTTAACATCTTATGTTATAATACTTTTGTCAAAACTAAGAAACTTGTATTGGTATAGACTTTTTTTTTTTTTTTTTGAGATGGAGTTTCACTGTGTTGCTCAGGCTGGAGTGCAGTGGCACCATCTTGGCTCACTGCAGCCTCCACCTCCAGGGTTCAAGCATTTCTCCCGCCTCAGCCTCCCAAGTAGCTGGGATTACAGGCATCCACCACCATGCCCGGCTAATTTTTGTTAAGATGGGGTTTCACCATGTTGGCCATGCTGGTCTCAAACTCCTGACCTCAAGTGATCCCCCCACTTCAGCCTCCCAGAGTGCTGGGATTACAGGCATAAGCCCTTGTGCCTGGCCCTAAGCACTAGACTTTATTTGGAGTTCACCAAATATTGGTAGTGGTATATTACTGTTAACTAAACTCTAAACTTTATTTGGAATCTTCTATTAATGTTTTCTTTCTGTCCCAGTATCCATTCCAAGGTACTATATTACGTTTAATTGTCATGTGTCTTTAGTCTTATCTGTGACATTTTCTGTCTTATTTCTTTGTTTGCATATTGCCAGCTGGACGTTGATATTTCCAACTCTAATCCAGTACTCCAGGATTTATTCTATCCTTTTTTCATCTGTAACTTCCTTCTCGGACAGTGAGACACTTAGTTCCTACTATTCACTATCCATCTACTTATTTGTTCTGTCCCAGTAAACATGTAAAACAGTTTCATAATTGTTAATTCATACCCCTGTGAGAAATAACCAATTAGAGTGCAATTTTTTTCTCTTTGAGACAGAGGCTCACTCTCACCCAGGCTGGAGTGCAATGGCGTAATCTCAGCTCACTGCAACCTCTGCCCCCAGGGTTCTAGCGATTCTCTTACCTCAGCCTCCCAAGTAGCTGGCATTACAGGTGTCTGCCACCATGCCCGGCTAATTTTTTTGTATTTTTAGTAGAGACGGGGTTTCGCCACGTTGGGCAGGGTGGTCTCAAACTCCTGACCTCAGATGATCCACCCGCCTTGGCCTCCCTTACCTTTCATCTCATAGTTCATGTTGAGGTTGAGATGAATCTTATCTAATTCAGTCTCTTTTTCTATATGTAATTATTGCTGAAGTAAGCTTTTGTGGAATCCTATATCAGCTCATGCCATTCTTCTCTAAATGTGATATATTTTCAATTTTTTCCCTTTGTAGAATTCCATATATAGTTAAATAATATATATATATTAAATAATATATTTTTTAGGATGACAGGCGTGAGCCACTGCACTCGGCCTAGAGTGCAATTTTAAGTGCAATCTTTTTGTCTTTATCCTTATAACTTCTAGTCAAAACACCATTTGCTAAAGTTACTTAGGACAGCTTCTCTTTTTCCCCCTACCTCCTTCAGTGTCGTTATGCTATACAGTTCTAATATAGTTAGATTCATTTCTCACAGTCTGCATTCCATCTTAGGCTACCTCAGTAGCCTGGTTGATATTTATATGTATTTTTTTTTCTCATTTGATGTACATTGGAGTTCATTCTTTGTGATTTTTACAGTTCTGTGGGTTTTATCAAATGTATAGAATTACGTATTAGCCATTACAGTACCATACAGAACAGTTCCTTCACCCTAAAATTTCCCTATGCCTACATTTTATTGTTACTCTCCTTCCCCTCAGCCCCCTGGCAACAATTAATCTGCTTTTTATTTCTATAGTTTTACCTTTTCCAGGAAAAACATTACACATATATATCCTTTGGGGTCTGGCTTATTTCACTTAGTAATACATTTAAGGTTCATCCATGTTGTTGGGTGTATCAGTAGTAATTCTCATTTATTGCTGAACTATTGACATACCATAAGCATTCTTTATATATTCTGGATACAAGTTTTTGATCAGATATATGATTGCAAATATTTTCTCCCCTCAATCTGTGGCTTACCTTTTCATTCTCTTTATTTTTTGTAGAGCAAAATTTTTTAATTTGATAAAGTCCAAATTAATTTTTTATAAATATATTATGCTTTCGCTGTTGTATGTAAAAACTTATTACCAAATCCAAGTTCATGAAGATTTTTCCCTAATATTTTTTCTAGACATTTTATAGTTTTATGTTTTTCCTTTATTATTAATTTTTTTACAGAGACACAGTCTCACTAAGTTGCCCAGACTGGTCTTGAACTCCTGGCCTTAGGCGATCCTCCCACTTTTGGTCTCCTAAAGTGTTGGGATTACAAGCATGAGCCACCACGCCTGGTCATAGTTTTACATTTAGATCTGTGATCCATTTGAGTTAATTTTACATAAGGTTTGAATAGGTGTAATTTTTTTGCATGTGGACATTTAATTGGTCCAGCACCATCTGTTGAGGACTGTTTTTCCTCCATGGAATTACCTTTGCCTCTTTGTTAAATCTTGATCTTGAGTATTATTTTGTCTTATTAACCTTTGAAATCTTATGAATTAAAGCTTTGATTTTATTTGGTAATACACATTATCATGATTTTTCCCCTACCAGTTTCTCCTAAGTCCACTGTCTATCCAATCTTCAGTGCATCTTCAGTCAATTCAAAAAGGTGAGAATTGTTATTGTTTTAAAGTCCAAGCCTTGTAAATTATACAGTTCCTCTGGGTCTCTTTTTCAGTCTCATGCTACTTAATTTGGGGAGTTTTTTTTTCTTCCTCACTAAGGGGAATAGGAGAATAATATTGAGAATAGGGTGATGAAATCAGTCCCTCATAGAAACATCATAAGAACTTAAGAGTTGAGAGATGGAAAAGATCTTTATATACTTGAGTAATAATAATTGCTAACATTATTATATAATACCTTACCCATAATAAGTAGTTTTATATCTATTATCTTAATTTTCACAACAACTTAGAAGTTAGATACTATTATTCTGTTTTCAGCCTAAGAAACTGTTAGTAATTTAGCCACAGTTGCCACAGCTATTAGGTGCTAGGACCAGGACTAGAATCCATATCTGAACCAAATGCCCATTAGGTTATATTGCCTTCCCTGGGTGATAGTATAGTAGCTACAATTTAATAAGCATTTACAACTTCATGATGTAGGTACCATTATTACCCCATGTTGTAGATGAGAAAGCTGGCTGGAGGAGTAAGTAACTTGCAGCAGCTTAATGTTATCATAAAGTATAGCTGAAGCTACCAGTACCCAAGCTAAAGACTGCAATGGAGGAGGCATGGATGGGTAGAGAGCATGATAGGCGGCAGAGCTCTGAAAAAGTAGTTTCTTATGGTCTAAACATCCTCTTCCTAAGCAGCTTTGATTCTTCTCTCCCCATTTGATTATAAATAACTCCAGATATTAAGCAAGGAACTTCCCGGCTACATTTTCCTTACTCTCAGAGCACCTCACCTTAAATTGCCTCAGTGATTAGGATGGGTGCACAGCTTTCCCTCTTCAAAGGTTTGTTTCTAGTTTTTCTCACCTTTCCCATTTTTCACCTGTGTTGTCATCTTTCATGACCTTTTATTGAAGATGGGAGCTGTCTTAGTTCATTTTGTGTTGCTATCACAAAATACCATGGACTAGGTAATTTATAATGGACAGAAATTTATTTGGCTCACAGTTATAGAGGCTGAGAAGTTCGAGATCAAGCAGCCACATCTGGTGGGTGCCTTCTTGCTGCATGATCCCATGGCGGAAGGCAGAACAAGAGAGTGTGCATGAGAGAACAAGAGAGCTTGGCTTGCAGCCTCACATCCTTCAATAATCAACATTAATCCATTCATGAAGGTGGAGCCATCATGAGCTAAACACCTCTTATTAGGCCCCACCTCCCAAAACTGTTGCACTAGAGATTAAGTTTTCACACATGAACTTTGGGGGACGTGTTCAAACCATAGCAGAAGCCTACCACAATTAACTGATAAAAGTGTATACTAATTTAGTCTAGCATAAAGAGACAGGCCAGGCGCAGTGGCTCATGCCTGTAATCCCAGCACTTTGGGAGGCCGAGGTGGGTGGATCACCTGAGGTCTGGAGTTTGAGACTAGCCTGGCCAACATGGGGAAACCGTCTTTCCAAAAAATACAGAAATTAGTTGGGCATGATGGGGCATGCCTGTAATCCCAGCTACTCAGGAAGCTGAGACAGGAGACTAGCTTGAACCCAAGAGGCAGAGGTTGCAGTGAGCCAAGATGGTGCCACTGCACTCCAGCCTGGGCAACAGAGCAAGATTCCATCTCAAAAAAAAAAAAAAAGACAGTGGGATACTATTTGTTAAATAATATGATATTGCTCTTTTTGTAGACTCCAAAACGTCAGTTATCAGCAATTTGAGATTTAATCTATTACTTCAGATGATTACAGATTCTCAAAGTGCTTAGTCGCACATTTGTTTTTTGGTTTTTAAAATTCAATGAACATTTAGAGAGTATCACATGCTATTGAACTATACTGAGTTCTAGAGATGTGAAGATAATTAATGTGGTCTTGCTATCAAGGAGGTTATGGTTAGAGGAGGGTAGACATTTAAACAAATATAGTGTTAGAGTTGCTAAAATGGAAGCAAAGAGATGGCTGTCACGCATGCAGAGTCAGGGAGAGCCTAGCAAAGGCTGCATAAGGTGAAAAGGGTCAGTGACTTGAACAAGTGTTTTTTCATACTGTAGGAAGTAGCCCATTAGTAGTTCATCAGACCAGTTTAGGGTGTCATATCTTGTGACAGTTACTATGGGACTGAACGAAGGTGGACGAACGCAGAAATGAAGACAAAGACAAAAGGATCTTTTTAAAGAAGGGGTCGGGAGCTCCTGCTAGTGAGCAAGGGCCCTGAGCTTTTACAGCCTTTTATATTTATTGGGTAGAAAGAGCAGGGAGGAGGAGGTAAAGGTCAGCTGCTTGATTTATCACAGGTTCACGTGATTGCTAACAGGCTTCAAATGTGCCTATAGATAATCGCAAGAAACACTGTGCCTGGGCATGACTGCCCTCAGCATTCCTTCTGGGTGGCAGATGCAGTTTGTCAGTTTGCCAACAACCTGCATTCATGATAACAGTTTGCTGTTTGCTCATATAGCCTCCAGTGGTATACTGAGTTAGTCACAACCCTCATTCTTTTGGCCTCCAACAATAGCATTTATTTTTAGTGGAATAGTGTATCTCTCACACAGCAAGTATATTTAGTGAAACTTTGGTTTTATGTCTGTACTAGTCATGTGAAATGTATTTCTTAGCATAGATTTGTCAAGTCAGTTTGAAAACTACTTTTCAGACAAATGGTAAGAAGATAGCTTGACTTAGCTTAATGCAGTGGAGCTAATGCTCCACCTTTTTTTTTTTTTTTTTCTACTTTGTCAGGTTTTTTTTTTTCCTGTTGTTTGAACTTCTTACTTTTGGTACTAGGGTTTTTTTTTTTTTTCTTTCTTATTTACTTCTACTCTTTAGGGATTTCTACTCCTTTGGTCCCTGGAAAACCAAGGTCCTTTCATTACAAGGCAAGGGTTACAAACTCAGTACCTACAGAACCAGCAGGCTGGGTGGAGACTAGGGCCAGCTGAAGAATTGCCCACTTAAAAGGGCATGTGCTATTCCAAGTTCGAACTCATAGATTCTTTGATGGAGTAGAGGTTTAGTGATCTTACAATGTCTCTTAATATTGGAAATACACATTTTTAAGTGAAATCTCTAGATTTTAAAATATTGGTAGCTAATCCAAAGTTTTTAAATACCATATGGGCCAACCAAAACATATCTGCTAGCTAGATTTGGCCTGAGGGGCTCCAGTTTGCAACCTCTATAAGTGAATCTCAACATTCTTTCATAATAGGTAAAGGTTGTCTCAACTACAGCTATCCAGCCTAAATATGTTTTTGTTTTTTTTTTTTCCTTAAGAATTTCACAGTAGTGAGATGCTGCTTTTGGTATGAGGAAAAGCAAATTTAGAAGCTTCATTGCCCAGGTGCTGGGTCATAATATGATGGTGACTCTGATTTCCTGTGGATCTGTGAAGTTCAGTATTATACTTATTTTCTCCAGTACCCCAGGAATTTCTTCATAGCTGTATGGGGTAAATATTGTCCTAAGATTTGATAAAGCAAAAAAATCTTTTTTTAAAGGGCAAAGTCAATTTCCAAAGTGTGCATCTATGTGCATCTGATATTGTGGAAGAAAGTCCCTAGGACTTGGAGTCAGAGGACCAGGATTTGAGTGTTAACACTGCCATTTACTAGTTACTTTACCTTGAGTAAATTACTGACCCTCTCTGAGTAGGCCTCAGGTTTCTCTTTGTTCCTGTCCTTATTACTTCATCAAGTTAATGTCAGATAGAAAGCACTAAAAATTGCAAGGTACTCTGATAAATGGCTGCTTTCTTTCCCTTGTAATTCCTCCAAAATTGTAAATTTATATATATCAACTTTCTGTGTCAAGATCTTTAGGTGAAGAACAGTTTTCTGTGGGATCTGTCAACTTCATGAAACAGACCAATATCCAGAAAAATACTAATACCAGAGATACAAGTAAAAAAACAAAAGACCAGCTCATCATCGTGAGTAAATTCCAAACAAAGCTTCTCCTATCTAGCCCTTTGCAGAAAAGCTTGCCAACCCCTGTATTAGACAGTTCAGAACTTGGTATTTTCAATGTCATTAAGCAATGTTTTATGTGACAGAATGGGAGTTGTAGGTGGTGACATTGAATATTCTTGAATTTATCTGTGCTTTTCCTGCACTCTATTTTTTGTCAACTCTTGGGTCAAATAATTTTAATATTGTTTAAAATAATTTAATATTCTTAGCTGCTTAAGGAAAAATATTGTATAATTAATATAGAAGTCCTAAAATTTTTGCCCTCCCTGTTTGAAATAAGGCTTTTTCAGGTCTTTAAGGGTTTCATTAAAAAGTTCCGTTGTTCATTTTAGCTGTAATTTCCACAATTTAATCTTATTCTTTCTTAGAACCATGAGTCTAGTAAATAATCTTGTAAAAATAAAAAAATCTTTGGTTTTTACACTGTCCATTCAAATAATTCCCTTTCATCAATTTATTGCATTTTTAGGTCTCTTGTCTCTTTTTTTTCCCCCCCCAAAGAGATGGAGTCTCACCATGTCGCCCAGACTGGTCTCTAACTCCTTGGCTCAAGTGATCCACCCACCTCAGCCTCCCAAAGTGCCGAGATTACAGGCGTGAGCCACTGTGCCTGGCCTGATCTCATTTCATTTTGTCTTGGGGGAGGGAAGGAGGATATGGTAACCAGATTTTCATTTAGTTTTTCACTTGTGTCAGCAGGAAAAAAAAAATTAGGTGAAATTTGAATGAATGGTTATAGGAACTTAATTTAGAGCTATTTGTGCTATATTTAAATGGGTTTCTTTTTTTACCCCCCAATTATAGGACGCTGGTCAGAAACATTTTGGGGCTACTGTGTGCAAGTCTTGTGGTATGATATATACTGCTTCCAACCCTGAAGATGAAATGCAGCATGTACAGCATCACCACAGGTTTCTGGAAGGAATCAAATATGTGGTGAGCCAAAACATAGTCTTTCAGTTTGTTCTAGAAGTAAAAC
Organism: Homo sapiens; assembly: GCF_000001405.40. NCBI lineage: Eukaryota > Metazoa > Chordata > Mammalia > Primates > Hominidae > Homo > Homo sapiens. The sequence goes on from NC_000008.11 coordinate 27,789,022, forward strand.
TAAAAGAGACATTTCTTTTCCACCACCTCTACCACCCAGCCGGAAAAGTTAACTTTTAATGATGATGTTTCAAGCTTACTATCTCAATTTAAGATAAATATTTTGTAAACACTGCATTCTGAGCAGAGCTGAACAGTCCAGATATACAAAATTCAGAGACTGCAGAGATACTCTCTTCCCACTATAGTGTTGTCTTTATAGGTAGCCTTAGGAAAAAAATAGCCTTCCCATGACTTCTCCAGGTTTTTTCTGAGAGGAGAGGTCCCACCCATTTATTAAACACCTTTCAAGTCCAAACACATCCTATCATTGGCCCTATCTTTATGATTGTACCTGCTACTCAGATACATTCCTTTTTCCCTATTTTTATTGCCACGGTTAATGCCTTCACAATATTTTTAGCCTGTTTATTGAAATGGCTTGCTTTCTGGGTTCCCATAGTGCTACCAGAAATAACGTTTTAAAACATAAGTCTAGGCCGGGTGCAGTGACTCACTCCTGTAATCCCAGCATTTTGGGAGGCCGAGGTGGGTGGATCACCTGAGGTCAGGAGTTTGAGACCAGCCTGCCCAACATGGCGAAAACCTGTCTCTACTAAAAATACAAAAAATTAGCCAGGCGTGGTGGCGGGTGCCTGTAATCCCAGCTACTCGGGAGGCTGAGGCAGGAGAATCGCCTGAACCCAGGAGGTGGAGGTTGCAGTGAGCCAAGATTGTGCCACTGCACTCTAGCCTGGGTGACAAGAGCAAAACTCCATCTCAAAAAAAAAAAAAAAAAGCCATAGATGAAACATAAGTCTAGTATGATTCTACATACTTCTGGAAAGAAAAAGTTCCCACCAGAAGTTTGGTGCTCTTTAATCTGGCCTCAACCTTTCCTATATATGTGCATATAAAATACATACAAAAGAGAAAGTGTGTATGTGTGTAGTTTAAATTCTTGCCCTCTCTGATCTGATCTCTACATCAGCCAGAAAGTTCTTTCTAAAACATAGGTTCTGACATTGTCTGCTTCAAATTTGACAGCTTTCTGTTGCACTAGGAATAAAACCCAGACTCCTTACCTTGGCTGACAGATCTCTTCATATTTGGCCCCTGCCCACCTTGTCACATGACACATTCCCTCTCCAGCTCTAAGCTCCTGCCGCTGGAATAAGCCACATTCTCTGATGAAGCCAGACTATACCATACGGGATTTCTTTCTTTAATTTGTGGAAACATACTGGGCATGTTATCCTTTATATATTTTGAATATCATTCCTGGGTTACAAATACATTCTCCCTGTCCCTTTTTTTAAGGTTTGAATTTATATTTTTGATATAGTAATACTTTCACATGATTCAAATTTCACAGAATGCAAAAGTATATCCAGTGAAAAGTGTTTCTCCATACCCCTTCCAGAAACCTCGTTCCCCTATCTATAGGCATCCAGCATTAACAGATTCATCTATATATCTTTCAGAGATATTTTCTGCATATACAAGCAAATACCATTACTTGGATTTTTTTAACCTTTTTGTGGTGTATATTGCTACAAAGAAAACATTTTTATTTAGCTAGTTTGTGACCTTTGGTTTCTTAAGTCAGGAACATCATCTCAGTCCCAAAATTAGTAAGTTTTTCCTATATTTAAAAAAATTTATAGCTATAAATTTTATATTTAGACATTTAATCCACTGGAATTTTTTCAAGACATAGTGTTAGAGATGGATCCTTATATTTTTCCTAAAGGACTGCAAAGTGTGCCAACATTACTGTTTGACTAGTTTATCTTCCACACTGATTAGCAATGCCACGTTTAATGCATACCAAATTCCCACATATAAATGGGTTTGTTATTGGACACTTCTGCACCATCCATTTGTTCCTGTGCTAGTGCCATACTTTTATAAATGTAGCTTCATACTGTATAGTTAGGTAAGTTCCCTTTCATCCTTCTCTGTAAAAAATGTCTTGACTTTTTCTGCACATTTACTCTTTCAATTAAAAAGCCTATCACATTCCCCCCAAATGAAAAACCTATTCGAATTTTTATTCAAACTAGTCAAACTAATGCCATTTTCTCTAGAGAAAAAAAATCTTAGTATAACTTAGGAACTTAGTATAGCACATACTATTATATAAACTTAGTATATACTGTAGTATAAACCTAGTGTATACTTAGAAACTTAGTATACCTCTGATTGATTCATATCTTTGATGTCTTTCAGGAACATTTTATAGTTTTGTCATGGATCTTATTAAATTTATTTCTAATATTTCAACCTCATTTTTTCCAATCAGTCAGTTATACCAGATTTTTTTGCCATTCTCTGCACCTTTGCTTATTCAGTTAGTTGCCTTAGCCTGAAGGCAAGTTAACCACCTTCCCCATTATGCTCACTGACATCTTACCAAGGTTTTTAAACCCTTTTCAGTACCATAATATTTCAGTATCATTCAAAGACTAGGGCCACATGCCAAAGCACTATGCTGGGGGTTGAGATTAAAATAGTTGTAAGACTGCACCCATCTGTGGTCTTGTCAAGCATAAGGGACAAACGTATAAGGACTTTTACTTAGCCTTTTCTTGGAATTTGGCTTATTCTTCTACCCCTCCCCTACCTGCCCACTGGTCTTGAACTCCTGACCTCAAGTGATCCACCCACCCGGGCCTCCCAAAGTGCTAGGATTACAGGTGTGAGCCACCGCACCTTTACCTCTTTACCTTGTTTTATAGTCATATACATGTCTTCAGATAGGATATCAGCTTGTTGAGGCCAGATACCTGTTTTAGGCATCTTTTATTTCTCTTCCCACATTACTTTTAGTTGGATTTCATCTTCTTCTTTTTATATCTATTATTGTTTAGCCTTTTGTCTTCTCCACATCAAATTATTTAATGTTGGTTTTTTTTCCTCTTCACAAATTAAACTGTGACCCTTTTGTTTTCCTTTGGCAGGGTTGGAAGAAAGAACGTGTAGTAGCAGAGTTTTGGGATGGGAAAATCGTGTTGGTTCTGCCACATGATCCAAGCTTTGCTATCAAAAAGGTATGGAACATTATCTTTTTATCTCTTGCCTTTCCCCACCCCCAAGAAATCAACCTATGTTGAAGTGCAAACTGCCTTTGCTGACAGATAATTCACTTGGGTACCTGCTTAATGATTACTTTCATAGCAATTTATACAAAACTAAGAATTGTAGGACAAAGGAGTAAAGAAGGCAGATAAGGCTCCACAGCTTATCTTTTATATTCATCTTTCCCTTGTGAAAGATAAACTAAGCTTTCAATGTTGAGAAATTAATGGCCCCCAGGGTCTATTTCTTATATTGGTGTTGCTTGTGTTTCTGAGGTTGAATGTTTAGCCACCGTGAATAATGAATAAAGCTAAAACAAATCTGTTTTAATGCTTCCTATTCCTTATCCCTCCCAGGTGTCTCAATTTCTGCTGAAAGTGATCTTTAAAATAGGTTCTTAAAACCTTGTTTCCACAGTAGCAGCTACATGCATCAATAGTGAAATAATTTTGGAGGTGTATAAATTTAAGAAATAGAAATTAAAGAGGCTAAAGTAACAGTAATCATACATTCTGTGTATATAAATATGTATAGTTTCTATTGTACTTTTTAAAACATTCACCTGTCTTGGTTTTTAAAATCATTAGGTAGAAGATGTCCAAGAACTTGTTGATAATGAATTGGGCTTCCAGCAAGTTGTTCCTAAATGTCCAAACAAAATAAAAACTTTTCTTTTTATATCTGATGAAAAGAGAGTAGTTGGGTGTTTAATTGCAGAACCCATCAAACAGGTATGGTATATTTGTTTTAAATTATTGGCATAATTTGCAGGCAAAATAAAGAAAAGTTGGGAGAAGTCTCAGCATTTAAGATTGCTACCATTAATGACACTCTTCCTACTGAAATATCCTTGACCTAGTGGATAATTGAAGTTATTTATTTCCATTAATATTTGGAATTTTGCTTTGTATAAACAGGATAGGTAAGCCAGTCTTTTATGTTCATGTAGTCATTAACACAGCTGGATTATAAAGTCTAGTGATTTTAAGTAAACAAATCTATAAACTGAAATTTTTAAACATGTGGCTTAGTGAAGGTTAATATTTTTGGCAAAATAGTCATTACTTATCCCTTAATTAGAATCTAATTTAGGTACTAATTAGCAATGTTCTAGAAGACATGTAGTTTCTCCTTGTGTTATTAGAAGTTGGAGAGAAAAGCAGCTTTTTTGTATTTTTGCCAGTATAAGTGATCAGTTTGGCCTTTTCCTTCCCCCTCAGCTTTATTAAGGTATAACTGACAAAAATTGCAAATATTTACAGTGTACATGTGATATTTTGATATAGGTATACATTGTAAAATGACTAAATCAAGCTAATATAGCTATACCTCACATACTTACCAACTTATTGTGATGAGAACATTAAATCTACTCTCCTTGCAATTTTCTTTTTCTTTGTTTTTTTTTTTTTTTTTCTTTTTTTGAGACCAAGTCTCACTCTTTTGCCCAGGCTGGAGTGCAGTGGCACGATCTCGCCTCACCACAACCTCCACCTCCTGGGTTCAGGCAATTCTCCTGCCTCAGCCTCCCAAGTAGCTGGGACTACAGCCGCGTGCCACCATGCCTGGCTAATTTTTGTATTTTTAGTAGAGACGGGGTTTCACTATGTTGTCCAGGCTGATCTTGAACTCCTGACCTCCTGATCCACCTGCCTCAGCCTCCCAAATTGCTGGGATTACAGGCATGAGCCACCGCACCCGGCCTTTAGCAATTTTCAAGTATACATTAGCTGCAGTCATGCCATACAATAGATCTGCAGAACTTACTCATGCGAACTTAAACTTTGTACCCTTTACCAACGTTTCCCCATTTCTCCCATCTCTCACTCCCCCAGCCTCTGGCAACCACCATTCTACTCTGCTTCTATGAAGTCAACTTCTTTAGATTCAGTATGTAAGTGAGATGTTGCACTATTTTTCTTTTTTGCTTGACTGATTTCACTTAGCATGATGTCCTCCAGGTTCATTCATGTTGTTGCAAATGTCAGGATTTCCTTTTTAAAGGCTGAATAGTATTCCACCTGTATATGTACCACATTTTCTTTATTCATTCATCCATTGATGGACACTTAACGTTGATTACATATCTTGGCTATGAATAATGCTGCCATGAACATGAGAGTACAGATTTCTCTTCAACATACTGATTTCAGTTCCTTTGGATATACACTCAGAAGTGGGATTGCTGCATATGGTAGTTGCATTTTTATAGTAATCATTCTAACAGGCGTGAGGTGATCTTGTTTTAATTTGCATTTCCTTGATGAATTAGTAATGTTGAATGAGCATTTTTTCATATGTCTGTTCCTGATTTGTATGTCTTCTTTTGAAAAATATCTATTCTGGTTCTTTGCCCATTTTTTAATCAGAGTATTTGTTTTCTTGGTATTGGGTTATTTATATATTTTGGATATTATCCCCTATTGTATACACAAATTTTTTTTCCAATCAGTAGGTTGGTTAGTTTGTGTTTATCCACTCTGTACTATGCAGAAACTTTTCAGTTTGATGTTACATTTATTTCTTCTTTTATTGCCCACATTTTTGGGGTCATAGCCAAAAAATTATTGCCCAGACCGATGTCAAGCTTTTTTCTCATTTTTTTCCTTATAGTTTTACAGTTTCAGGTCCCTCATTTTAAGTCTTTCATCCATTTTGAGTTGATTTTTGTATGTGGTTTGAGATAAGTCTCCAATGTTATTCTTCTGTTTGTGGATATTCATTTTTCCCGACACCATTTATTGAAGAGACTGTGTCCTTGCCCCATTGTTTGTTCTTGGCATGTTTGTCAGACACCAGTTGACTCTAAATGCCTGGATTTATTTTATCTGTTTTGTTCCATTGGCTGCTGTGTTTTTTAATGCCAGTAGGAGTGCAGTGCCCCTCAGCTTTACTCTTTGGTCTAGATTGCTTTGGCCGTTTGGAATCTCTTATGGTTCCACAAGATTTTAGGACTGTTTTTTGTATTTTTGTGGAAATGCCATTAGAATTTTGATAGGGATTGCATTGCATTTGTAGATTGCTTTGGGTAGTATGGACATTTTAACGATATTAATTCTTTCAAGCCATGAACACTGGATATCCTTCCATTTATGTAGATATTCTTCATCTTCTTTCATCAGTGTTTTCTGGTCTTCAGTGTATGGATTTTCACCTCCTTGGTTAAATGTATTCATAAGTGGGGTTTTTTATGCTATTATAAGTGGATTGTCTTCTTGACTTCTTTTTAAGATAGATCATAGTTTGTTTTTCCTGTATAGAAACACTACTGACTTTTGTATGTTGATTTTGTATCCTGCACCTTTTCTGCATTTGTTTATTCTAATAGTTTTTTTGGTGGAGGCTTTAGGGTTTTCTGTACATAAGTTCATGTCATTTGCAAACAGATGATTTAACTTCTTCCTTTAAATTTGAATGCCTTTCTTTTTTCTTCCTAATTGCTCTGGCGAGGAATTCCAGAACTATGTAGAATAGAAATGATGAGAGTTAGCATCCTTGTCTTGTTCCTGATTAAGAGGAAAAGATTTCCACTTTTCATTGCTAAGTATGATGTTAGTTGTGGGCTTGTGATATATGGCCTTTAGTATATTGAGGTACATTCCTTCTGTACCTAATTTGTTGAGAGTTCTTATCATGAAAGGATGTTGGATGCCTTTTCTGTATTGAGATGATCATATAGTTTTGTTCTTCATTCTGTTAATATGGTGTAACACATTGATGTGCATGTATTGAGCCATCCTTGCATCCAGGGATAAAGTCCACTGGATCATGGTGTACTATGCTTTTAATGTGCTAGTTTGCATCTGTTTATCAGGGATATTGGCTGGTAACTTCTCTTGTAGTGTCCTTTTCTGGCTTTGGTATCAGATTAATCTGGCCTTGCAAAATGACTTTGGAGGTATTCTTCAGTTTTTTGGAAGAGTTTGAGGATTAGTATTAGTTCTTTAAATATCTGGTAGAATTTAGCAGTGATGTCATTACAGATGGGCTTTCCTATGATGCAAGTTTTTTTTTTTTTCTTAAACTGATTGAATCTCCTTTTTATTGGTTAGTTTAGATTTTCTGTTTCTTCATGATTTGGTATAGGTAGGTTGTATGCTTCTAGGAATTTATTTCTTATAGGTTACCTAATTTGTTGATATATGATTATTCATAGTCTCTTACGATCCTTTGTACTTCTGTGATAATCAGTTGTAATGTCTCCTCTTTCATTTGTGATTTTGTTTAGTTGAGTCTTCTTTTTTCTTAGTCTAGCTAAAGGTTTGTCAATTATCTTTCAAAAAACCAACTCTTCATTTTGCGAATCTTTTCTATTTTTTGAGTCCCTGTTTAATTTATCTCCACTGATCTTTATTTTCTTCCTTCTACTAACTTTGGGCTTTATTCTTCTTTTTCTAATTATTTGAGGTGTAACGTTAGGCTACTTGAGATCTTTCTTCTTTTTTTATGTAGAACTGCTTTTGCTGCATTCCATAGGTTTTGGTGTGTTGTGTTTCCATTTTCATTTGTCTCAAGAAATTTGTCAATTTCCCTTTTAATTTCTTTGATCCATTGGTTGTTCAGGAGCATGTGGTTTAATTTTCACATATTTGTCAGTTTTCTACTTTTCCTCCCGTCATTGATCTCTAATTTTATACTGCTATGAATGTTCTGTGTGCACTTGAAAAGAGTGTGCATTCATTCCGCTGCTATTGGATGGAATACTATATGTGTTTCTGTTAGGTCCATTAGGTCTGAAGTGTAAGTTCAGTGTTTACTGGCTGAACTCAGTGGCTCACACCTGTAATCCCAACACTTTGGGAGGCTGAGGCAGGAGGATAGCTTGAGGCTAAGAGTTCAAGAACAGCCTGGGCAACATAGTGAGACCCTGTCTTTACAAAAATTAGCCAGGCATGGTAGTGCATGCCTATAGTCACAGGTACCTAGGAGGCTGAGGCAGGAAGATTACTTGAGCCCAGGAGTTCGAAGCTGCAGTGTGCTATGATCGCACCAGTGCACTCCGCTCAGGGCAATAGTGAGACCCTATCTCTTAAGAAAGAAAAAAAAAGTTCATTTCCTTATTGATTTTCTGTCTGGACGATGTATCCATTGTTGAAAGTAGGATCTTGAAGTCCCCTACAATTTTGTATTCCTATCTATTTCTCCTTTCAGAATCCTAAATATTTATATATTTAGGTGCTCCAATGTTAGATGCATATGTATTTACAACTGTTTTATCTTAATGAATTGACCCTTTTATTATATAATTACCTTCTTTGTCTCTTGATGGTTTTTGACTTAAAATCTATTTTGTATGATGTAAGTGTAGGTACTTCCTGTTCTCTTTCGGTTTCCATTTGCATGGAGTCGTTTTTCTGACCCTTCACTTTCAGTCTATGTGAGTCTTTTGTAGGCAATATTTAGTTGAGTCTTGTGTTTTTATCCATTTAGCCACTCTGTGTGTCTTGATTGGCAAACATATTCTATTTACACTTAAAGTAATTATTGATAAATAAGGATTTACTATTGCCATTTTGTTTTGTTTTCTGGTTGTTTTATATATATTCCCTTCTTCCTCTCTTGCTGTCTTCCTTGGGATTTGATGATTTTCTGTAGTGGTGTGCTTTGATTTCTTTATCTTTTATGTATCTACTATAGGTTTTCGCTTTATGGTCATGAGGCTTACATAAAATATCCTATAATATAACAGCCTATTTTAAGCTGATAACAATTTATATCACCTACAAAAGCTCTGCACTTTTTTTCCCTTCAACATTACTAATTTTACAGTTTACATCTTTTTATGTTGTGTATTTATTTAAGAGGCCTTTTCCTTCTTCGATCTCAAAGAAGTAGACTGTTATGTCCTGATAATAGGCAAGATGTAGCTAACTAACTGTTCTCTTCTACTCTCAGGTCAGAAACAATGTTGTGTTGTTCGTAATTAAAAACTAAATACACACCTGTCAGAAGGGTAACAGTAGGTAAAGAATTGAGACAATACCAAATGCTAGTGAGGATATGGGGAAACCAGATCTCTCACACCTTGTTAGTAGGAATGTAAAATATTACAGCCACTCTGGAAAAAGTTTTGAAGTTTCTTTAAAAACTAAACATAGGCCAGGCGCAGTGGCTCACACCTGTAATCCTAGCACTTTGGGAGGCCAAGGCAGGTGGATCACCTGAGGTCAGGTTCGAGATCAGCCTGACCAACATGCTGAAACCCCCCGCCTCTACTAAAAATACAAAAATTAGCTGGGCGTGGTGGTGCATGCCTGTAATCCCAGCTACTTGGGAGGTTGAGGCAGGAGAATCACTTGAACCCAGGAGGTGGAGGTTGCAGTGAGCGAGATCGTGCCACTGCAATCCAGCCTGGGCCACAGAGTGAGACTCCGTCTCTTTAAAAAAAAAAAAAACTAAACATGTATTTACTATATGATCCAGCCATTGTTCTCCTGGGCATTTAAGTAAAACAAAGGAAAACTGATGTACACACAAAAACCTGTACAAGAATGTTAATAGCAGCTTTATTAGTAATAGCCAAAACCTGGTAACAACCAAAGTGTCCTTAAATGCTTTAGGTGAATGATAAGCTATGATACAGCCATATGATGGAATATTACTTAGCTATAAAAAGTAACAAAGAATTGATACACTTAACAACTTGGATGAGTCTCAGGGGCATTATGCTGAGTGGGAAAAAGCCAATCTCAAAAGGTCATATGGTATATGATTTCATTTATATAATATATAACATTCTCATAGCCATGGGGAATAAATTGGTGGTTGTCAGGGACTGAGGATGGGAGAGGGGGTAGTGTGGATGTGACTATAATGAGGAAGAAGATCTTTGTGGTGACTCAATAGTTCTGCATTTTGATTGTGATGGTAGTTAAATGTATATACAGGTGTGATTAAGTGTCATGAAACTATACACACCATTATACCAATGGTAATTTCATGGTTTTGGTATTATACCAGTTATGGAAGATGTAATCATTGGGGAAAACTCAGGGAAGGATACATGCTCCTCTGTAGTGGTTTTTTTCAACTTCTTATGAATCTATTTCAAAATAAAAATGTTTAAGAAACGAAATGCCAACCAAATTTCATAGTTAATAGATATAAATCTTCTTTAGTGTTACTGGTTTCTTTAGGTGGTCATATATACATTTTAGGATGGAGAGAATGAGAGAGTTTTATATACTTTATTAAAAGGAAGAGTCTAATGTTTACAATTGTTTAAGAGGAAAGTCTCGTAATGCTATGGGACACACTAGAATTTGTGAATGTCTCAACACCACTAGTTTTTTTAAAGCATTGTGTGACTAAAGGGATAAGAATTTAAGAAATAGAAAATATTTTTTAACATACTTGGAGATATAAGTTAAATTTTTGATACTTATTTAAGGAATTTTTTTTTAAAGCAGTGTGAACTCATCTGTGGTGTTAGCTATAGATGCTTCTGTATATCATTGCAGGCATTTCGTGTCCTGTCTGAACCAATTGGTCCAGAATCCCCAAGCTCTACGGAATGTCCTAGGGCTTGGCAATGTTCAGATGTACCAGAACCTGCAGTCTGTGGGATAAGTAGAATCTGGGTTTTCAGACTGAAGAGAAGAAAGCGCATTGCAAGACGACTGGTTGATACCCTCAGGTAAGAAATAAAATGGATCTAGATCCAGAACCTTAGATTCATAGCTTTCCCAGAACCTCTCGGCTTCTGAGCTAAAGGGAAGGATATTGGTAAGATACTTCAGTATAAATACTATTAAAGTCAGGCTAAGGAAGGTATTGGTACTAGAAAAACCATACTAGATGTACTCAGTCTAGGGTGCAACATTCCAGGTCTGAAACATACTAGCCCACTGCTTTTCAAACTACCTGTGCTAAAGGACTAGTTTAATTTGTCACAGACCAACACTAATAAAATAAAAATGGATTGCTAGAAAAAAATAGAAAAAACAAAACTACAATCTCAAATTGTTTTAGACTTAACAGATGTGAAATTACGCTTCAATAAATATAATCTATACAAAGTAAAGGTTTGAAAAATTACAGAAGCTGTACATGGTCATTGATAGTGACTAGATAATGAAGACTTGGTATAACTCATAAGCATAACTAAAAAAGTGGATTTGTGAGACAATCCATAGAACGAGAGAAAATAGTTGCAAATCATTTGTCTAAGGGTCTAATACCCATAAAATAATTCTTATAACACAATAAAAAGACAACCTAATTTAAAAATGGACAAAGAATTTCAGTAGACATTTCTCCAAAGATAAATTGCAAATGGTTAATTCAACATAAAAAGATGCTCAACATCTTTATCAGGGAAATCACAAAACAAAACCATAGTGAGATCCCACTTTATACCCAGTAGGATGACTGTAATCAAACAGACAAGTGTTGGTGAGGATGTAGAGGAAACTGAAACCCTTGTACATTGCTGGTAGGAATGTAAACTGGTGCAGTTGGTGTGGAATACAATCTGATGGTTTCTCAAAGTTAAACTGTTATGTGACCTAGCAGTTTCACTCCTAGGTATATACTCAAGAAAACATGTCCACACAAAACCTTGCACATGAAGGTTCATAGCAGGATTATTTATAAAAGCCAAAAAAGTGTAAATAATCCAATCTGTGATTAATGGATAAATGTGATATATCGATACAATAATAACAATGGGATGTTATTCAGCCATAAAGGAAATTCTGGCACACACTGCAACATGGAGGAACCTTGAAAACATTATGCTAATTGAAATAAATCAGTTGCAGAAGATCGCACATTGTATGATTATATTTACATAAAATGTCCATAAGAGGCAGGCAAATCCAGAGGCAGAAAGTAGATGTGTAGTTTCCAGGGACTGAGGAAAGATGAATGGAGAGCAACTAATAATGAGTACGGGGTTTGGGATGATAAAAATGTTCTAGAATTAGATAGTGGTGGTGACTGGACAATATTTGTTAATATACACAAAACCACTCTGTTGTACACTTTTAAAGGGTGAGTCTTACAGTATATGAGTTATATCTCAACCAAAAAAATGAGTGTCCAGTTTTAATTCCCATGTACACACTTTGAACTGACACTATGTATTGATGTTTAAAGTTTCCAATGTCACAAACAAGCCTGTTTGCTAATTTACCTAATCTAGGTTATATGGATGAGTTTCACAACACTTGCTCTCTCAATTTCTACACATATTTCATCGTGTAGATAATAGGTTACAAACCAGTAAGCACACTTTAACCAAACCAAAGACCACACTTTGGAATAGTGTTATTCAAGCCTCTTGCATTCTATGCCACTTTTAAAAAATAAATGCCAACACCATTATGGGGACCGGATCTTGGGCCATAAATCCTAGTCAATCACACATACTTACAAAGGGTATCAGTAGGAAAAATTGGTATCTTAAAGATTTTTGTTTGATTAGTTATGAAATACTTTTCTATGTTTTATATTAGATATATAAATTTGGTATGAGGAATACCAGTATCTAACCTAGTTCTACCATATTATGTATTTAATTATAGTTAATATATTAGAAGCTTATATCTTCTAATTGAATCAAATTCTAAATTTTTATTCCGAAATAATTTCAAACTTACGAAAGAACAAGAGTAGTAGGAAGCCTTTGTCAAGATCTATTAAGTTCAACATTTACCTCATTTGCTTTACCATTCTATGTTTAGATAACCTTCCTGAATTATTTTGTTACATATATTATGCCCCTTTACCCCTTCATGCATTGGTGTGTTTTTCTTAAAAACAAGAATATTCTCTTATATAACCATGATACAGTTATCAAATTTGGGAAATTTAATATTGATGTAATGCTTTTATTTGACAGTCCATATTTCACTTTTGTCTGTTGTCTCAAATGTCCTTCATGGCATTTTTTTTTTTTTTTTTTTTTTTGCCCAGTATCACATTCAGCATTTAGTTTTCACGTCTCTTTAATCTTCATCTTCCCTAATCTGGAACAATTTCTCAGTCTTTTGACATGGAAAAATTTGAAGAGTGCAAGTCAGTTATTTTATAGAATATCCCTCAATTTTGATTAATTCTTTTTTTTTTTCTTTCACAAACAAGCTGTAGGAGATGTTGAATTCTTTTAACCATTTCCTTATTACTTTTAATCCTAAGGTAAGCAAGATCAAGGAGAGTTGTAGTCAAAATGCAGATTAGTTTTTCCCTTCTTAAAGCTCTCAGTGGATGTTTACATTGAAAAAATATATATAGGCTGGACGGTCGCTCTTGCCTGTAATCCCTGTACTTTGGGAGGCCGAGGCGGGTGGATTACCTAAGGTTGGAAGTTCAAGACAATCCTGGCCAACATGGAGAAACCCTGTCTCTACTAAAAAAAAATAAATAAATACCAAATTAGCCGGGTGTGGTGGTGCATGCCTGTAATCCCAGCTACTCGGGAGGCTGAGGCAGGAGAATCGCTTGAACCCGGGAGGCGGAGGTTTGTAGTGAGCAGAGATCGTGCCACTGCACTCCAGCCTGGGCGACAAAGTGAGACTCTGTCTCAAAAAAAAAAAAAAAAAAAAAAAATATATATATATATATATATATATATTATATATATATATATATAGTTACTGCTTAAGATTGATTTTTTTTGGTTCTAATTATCTTTGGCTTTTAATTAACAATATGATCTTTTTTTTATTTTTATTTTTTGATTGAGTTGGAGTCTCACTCTGTTACCCAGGCTGGAGTGCAGTGGCGAGATATCGGCTCACTGCAACCTCCGCCTCCTGGGTTTAAGTGATTCTCCTGCCTCAGCTTCCCAAGTAGCTGGGACTACAGGCATGCACCACCATGCCCGGCTAATTTTTGTATTTTTAGTAGAGACAGGGTTTCACCGTGTTAGGATAGTCTCGACCTCGTGATCCGTCCGCCTTGGCCTCCCAAAGTGCTGGGATTACAGGCGTGTGCCACTGCGCCTGGCCTAGCAATATGATCTTATATTAGTTGCTCTTTACCATGGATATCCTAGAGTTAGGTGGATGGTTCCCTTTGCCTCTCATCAGAATTTTTTCTGGACCTTAGTTTTCCCATCTGTGAAATGATATCATTAGACTTCTGTCTCTAAAATATAAGGCATTTTTTCACTTACTAAAAATAAGGTTGATTTAAGTCAAGAGTATTTACTTAAATTGTGCTCATGTTAATTAGAATGTTAAGTTGCTTCCATCATTAAATCATCTTTTCTTCTCTTTTAGGAATTGCTTCATGTTTGGCTGTTTTCTCAGCACTGATGAAATAGCATTTTCTGACCCAACACCAGATGGCAAGTTATTTGCAACCAAGTACTGCAACACCCCTAATTTCCTCGTATATAATTTTAATAGTTAAAGCTGATTTCAGTTATAAAGGAGTTACTATCTGGATAAGTTCAAAGAGCTCCTTATTATAAAATACAAACTATTTAATATCAAAATAAAAAATACCGAGACTCACACTCATACACACACACACACACACGCACACACACATATCACAGTTTTGTTCCTTATGAGTTGAAAAGTCAGGAATAAATTTGTTGAAAATTATCTGGGGATTCAAAGGAAAAATCTTTGGGTGATTCCCTGATTAGCACTCTGAATGTTTAATTATGAAACTTTGTAGCTATAACTGGAAAATTACCTGACTCTTTGTAAGAGTATTAAATACAAAGTGATTTTTCTCTAGAAATGTGACCTGGTCTTTTATAAAGCCCACTCTTAGACCAGGATTATCTAATGCCACATCAGAAGCAAACAGGCAAATTTAAACTTGGGCAAGTAATTTCTGTGCCCAATTTGTAAAGGGAATTCCTGAATTTTTTTTTTTTTTTAATAGAGGCATGGGTCTCACTGTGTTGCCCAGGCTGGTCTGAAACTTTTGGGCTCAAGCGATCCTCCCAAAACGCTGGGATTACAGTCATGAGCCACCGTGCCCAGCCTAATTCCTGACTTCTCTATACAGAGTCTTCACTTGATAGGCACTCGTCTGTAGTAACTCAGTTTGAATATCTTTAGAAAATGTTTAGAATTTATTTGTAACAAGATGGTAAGGAATAAGATTATCCCATATGCATTTCTGTAGAGCAGAATTTGATAGCTTAGTGTTCAATCTTTTTGAAAATAAATGTTTACCTGTCATCAGATTTAATTAAAATTATACTTAGTAATTGCACTATTACTTAGTTAATTTTTGTTGTATGGAAATATTGGTAGTACTACTTTGGGAACCTGTTACTGACAATTGATGTCATTAACAAAATGCCTAGTTGGATTAGATGTTTTCATTTTCTAATTTTTTGCTTGTTTAAAATGCACCTTACTTGTTCTGAGATACCTGGCAAAAGTCTTTACAAAATGTATGGTAATAGAACCAAGGTTAGTAAATATACATAGGCTGGTGGATGAGAGACCATGGAACTGTGTAAATACACTTAAATGTTCACACATTTTTCTAGTGTAATTCTTGGATACTTTAAAAAGCAAAACATTGTTCAAATTGTTTTGATTCTGAAAAATCATTCAACTGCTAACTGGCAATAAGACTCTAGGCAAGTCGTTTTCCAGATTGTAATTATATGTAGAAACTATTCATCTGCATTCATTTTATTTGCCTGTAAGTTAACATGTTTCCAAAATTTAAAAGCCTGGGTCCCCAAAAGAATGTGGAAGTATTAAAATGTATGTAATTATGCAAACATTTTAATGCTATTTTCTGCACTTATTTCTTTTAAATATTTTATTTAAAATTTTTAATTAACATTTTGTTTGCTTAATGCTTTTGTTATGAATCAATTAAAATTCTTTATTTTATACAACTAAATCTGATTTTAATTATTTTATTATGAAAATAGTATATGTTAAATAAAATTCAGATAATACAGAAATAGAGATTGCCAAAAGAAGAGGCTTCCCGGCCGGGCGCGGTGGCTCACGCCTGTAATCCCAGCACTTTGGGAGGCCGAGGCGGGTGGATCATGAGGTCAGGAGATCGAGACCATCCTGGCTAACAAGGTGAAACCCCGTCTCTACTAAAAATACAAAAAATTAGCCGGGCGCGGTGGCGGGCGCCTGTAGTCCCAGCTACTCGGGAGGCTGAGGCAGGAGAATGGCGTGAACCCGGGAGGCGAGCTTGCAGTGAGCCGAGATTGCGCCACTGCAGTCCGCAGTCCGGCCTGGGCGACAGAGCGAGACTCCGTCTCAAAAAAAAAAAAAAAAAAAAAAAAAAAAAAGAAGAGGCTTCCCTTAATCCTGCTTTGAGTTTAGTGCTTATTACTTTAGAATAACTAAATACATATGCAGTTATTTTGCATCTTGCCTCACTTCAGTATGTCTTAGATATGTTGTATTTCAAGAACTATTTCTATTTTAAATATTTAGCATGATTTGCTATTGATACTGTTGTCTTGGTTGGGTGTTTTTTGTTTGTTTGTTTGTTTTGTTTTTAAGTATAACACATACAAGAAGCAAGTGCACTGAGATGGTCTCAAAGCAATGATACCCTAATGGCAATGAGCACACCTACCACCCAGATCTTGGTTGGTTTCTTTCTTTTTTTCCCCCGCCCTGGGCTGAAGTGCAGTGGTACAAACACGGCTCACTGCAGCCTCGACCTCCCAGGTTCAAGTGATCTTCCCGCCTGAGCTCCCTAAGTAGCTGGGACTACAGGTGTGTGTCACCACGTCTGCTTAATTTTTGTATTCTTTTTTTAGTAGAGACAGAGTGTCACCATGGTGCCCAGCCAGTCCTTAAGCTCCTGAGGCCCTTGAGCTCCTGAGCTGAAGTGATCCTCCCACTTCAGCCTCCCAAAGTGCTGGATTATAGGTGTGAGCCACGGCACCCAGCCAGATCTTGCTTACTAATACCTTCTTCCACAAAAGGACCTGGGGCTCTTTGGAGAAATGGCTCATTCTAGGGATAGGGCAATGAATGTACAAGATGAGCCTAGATCACCTTGTACATCCCCCCTTATCTGCAATTTCGCTTCCCACAGTTTGTTACCAAAAATATTGCATGGAAATTTCTAGAAGTAAGGAATTCATAAGTTTTAAATTGCCCACCATTCAGAGTAGCCACAGTGGGGTGATAAGTGCTCAGTTAAGATGGAAAAGGCATTAAATTTGTGGGCAGAAGACATGCACAGAAACATATTCCTATTGAGGGCAATCAGGTTGAGTACTGTCCATGGTTTCAGGCATTCTACTGGGGGTCTTTGTCATAAATTGTGCCAATATATGTGTATGTCTATTTCTGCCTGTGTATTCTTACTAATTTTATATAGGTTCTATTTATGCTAATACCAGACTGTGTTAATTATAGTATCAATGTTTGCTATAGTATTAGTACATGGTCCCACTTTTTTTCTTCGGTCTATTATTGGACTTTGCATTTCCATATACATTTTAGAATCAATTTATTCCACAAAAAGCTACCAACAACAAAAAAGCCTGTTGGGATTTTATTGGAATTGTGTCAGATCTATAGATCAATTTGGGAGGACTGATTTTTAGACTTGCTCAAGTATTGGATACTTTCTTTTTTTTTTTTTTTTTAGACGGAGTTTTGCTCTTGTTGCCCAGGCTGGAGTGCATTGGCACTATCTTGGCTCACTGCAACCTCCACCTCCCGGGTTCAAGCTATTGTCTGCCTCAGCCTCCAGTAGCTGGGATTCCAGGTGCATGCCACCACGCCCAGCTAATTTTGTATTTTTAGTAGAGACGGGGTTTTACCATGTTGGCCAGGCTGGTCTTTAACTCTTGACCTCCAATAATCCACCCACTTCAGCCTCCCAAAGTCCTGGGATTATAGGCATGAGCCAGTATGCCCAGCTGTTACTTTTTTTTAAGCCATTGGGAAAAGTGTTTTAAGTTACATCTTGTTTGCTGATATATAAACTACAAGTTTTCTGTTTTGACTTTGTATTCACAATCTTTCTAAACTTAATTAATTCTAATTTATCTATTTCTATCTACATAATATCTGTGAATGAGTTTTCTTTTAGAATCTTACAGCTTTTTTGTTCTTACAATATTGCATTTCTAAGATTGCCAGTCTAGTACAGTGTTGAATAAAAGCAATGGTAGGGGGCATATTTGTTTCATTGCTGATAATAGGTAAAGTTTTCAACATTTTACTATTAAATATAAGGTTTATAGTTTCTTTGTAGATAAATTTCTAATATTAAGGAAGTTCCTCTGTCTATTCCTAGGTTTCTAGGAAGCTCTCAAACATCTTGAACAGATACTCAGATTTTATAAAAAGTCTTTCTTCTATCTTTGGAGATGATTTTGATTTTTCTTTATTGTTAATATGGCGGTTACATTGTTCTTTGAATGTTAAAGCAATCTAGCCTCCCTGAACTAAATAAACCAAACCCAATTTGGTCTTGATGTTTTTCTTTTTAATGTTATTGGCTTCAGTGAACTAGTTTTCTTTTGGACTTTTCATGTGTTCTTGAATAAGATTGGGTATCTGTAGGATCTGTAGTAAAGGTTTTTTCATTCATGACATGTCTTTTTTCTCCACAGATGAGTTTTGCCTAGGGGTTTATCAATTTTGTTAGTATTTTTGAAGATTGGCATTGTTAATCCTATCATAGGTTTGTTTTCTATTTCCTGTAAGTTTTAATTTTTTCCCCCCATTGGAAGGGAGGTACTATGGTCTGAATGTGTTCTACCAAAAATTGTATGTTGAAACCCTGTCCCCCAAGATGATGTAATACCATCGTAAGTAGTGTCTTTAGGAAGGTGAATGGGTCATGATGGTGGAAGGAACCCTTAGGGATTAATGCCCTTATAAAAATAGAGGGTCGGGGAGCTCCCTTGCTCTGTCCACCATGTAAAGACACAGCCAGAAGGTGCCTTCTATGAGGATGCCCTCACCAGATACCATCTTGATCTTGGACTTCCTAGTCTCTGGAACTATGAGAAATTTCTGTGGTTTGAGGCACCTCGTTTATGGTATTTTTGTTATAGTAGTCTAAGACGGGAGACTTGTTTTGTTTTTCCCAAATTCTTAGCTGATATATATAGCATTTTTTTATATATAGTTTTTATATGTAGCATTTGTCTAGTTTAAAATCCTTTCTAATTTTTATTCTAATCAACAGATTGTAGAAGATTAAATAGGTACCAGGAGACATGAAAGAATCATCTTCAACATTTCTCAAGTAGCTGCTGATTATCTCCTTTTATGGAGGCATAACAAGCTCCTGGAGGCTTCTACAGATTCTAAAGGGAAAGATTTCCTGGGAGGTGAGAAAGCCACTTGAGAGAAGGCTATTTTGATTTACTAATTAATTCAGTGTAAAGGTAGTCCTGGGCACGGTGGCTCACGCCTATAATCCCAGCAGTTTGAGAGGCCTAGACAGAGGTTGCTCAGGAGTTCCAGAGCAGCCTGAGCAACTTGGTAAAACCCTGTCTCTACAAAAAATAAAAAAAAAAAAATTAGCCAGGTGTGGTGGCACACACCTGTGGTCCCAGCTACTCGGAGTGGGAGGCAGAGGTGCAAGGATCACTTGTGCCTGGGAGGTTGAGACTGCAGTGAGCCATGATTGCCCCACTGTACTCCAGCCTGAGTGACAGAGCAAGACCCTGTCTCAAAAAAAAAAAAAAAAAAAGCCCTCAGCCAAGTCACATGTTGCTCTTTTGAGAATGAGGCAAATGTCCAAAAAGATAACATCTGAGACTTAGAGCAAGTTCTAGAACAAGAATAAAAAAAATTTTCTTCCAGTTGGTAGCAGATTGTCTGCAATCTTGTGTTGAGGATTTCTAGGACCTCACCAGACTCAAGGGGCAGTGCATGCTGGGATTATTTTGTAATGTCTACCATAGACAAGGGCTGTGAATTTGCTGGTCTTGTCCTTGGTATTAGTTTATTCCTATTAGATATCTCAACTGTAGGAAGTGGAAATAAATTTCTCAATGAAAAGCAATGGCTTATGTATTAAAGAGCCAATTCAAGAAAGATCCAGTTCCTGCTTTAAGTCTTAAAGCAGGAACTGCTATTCCTGCTAGGAAAAGAATGCCCTGGAGAAGCTGCTCTGTTGGCTTGGCAAAGAAGAGTGACACATGTCAGAGTGAGGATAAGAGACCCTATTGAGTATCAGGATGCAAAATTATACATACGTTTTTCTACAAATTAAGACAACTTCCAATTTACTTGTCACATTATTTTGATGGAATATATGCAAATTAATGTTGTGTCCTATTGCTTGGTACAATCTTATACCAAAAGGCCTTCAGTGATTTCTAGGCATTTTTAAAGTTCAGAGTGCAGTTGTTCCTAATGTTTCTGAGAACGCCCTGTGTCGGTAATTTTTAAAATTCTGTCTACACCCAAATGTAGGTATACCACCTACATTGGCAATTCAGTAATTTGGAAAATTCCCAGGGGACTGTGGCTTACAGAAACTACTGATCCAAAACACTTTATAGATTAGCAAAATAAGGCCAAGAGAGGGAAAGAAACCTCACATTTACTCAAGTTTAATGACAACACTCAAATCAATGAAGTATAAAATAATGCTGAGACACCTTCTGGTACCCAAAGTGTCCTTTATTCTTTATCATCCTATTTGAGTTTTATTGTTTTTACACAGCTGGGAAATGCTTAAGGTACAAATTAATAAATTTTAAACTCAGTATGGAAAATACATTTAATAAATTAAAGCAAAAACCAAAGATCTGAGGAGATCCAAGAGATCAAGACAATCTGTAACCAGAGTCTGAAGTATCCAAGGAGCTACTCTTTTTGAGGCATATTCTCCTCAGCTTCCAGTTATCATTTGATAAACACATCAGCAAAAGGTTCAGTGTTTTAAACAAATGTAGACTTTATTTTGTACTGTACAAAGTGCTAATGTCAGTAGATCCATTAAAATATAGAATATTTAAGAAAGATCATTAATAAAAGTAATGGTCATTCAATTTAATGTTACAGTTTACAGCGTTTTACTGCTAGTGTTTTAAGTCAGCATGAGCAGTATCAAAGTACTTATGTAGCTAGTTTCTAAAACTTTACAGAAAACCCAGTACAATTCCAAGTGCTTATAGCCAATATAAGCATATTTCATATTAGAAATAGTTATCCATATGTTAACAAGAAACTATGGTCCTCAAATATGCCAATTTTAGAGTCTAATAACTACTGATAGTAACTATGTAAATATTTTGGAATAAACAGTTATTTACGCAAGCCACACTTCAGCTGAGATGATCACTAGACATCTGTTTCCAGAGCTTCAACAATGTGTGCAGCAGAAGGACGATCTTTAGGGTCTTCATTAGTGCATACAGAGAAGAGTTCAATTACTTTCTGGTATGATTCATCCAGTTCTTCCATATTAATAGGTGGCCTAGTTCCCAACGCTGCATAGTATGCTTCATCATCAAAATCACTTTCATCAAAAGTTTTATCTTGAAGGAGTTAGAGATTGAAACAATAAACAAAATCACTTTATGTCATGGAAAAGTTTAATAGCTCACCCTTCTCCTGAAACAAGAATTTATGGTCCAGTATGCTTTCCATTCTGCCACAGACAGAATGGAAATGTCTTCAATTGTCCTGCCATCAAGTAGATTTGCTTTAGTCTTGGATTTATAGGTTATCGACCCCTACTTTTACCCTTCCTGTGATAGTTTTCCAATCAATCATTTTCTCAGGAAAGGGGAGTTTTTAAGATAATGTTTTGCTTCTCTGGATAGCCTCAATTTTTCTCCCTATTCTCAATCTATGTCTCATTTGTGTGAGATTAAACCTTGGTGGTACCAAATCAGTCATCAGTACTAATACATATCTTAGAAAGATAAAATTATATAATCTTTAGTGTGAAATGAAGAGATTGGGATTTATGTTAGAAATTGTATTCATACCTTCATCATCATCATCATTTGAAAGATTAATGTGTGGAATCGATAAAGTCATCATTTCCCACAAAGTAAGGCCAAAGGCAAATATGTCTGCCTTGTCAGTAATAACACCATTCTCCTCCACAGCTTCTTTGGGTTTCCATGGCTCTGTGCCAATGTAACAAGCCTCAGGGTCAGTCACTGAAACAAGCAAGATGGTTATGAAGGCAGGAGCTACAAATCACGAAAAGGCAAGCAACCCAAAGGGAAACAGGCGAACGATTTGAACAAGTAGTTCACAGGTTAATCAGTGTAGCCAGAAAATGTAAAAATACACTCAACCTCAATAAGGATTACTTTCTACCTTTCAGGTTGGTAAATATTCAAGAAGCTGGTCAGTTGGCAGGTATGTAGAGAAACAGCAATTCTCTTACAAATTAGTAGGAATATAGAATGTGGATGTTGAGATTACAGACTCTGGAG
Source organism: Homo sapiens (assembly GCF_000001405.40). NCBI lineage: Eukaryota > Metazoa > Chordata > Mammalia > Primates > Hominidae > Homo > Homo sapiens. The sequence goes on from NC_000008.11 coordinate 27,811,417, forward strand.
CCAGACTGCCTTGCTTGGGTTGGTTCAAAGACATGTGTGTGCAAGCTGCGTGACCTTGAGCAGATCACTTCTAGACCTGAATTTCTTCATTTTGTGAACAATATTAGGCTGAGAGAAGTACCATTTCTATGCTTCCATGATTGCTATGTCAAGGAAAAGGGAAAGGGACCAATCACACATAGGCTCTTTTTTAAAGCCCAAGAAAGAAATAGGTCCACTCACATTTCCATTTAAACTTGAGTCAACTTGTCAATTTCAATGAAAAAGCCAGCTAAAATTCTCATTAGGATTGGACTAAATCTCTGGATCAATTTAGTAAGCATTAACATCTTAATAGTATTGAGTCTTCCAAACCGCAGTCATATATTTCTCCACTTAGTTATATCTTACTGAATTTTCTCAGTGATGCTTTATAGTATTCATTACAGAGGTTTTAGACTTTTTTGGTTATTTATTCCGAAATATTTTGGGTTTTGGTACTTGTAAATAGATTTTAAACAATTCCATTTTCAATTATATACTGCTAATACACAGAAATGTAATCACTAACTTCACTATAGCTGTTTTATAGATTCCTTGGGATTTTCTACCTAAACAACATATCAACTGCAAACGGGGACAGTTTCGTCTCCTTTCCAATTTTGCCTTCTCCATTTTCTTGCCTTATTTTAGTGGCTAGGGCTATAGGACTGCTAAATAAAACTGGCAAGAGCAGGCATCCTGGTCTTGTTCCCTACTTCAGTATGATACCTGCAGGTTTTTCTTGTAGACAGCCTTTTTCAAGCTAAGATCCCTTCTATTTCTAGTTAGCTGAGAGGTTAACTAGATTTTAAACTAACTTTTAAATCAAGAATGGATGTTGGATTTTGTCAAACACTTTTTCGGTATCTATTGAGATATGTAGTTTTCAAATTTGATTAAAGACTTAAATGTTGGACCTAAAACCATAAAAACCCTAGAAGAAAACCTAGGCAATACCATTCAGGACATAGGCATGGGCAACGACTTCATGATTAAAACACCAAAAGCAATGGCAGCAAAAGCCAAAACAGACAAATGGGATCTAATTAAAGAGCTTCTGCACAGCAAAAGAAAGTACCATCAAAGTGAACAGGCAACCTACAGAATGGGAGAACATTTTTGCAATCGACCTATCTGACAAAGGGCTAATATCCAGAATCTACAAAGAACTCAAACAAATTTACAAGAAAAAAAAAAAAAAAAACATCAAAAAGTGGGCAAAGGATATGAACAGACAACTTCTCAAAAGAAGACATTTATGCAGCCAACAGACATGAAAAAATGCTCATCATCACTGGTCATCAAAGAAATGCAAATCAAAACCACAATGAGATACCATCTCATGCCAGTTAGAATGGCAATCATTAAAAAGTCAGGAAACAACAGATGCTGGAGAGGATGTGGAGAAATAGGAATGCTTTTACACTGTTGGTGGGACTGTAAACTAGTTCAACCATTGTGGAAGACAGTGTGGCAATCCCTCAAGGATCTAGAACTAGAAATACCATTTGACCCAGCAATCCCATTACTGGGTATACACCCAAAGGATTAGAAATCATGCTACTATAAAGACACATGTACACGTTTATGTTTATTGTGGCACTATTCACAATAGCAAAGACTTGGAACCAACCCAAATGTCCGTCAATGACTGGATTAAGAAAATGTGGCACATATACACCATGGAATACTATGCAGCCATAAAAAAGGATGAGTTCATATCCTTTGCAGGGACATGGATGCAGCTGGAAACCATCATTCTCAGCAAACTATCACAAGGACAGAAAACCAAACACCACATGTCCTGACTCATAGGTGGGAACTGAACAATAAGAACACTTGGACACAGGGTGGGGAACATCACACCCTGGGGCCTGTCATGGGGTAGGGGGGAGGGATAGCATTAGGAGAAATACCTAATGTAAATGACTAGTTAATGGGTGCAGCAAACCAACATGGCACATGTATACCTATGTAACAAACCTGCACATTGTGCACATGTACCCTAGAACTTAAACAATTTTGTTAATATGGTGAATTTTATTGACTCCTCCCCCAAGCTTTGAGGTATAATTAACAAATTATATATGTTTAAGGTATACAACTTGATGTTTGATATATGTAAACACTGACCTCATAGCCACAGTCAAGCTAATTAACATATCTATCACCTCATATAGTTACCATTTTTTTGTGTGTGTGAGAATACTCAAGATCTACTCTCAGCAAATCTCAAGTGTACAGTATTAACAAAGGGCACGAAGCTTCCATTATGCAGGATGAGTAAGTTCTGGTGACCTAACGTACAGCATAGTGAGGACATTGATTCTTGAATGTTACAACTTTTCCTTCCTGGAATAAGTCCTAGTTGGTCAAGATGTAGTGTTCTCATGTAGTATTAGACTGAATTGGCTAATATTTTGTTAAGGATTTTGATACCTGTGTTTGTGAAGGATATTGGACTATGATTTTTTTTTCTTATCAGTTTATTTTTCTGTGTACATAGCAGGTGTACATGTTTATGTGTTAATGTGATATTTTGATGCAGGCATGCAGTGTATAATAATCACATCAGGACCGATAGGATGTCCTACAATGTGTCAGGTTTTCATATTAGAGTTATGCTGACCACAAAAACAGACTGGGCAGAGGTCCTTATTCCTCTATTTTCTGAAAAAGTTTGTGTAAAATCCATATCATTTCTTCCTTGGATATTTGGTAGAAATCAACAGTAAAACATCTGGGTCTTGAGTTTTCTTTGTGGGAATGTTTCTTAGTAGACATAGGGCTATGTGGATTTCCTTTTCTTCCTATATTAATTTTGGTAAATTGTATTTTTCAAAGAAATTGTCCTTTTCATCTAAGTTGTCAAATTCATTGCCATAAAGCCGTTTATAATAGCCTAATTATTCTTTAAATGTGTGTAGAATTTACAATAACCCTTTTCTCATTCCTGTTGTTGGTGACTTGTGTTCTCTTTTTTCTTGATCAGTCTAGATAAAGCTTTATATATTTCATTATCTTTTCAAATAACCAGCTTTTGGCTTTGTTAATATTTTATAGTATTTGTTTTTTATTTCATTGATTTCTGCTCATAGCTTTATTCCCTTCCTTTGGATTTGCTCTGCTTTTCTTTTTCTAGATTAAATCAATGAACATAGGTCATTGATTTAGAACTTTCCTTTTTTCCAATATAATTTACAACTATAGATTTCCCTCTGAGCCCTGCTTTAGCTATTGCTTGCACATTTTGATATGCTGTATTTTCCTTAATTATTCAAAACATTTTCCAATTTCCCTTGTCATTTTATTTGACCCATAGGTTATTTAAATTTGTGTTACTGAATTTCCAAATACTTGGGGTTTCCTTAGATATCTTGTTAGTGATTTCTAACTTAATTCCATTGTGGCCAACAAATATACTCTATGATTCCTCCCATAGTGTCATACAAACCTTTACTTCTGCTATAACTAGGATAAACTCAAACTCTTACAGACAGAATATTCACTAGGCAGTGTTAGAGTGTATTATACTAAAAAATGAAAATTTTCAGTATTTGATTACTATAATCTGCATTTCCTCACAAATAAGGTTAGAGTGAAAACAATATAATTCATTTTGAAACAATAGAAAGAAGACACAGTGGGGCTGTTTACTGAAAGAAATTTCTCCAGAACTGAAGGAAAGTTCTGCCCTGAGAGTCTCAAGAACTTTACAAGGAAAAGAGGATGAAACTAACATTTAAAGAACAAAAGGGAGGGGTAAAAGAAGGAAAAGTGAGAATCCATAAGCCAGGAAATTGAAGATTCCAGTTAACAAGCACTCATTTATTCCGTTAACATTTTGAGAGGTATGCCTGATAAATGAGCAGGCTCTGTTAAGTGAGAACAAAAATACCAGACTAGGAGGGTACCCAGTACCAGCAGGCAAGAAGGAAAGATGAGTGGTGTCTCTATGGTAGCCTTTGTACTTAGTTCTGCTTTGGGCATTACAGTTTAGAAGGTAGCCATGGACATTATAAGCTCCTTAAAGGTTTTCCCCTATACTGTACCTTATATATTAGAGGTACTTCATGGAATTCATGACAAGAGAAAAGCCTATAGACATGGCCCACATGGGCAGTGACTCTGTGGCAATAAGGAAGGATACTTACACCGTTCAGTATATACACGTATATGTGTGTGTACACATACATTCTAAGTAGGTCAGATTCCTACAAGGATCCATCAGGCTAAAAAGTAGTTTTCTAGAACTCTGGGTCTAAAATAACGGCTCCAATTTGAGACTCGAACCACAAGTGCATTTCCTGTATGTATGTTTACAGTTCTCCAAGTCTGTAAACATAATAGCATGTGACATAGTGAATTTAACATAGTATTTAAACATAATGGATTGGGCCCCCTGCCACCTATGTTAGTGATTGGGTTTGCTCCCTGTGAAGATGGATTGTTCTGACAACAAAAGTTTGATGAGATCATAAACTAATGGTTCAGTCATTTCTTTTGGTTGATACAGAAACAGTTTATACTTTATTTCCCTTTACTACATTCAAAGAGTTTAAGCAGACATGCTTTAGTTACTATCCCAAACTGAAAAATGATGAAACTGGAGCTCCTACTTATCCTTCAATTCTCAGCTTATTAAACATCATTTAGCGAGGCCTTCCTCAACATCTAGACTAGGTTAAGGGCCACTGCTGTGTTTATAATTCCTTGTATCATAACTGTCATCTTGTCTCATTAGTATTCAAAAGCTGCTTTCCATCCTAGATTAGGAGCTGCAACAGGGTAAGACTGTGTCTGTCTCATGTACTCTATATTCATGGTGCCTGACATGTATATAGTATTAATATTTGCAAATTTATCTTGAGATAAACACTTAAGATTTTGGCTTTTCATCGAATACTATATATATATATATTTATTTATTTATTTATTTATTTTAATTTATTTTTTTTTGAGATGGAATCTCGCTGTCGCCCAGACTGGAGTACAGTGGCTTGATCTCAGCTCACTGCAAGCTCTGCCTCCTGGGTTCACGCCATTCCCCTGCCTCAGCCTCCTGAGTAGCTGGGACTACAGCTGCCCGCCACCACGCCTGGTTAATTTTTTGTATTTTTAGTAGAGACGGGGTTTCACTGTGTTAGCCAGGATGGTCTCAATCTCCTGACCTCATGATTTGCCCGCCTCGGCCTCCCAAAGTGCTGGGATTACAGGTGTCAGCCACTGCGCCCAGCCAGAATACTATATTTTAGTTGTGAAATGTTAATATATTACCTGTTTAAAAAAAATTTTAAGATTTGGGTATTTTTTTTCAAACTTTTCTTCATATATGTAAATACATATAAGTGCTATTTTATACTCTGTTTATCTCACTGGATATATTTATGCCTATAAATATAAACCCGTATAATTTATGGATATATGGTATTCTATTGTGTGGTAGTATAAATTAAACCACCCCTTATTGGTGGACATTCTCACACATTGTTGCATAGTCTGTTCTGCTACAATGTGTATTTTTGAAACAGTAAAAAGATTGATATTTTTCCCAGTACATAAATGTTATTTTTGAAGTGATCAGAGGCAAATCTCACAAATAGAAAGCCTTTGCCTACAGAAATGCCTTCCCTGAGCATATGCCTGGTGTAGTAGCTTTAAGAATTGCTATTGCTAACTACAAAAGCTGTGAGTGAGTCCAGGTAAAGGAGCTGCCAACACATTTCCCACACGCTTAAAAATATATATATATTTTTAGTGAGAAAGCCAGATCAAATTTTTCATCTTGATGAAAAGTATCTATTGAAAATACTCTCATATGTAACCTTCAGCATAAACCCAGGGTTTATGGCTACAAAGGAACATTTTATCATCATAGAAAGTTTCACTGAACAGCACTGCTCTAGAAAGTCTTGCTCCGGCTCAGAAATGACACAAGTCATTTCTTCTGGTAGAACCTTTCAGACGACAGTTTGGAAATCTGCATTTAAAATAAGAAAAATATTTTAAAATGTTTATGCCCTTGCAGATTTAATGTGTTAGTATCTTTTATTAGGATTATTAACTGTTTTTGTTACTGCTTTAGTTTTCAAAGTTGCATAGGTTTTAACCCTGTTTTTTTTTTCTATAAACCTAGTTATATCTTGAAACTTTTGCGCAATGAAGTTTTGCAGGAAATAATATATCAGGTTATTATAAAAAAAATGCCTGTACTGCCTAATTACTCAATTACTTCTTTGGACTGTGTTCTTAAGAATGAAACTATAGGGTCAAAGGGCATAAACATTTTTAAAGGTTTTTCTTATTTTAAATACAGCTTTCCAAACTGTCACCTGAAAGGTTCTACCACAAGAAATGACTTGTGTCATTTCTGAGCTTGAGCATTTAACTATCACTGCAAGACTTTCTAGAGCAGTATTGTTCAATGAAACTTTCTATGATGATTAAATCTCCTAAATCTGCATTGTCCAATGTGGTAACCATTAACCACATGTAGCTTCTGAGCACTTGAATTGTGGCTAGGGTGGCTGAGAAAATAATTTCAATGTTTTAATATTAATGTAAATAGCAACATGCAGCTCATAACTACTGTATTGGACAGTACCACTCCAATGCTTTTTCACCCTCCCCATAATGGTGGCCATGTTCCATATAGTGGCTGTTCCATCAGTATAAGTCCTAAAGGGAGAATGACACAGAACAAGGTGCTAATGGCCATGCAGCTTGAGTAATAAGCCTTGGTTGTTGTAAGTCACTGAAGTTTTTGAGGTCTGTGTTACCACAGCAAAACCTATTCTAACCTCAGTAAAACAGCAGTTACAAGTTCTACTTAGTGTATGAGAGGACATGTTAACCTACATTGTTGCTCATACTAGCAATCTTTTTATTTACTAGCAATCTTGTTACTCCTTCAATAATATATTTACAAGTCAGGCACTATTCTAGAGTTGAGGATATTTCAGTGGACAAGATATACAAGGTTCCCTTCTTAGAGCTTACAAGCCTAATGGAGGAATGGAGAAACGTTTAACAGATAATTTACACAGTGTGATGAGTGTTGATAGCAGATTATCTCATTGTTATTTAGCTTTTAAAACATTAGTAAGAACATTACATATATATTTTCCTAATTGCCATTTTTTTCATTTCTCAACAGTCTCTTCATAATAGAGCTTTTATCTGTTTCTCATTGATTACTAATAACTCTTAATGCATTAGAAATATTAAATATCTTATACATTTATCTCAGTTTCTAATGTCTTAAGCTCCCTGCCCCTCTCCAACCCACTGTGATATAGAATTCTTTTTTTTTAAATGGAGGTACCCATGGCTTTTTAATGATGGTTTCTAGCTTTGGTGTCTTCTTTAAAGTCCTCTCCACAGCCAACATTAAAGAACTATTTATCTACAATTTTTTCTACTGTTACTTTTTCCCCCAATCTTCAATATATGGGGATTCAAGTGTAAGGATAGAAAACAGCTGTGTTTTTTTCTAAAATGTCCAGATAACATCATTTACTGACTAAACTACCTCTTTTCTCACTAATACAAAAATGTCACCTTTATCACACAACAAATTCCTCTATTTGGGAACTATTTCCTGACTCTCATGTTCTATTTTTCTGCCTATTTTGGCATGAGTATCATCGCTTTAATTACTGTAGCTTTATAAAACTTTTTATCTGCTCAGGAAGATTCCTCCTCCTTTCATCGAGTTTTCCCAGCCATGTTTGATTGAACATGTATCCTCAAAGAGGAACTTCAGATTAATTCTGACATGTTCTAGAATAGATCACATTAAGATTATGTAGAATTTATAGGCTATCAAATTCATTCATTTCTGCTTTCTGTTCTTAGGGCGTCATTTTTTTCAATTTCAGTTGAATATTCAACTTAACTTCATAAAAGTTAAATAATGAAAATGTTTCCTTTGAGTAGTTTTGAACATATCAAATAGGGTTTGACTTGTTATATTCTTATATTTTCTAAATATTTTATAAATGGAATTTGATTTCTCTTTTTAGCCAAAAATTATTCGGAAGTGTTTTAAATTCCTAAAAAGTTTGGAGTTTTTGTTTCCTATTTTATTACAAATTTCTAGATTTACAGCATTGATGTTAAGGAATATCACCTATTAGACTATTCATACTTTTTATAATTCGAAGTTTTTTTGTGTGATCTAAGAATATGGTCAATTTTAATAAATATTATGGTGCAGAGGTACTTGCCTTACTATTTACTCAGATCTTTAACATCCTTACATTTGTCTGTTTGCTCTATTAAGCATTGAGAAAAATACTTTAAAAACCCTCATTTTTATTATGTTTGACAATTTATCCTTTTACTTTCTAAAGTTCCCATTTTGTAAGTTATTTAGCATAAGGTTTCACAACAGTTCTATTTTTATTAATGATTACAGACATCATTTATTTATAAAGTCTGTCCATTCATTCTGACTCTTGCCTTCAACTCAACTTGTAAACTTTTACTTCAGCTAGAAATTCAGGCATTTATATGTTCTAAACAGCATTTATTAACCATTTGTTTAACTTCTGTTGATATAAAGAGACAAATTTAAGTATTATTTACTAAATAATATGTTGCAAGCAGAGGCTTTCTCTTGAGGCTGGCTCTTGTTTCTCACCAAGAACATATCTTAAATTCCCTGAGAAGCTATGCAATAGAGAAGAAAGGGCAAAGAGCCAAAGACCAGCCTTCATTAGCACCCCTCTTTTCTGCTTCATTCCAGTTTCTTCTACCAGTTTCCTAAATCTTGTCACTTTACTCATGCTAAATAAACCGCTTTACACAACCTTACTAAATTTTACTTTCTATTCCCAGATGCTTTACTGCTTAAAGATCCCAATCCAGTTAGAAATATTTCCCAAAGATAACTCCAGTTAAAATATATACTAATACTACTACTAATAATAATACAGTAATTTATACTGTACATGTGGCAAGGGAGAAGACTGCAGGCTGACTGGGAGAGAGAGAAAAAAAGGGGACTTTTTACCATATACTTTTTAAAAATAGTTTTTGATTTTTGATCCATGTGGACTTACGTATTTAAAAATGTAAACACTGTATTAAAAACAAAATTTTAAAACTTAAGAGTACAACTTACCAGTCATATTTTCATCCAGTGGTAGAGAGACTCCTACATCACAGATTTTAATTGTTTCAAAATCGCCTTTAATTACAACATTTGAAGACTTTATGTCTCCATGAAGCAGTTTCTTTTCTTGGTGCAGATACTAAAATAGTAAAAAATTTAACACATATGTGCAGAAACACAAACTAATAAAAAAATGTGATAACCTCCAAATATAACAACTTGAACTCCCTTCCTAAACTCTAGGTTTACATTTGTCCAGCGTTTCAAAATTTTTTTTTTTTTTTTTAAAACGGAGTCTCACTCTGTTGCCCAGGCTGGCATGCAGTGGCACGATCTCGGCTCACTGCAACCTCCGCCTCCTGGGTTCAAGTGATTTTCCTGCCTCAGCCTCCCAAGTAGCTGGGACTACAGGCGGGCACCACCACACCTGGCTAATTTTTGTATTTTTAGTAAAGACGAGGTTTCACCATGTTGACCAGGCTGGTCTGTCTCGAACTCCTGGCTTCAAGTGATCCGCCTGCCTCAGTCTCCCAAAGTGCTGGGATTACAGGTATGAGCCACTGTGCCCAGCATTTCAAAGTATTTGAAACAAGAGAAGGGAACATCCCATGTTATCTCAGTCTGCCATACTGACCAGAAGTCTAAAAGTTTATTTAGAAATAGATACTTCTGCTAACCTTTTATACTTATAAAATAAATAATTATAAGTTAACTATTTTTTTCCAAGACAGAGTCTTGCTCTTGTTGCCCAGGCTGGAGTGCAGTGGCGCGATCTTGGCTCACTGCAACATCTGCCTTCCAAGTTCAAGCGATTCTCCTGCCTCAGCCTCCCGAGTAGCTGGGATTACAGGTGCCGCCACCATGCCCGGCTCATTTTTGTATTTTTAGTAGAGATGGGGTTTCACTATGTTGGCCAGGCTGATCTCAAATTCCTGCCCTCGTGATCTGCCTGCCTTGGCCTCCCAAAGTGCTGGGATTACAGGCGTGAGCCACCACACCCAGCCAAGTTAACTATTTTTATATATAAGTATGTATATATACCGACAGCTTATAAGTTAACTATACTTATAAATTGGTTAACTTGGTAAGTTAACTAATCCTACATACTTTATATCAGAAGATACAACTGCAGATTTCAAAAGATACCACAATTTTGAGGCTAGTCTAGTAATTTTTAGAAATAATTTTGGAATCTTCAGTGAAGCATACATAAATTGTTGAGACCATGTGGGACAATGAATGACTAGGGCCACATGTACGTATAAGGATGTTTTGGTCAATGATGGACAACATATACGACGGTGGTCCCATAAGATTATAATATCATATTTTGATTTTACCTTTTCTATGTTTTGATATGTTTAGTCACACAGTACTTACCACTGTGTTACAACTGCCTATAGTATTCAGTACAGTAACATTCTATACAGGTTTGTGGCCTAGGAGAACTGGGCTATATATACCACATAGCCCAGGTGTGTAGTTGGCTCTACCATCTAGGTGTGTGTAAGTACACTCTATGATGTCCGCACGCACAGTGATGAAACTGCCAAATGACACATTTCTCAGAACATATTAAGCTACACATGAATGTAATTTGGAAGCAGAAATGTAAGCCTCTATTTTGTTTTCCGCTAACCCCTTTTTGGAACTGACAAGTAACAATATCCATCCACATTCAAAGATGTCCTGCAAAGTGATTATTTGTTCATTTAAAATATGAACAAAAACAGAAGTCATTTAAAATATAATGACATAGTTACCTTTAACCCTCTTGCCATATTCAAAGCAACTTTTAAAATTATGGCTGCTGGAAAAGGATCTTGGCTGGCTTTATATCGTTCTTCTATTAAGTCATTTAGAGACTTTTCACCTCCATATTCCATAGCAAGACACAGACTGCCATCATTGGCTTCAGTAAAAGCACGATAACCTTAAAGAAAACATGACATTTCTTCACTAATATAGAGAAGAACAATAATATTTAAGTCCTTTATAGTAACGTGATTGAAAATATGGATCTGGACTAACGCTGACAAATATACAATGAAACAGCTACTATTTACAAGACTAATTCAGTAGATCTCATTTAAAATGCCTTCAGTGTTTGCCAGTAGTACCACAAATTAAAATACTTTTATTTTCCTTTGCTTCCCTAAATATAATAGTTTCACCAGCCCTACTTGTATTAAAAATGAAAAATGAAATCCAGGAAATTACCTAAATGGATTTAAATTATCTAAATGAAGATCATTTTATATTCTTAAAATCTTCATAGAACTAGCAACATAATTATTATATCTGTTCTCATGAAGTTTATATACTTAGGCATCAAAAAATACTATATGCAAATTTTTATTTTAGACCAATCACATTAATTTGATACCCATTAAATATCCAGCCCCATCCTCTTCATTTCTATTAGTGAAACCAGTTAAGAGAGCATATAAGCTGTTTCTGAATAAACAAAATAATATACCAGATACTGCTACCAAATTTAAACGTACCAACAATGTTTGGATGATGAAGGCTTTTCAAAATCTTAGCTTCATCCATTAGTCTCTTTTGATACACACTTCGATAATGATCATTACATATAGGATTAATCTTTTTTACAGCCCAAGGAGAATGAGACAAACCTCTTGGAGATCTAAGAAAAAAATTCATTTAAAAAGGATAGAAAACAATAAAACCACAATACTTTTTAAAATGACTTCCAAATTTTTGGGAAAAAGCTTGAAAGAAATTTGCTTTTAAAAACAGAATTTAAAATAGTTTGGACTATGAACACCTCTGCTACATTTCCATTTCAATTGGGAGGTAAGATCTAATATACTAAAACAAGTCTTACTATCTATACTGTGGAAGGGAGAGGATGAAAAGAATTTGAAGGGTAAAGATGGAATGTTACAAACTTTAAACCTGAAAATTGTAACTTTCCAATTTTTCCATTTGAGCATGTTGGACTACAACTTATTAAATATTTAATTATATGTATCAGAGATGAGTTATAGGATCCTGAAGAAAAAAACATTAGGAAATTTAAAGAAGAGATAATCAAGAACATTTTACCCATATATCATCATCCAAAGAACAGCATGCTGTTCTTATTGCTCCCCTACACTGACCAATTCACCTTATACCTTTTACCACATGCTCAAAGATATGTGCTTAAGGAGATAATGATGAACATACAAATGAGAAAATTTTAAACTTTCTATTTTCTAGGAAGATTCAGCCATTTTACAAATATTTAAGGTATAAATGTTTTAAGGCCTAAATAGGTAAAATAAAGTCAGGGAAAGGTTTACCTGAGGTGGTAGATATTTATGAGTAGAGCAAATCACAAAATACTTAAGTATATGCAGCATAACAGCACAAAACCTAGTGAAAGAGCCTCAGAAGTTTAAGACAGAAAGTTTAATGGTAAGAACACAAAACAAGAGATTGAATCAAAGATCTGTTTAGCTTTGGACTCCCTCACAGGTATAGCTCTAAGACTGCAGAACCTTTTTTGTTTAATCAAAAAGCCTATACTAAAAGGATCACAAGATTTCTTAATTCATGTACATCTATCATCCGTAAGTTGATCTAAACTATTCTTAAACCTCCAGTTTTAAATAACAGCAGCATTTGAGGATAATGATGAGCACCTGCATATCATTTTATTATGAAAAATATATTTTTCAAATTTCAAGGGTTGAAAGTTTAGCTCTTGAAAGTTTAGAATTTAGTAAACAAGTCAATCTTCACCTTTTCCATAACATATTCTAATCTATCGAATAAGAATAGATTTATGAAATCTGAATACTCAACCATGCAAAAAGCTGGTTCATTAAAAAGACTAATAGAAAAAAGGCAAATTTCTGATGAGATTACACAAGAAAAAATAAAGACAATATCACAAATAAAAATGGAAACAAAACTACAGATACAAGAGAAAAAATATGTAAGTAAATAAAATCTTTATGCAATCATTTAAGACAAAATGGTCAAAGACTTAGAAAAATCTAAGAAAACTGATGAATGAAGAAATTTAATCACCAGTTTAAAATGTTCCTACTAGAAATACAAAGTGCAGATGATTTTACAGGTGAGTTTACTAAGCTTTCAAAGAATTTACCATTCAATCTTATACAAACTGTTTCCCCAGGGAACAGAAAAGGTACTATGAGTCTCATATAACTTTAATTTTAAAAAATCAAAAGGGACAGTAGAAAAAGGAAAACCACAAGCCAACTTCACTTATATCAGATGCAAAAATTGAAATAAACTTTAATATTAGCAAACTGAATCCATCAGTTTATTTAAAAATACTACATCAAAACTATGTTGGATTTAACCAAGAAATGCAAACTTGATTTAACAAAAAAAATATAGACTTCTGGGTTAAAATTGTAGCTTAAACATACACATTGTTTTTATCCTTTCCAAGCCCACTAACATAATAGCAAATGGATATTTTTTAGACATACAAGCCAGCAAGAATGGAAATAACAGCAGAAGAGACAACAGCAACAAAATTTCAGAAGCTGGAAAGCAGAAGAAAGTAACTGACTTAGCCCCAATGAACTGCTTGCAAGTTATTTAAAAAGCACGTAGGCCTGGAAGGGTTAGCACACAACTATAATCACAACACTTTGGGAGGCCAAGTCAGGAGGATGACTTGAGACCAGGAGTTTGAGACCAGCCTGGGCAATATAGTGAGACCCCTTCTCTACAAAAAACTTTTAAAAGTCACATGTGGTGGCCCACGCCTGTAGTCCCAGCTACTTGGGAGGCTGAGGCAGGAGGATTGCTCAAACCAAGGAGTTTGAGGCTGCAGTGAGTTATGATGGCACCATTGCACTCCAGCCTGGGCAACAAAATGAGACCCTGTCTCTAAATAATAATGGTAAAAAACAGGTGGACTCGTAGATACCCTCCTTAATTCTGTACCAACTGGCAGCTGCCCACCCCCCTTCCCCAGCTTCTAAAGATGGTAGACTAGCTTTGGAAGGTATAAAACAAGTCTTTAGCCTGAGGTTTACTGTCAGTTGAGAACCTGTAATACAGAAGCAGGTTAATAATTAATCACCATATGCATACTAAATGCTCAATGAGTTTTTACATGTGCATATACCTGTGTTATCAACACCTAGATACCGAACATTTCTAGCACTCCAAGAGACTAAAGATGCTATTTTTAAAAAGATAATTAATTAAAAACAAGATAAAAACTCAATAGAATTGTTGAAAGATAAAGCTGGGGAAATCTCAGAAAAAAGATAGCGAATAAGAAAACCAAGCAAAAAAGAGGTAGATGAGAAATCAGTAAGTTCAACATTCAAATAATTGGATTCCAGATGGAGAACAGAGAAAAAGAGGTGAAAATCATCAACAAAGTAATTTTTAAAATAATGTCTCAGAAATTTAAGAACAGGAACTATTCAGATTCCAAGATCCCCACATCCACTCATGTCATTGTGAAATTTCAGAATGCTACCGACATACAGAAGATCATACCAGGATCCAGGACAGTGGGGGGGACAGATAACATAAAACGGATTACATATGAAGAATTAGCAGTCAAAAAGGCTTCATAATTCTCAACAGCAACAGTGTAAGCTAGAAAAAAAACAATGTCAGTGACTGATATTCTCAAAATTCTGGAGGGAAATTGTTTCCAAATGAGAATTGTAACCCAGAAAACCAAAAAGGGCCATTCAAGTATGAGTAAAATGAAAACATTTTTGGAAATGCAAATTCTCAAAAAAATATATCTTCTGTGCACCGATTCATGGGGAGCTACCAGATGTCCTAAATGAAAACGGGATGTAAATCAAGAAATAATAAGACACAAGATACCTAAAAACACAGGATATAATTCAGCAGAGAAGCATAGGAAATTTGCAGGTTATGGATAAAAGAAATCCCAGGTTGACAGGGCTGAATCAGGAGGAGTGTAGGGTCAGGCAGGCACTGCTGTTCTTCAAGATCAGCTATTTGCCCAGCACTTTGGGAGGCCGAGGCGGGCGGATCACGAGGTCAGGAGATCGAGACCATCCTGGCTAACACGGTGAAACCCCGTCTCTACTAAAAATACAAAAAATTAGCCGGGCGTGGTGGCGGGCGCCTGTAGTCCCAGCTACTCGGGAGGCTGAGGCAGGAGAATGGCGTGAACCAGGGAGGCGGAGCTTGCAGTGAGCCGAGATCGCGCCACTGCACTCCAGCCTGGGCGACAGAGCGAGACTCCGTCTCAAAAAAAAAAAAAAAAAAAAAGATCAGCTATTTGAAGCTTTTTGACTAAACCACATACAGTGTAACTTTGTTAAAAACACTTTACATTTAAAAACTTTTTTTAAAAAGGGGGAAAAAAATGAAACTAGCCATAAACCTGTGAGAATTTTTTTCTTTCAAAATAGGAGTTAACACTAAAAAACAAATTAGAAAACAATACCATACAAACATACAAAAAAAATGTTTAAACTGCAAAAATGCTTCAGGAATACCCATTGTATATAATTACTAAATTATTCTTAATTAGCCTCTTATTAAAGAAAGCATTTCTATCTGGAAACAATGTAAACCTAGATGAAGCTAAGATACGGAGGGTTGGACTAGTTAGACTGATTCCAAGAATGCATTAAGGAATATATATTGATGTAGTTGTTTGCCACTTAATAAACATGAAACTAGGTACAGAGTAATGATTAAAAGAAGTAATTTTGGGCTGGGCATGGTGGCTTACACCTGTAATCCCAGCATTTTGGGAGGCGAAGGCGGGCAGATCGCTTGAGGCCAGAGTTCGAGACCAGCCTGGCCAACATGGCAAAACCCTGTCTCTACTAAAAATACAAAAATTAGCTGGGTGTGATGGTACACGCCTGTAATCCCAGCTATTCAGGAGGCTGAGGCAGGAGAAGCGCTTGAACCTGGGAGGTCGTGCCACTGCACTCCAGCCTGGTCAACAGAGTGAGACTCTGTTTCAAAAAAATATATGAATAATAAAAAAGTAATTTAAAAAAACACTTTGTTGACAGCTATATTGGCACCATACTTGTTCGATTATTTCATTTTTCTTAACACAATATTCCTACTTTAAAATCATGTATTTACCCTTCTTAATAACAATGCCATAAGAAATGAAAATCTTTTACTTCTTTTAGAAGAGCATATCTTAGGAGGGCAACGCTGCAGAAAAGACAGCAGTCACTGACATCACCCAATACTGGCTTCCTCTTTGAGGTTTTCTCATGAAGAATCTGGTTTAATTACCACAAAGGAACCCTTTCCCCTGCCACTTCCCCTTCTTATGGAAGCCAAGGAAAAATTAAAAAGTAAATGACTTCCCCTTTAATAACCCATCAGGAGGAAGCTAGGAGAAAAGCAGAGGCAGAGCTACAGGCAAAGTTACAAAAGGGTCTAGGGACCGGAATACAGCCATCAGCCAGGATCAGGAGCAGACAACCGAATCTAAATACTGGAATTTTCAGACTACTTCTTTGTCTCCAAGTACAGTAGAATTATAGTTGCATGAAAAAAGGTTAATCTGAAATCTTATACTTACCTTTTCATTAGGTACACATTTACCCCAGTACCAAAGCCAAGCTTCTGCATAAACGGAGAGGCCGGGATATTTATAGTTGGAGTTGAACATAATACTAAATGTCAGAGAAATAAAAAATAAAATTAATAAAAAATAAAAATAAAGCATCTTAACATTCTCAATATACTACTGCCAAGAGTATTAATTGGCACAGTCTTTTTGGAGAGCAATTTGACAACATATATCCTAATTTTAAATGGGTATCTTTTGACCAAGCCTACTTTTGGAGTTTTATCCTACAGTAACTCTGAAGCAGAGATTGGGAAATGGCCTGTTTTTGTATGGCCTACAAGCTAAGAACTGTTTTCACATTTTTAAAACATTGTTAAAAGATAAAGGGGTTGGATGTGGTGGCTCATGCCTATAATCTCAACGCTTTTGGAGTCCGGGGCAGGAGGGTCACTTGAGCCCAGTAGAGACCAGCTTGGGCAACATAAAGAGACTCCATCTCTACACACGAAAAAATTTTTTTAATTAGCCAGGAATGATGGCACACACCTGTGGTCTCAGCTACTTGGGAGAAACACTTGAGCCCAGGAGGTTAAGGGTGCAGGTGCAGTGAGCTGTGTTCAGCCTGGGTGACAGAGCAAGACACAGTCTCAAAAAAAAAAAAAAAAAAAAAAAAAGATGAAAAGATGGAGTTCTGCTTCTGCTCATGAAAAATAATTAACTACTCCTGGACAATTAACTGCTCCTAGAGTTACCATCTCGCCATTAACTAGAAAACTAGACAAAATATAATTGTTTTCAGACACTTGACAACAGGCAGAGCAGTGTTGTGATGCCTGAGAGAAGAGAAACAAATGAGGTGGGCCCTATCACTGCCCTAACTTACTGCTTGAAGGCAGTTTCCAGACTGCAGGACAGAGGTCACATAATCCAGAAGTCCTGTCACATTGAAGAGACAGAGATCAGAGGTCAAGAAGGACTAGGCGGCTAGAATTTGTGGAGCAGAGAACTAGAGAGCTCCAAAGAGAGCACTCCAAAGATCTGAACAGTTTCTCTTTGAGTGTTTGGCCAAGTACTTATCCGCACATAACAATGTGTAGATGCCCCAAAGCTGGGAAAGCACCAGAGGAAAGCAATTGGCTCAACAATTACCAGAGATCATACAAGTCTAGGAACACTTCATATCACCATGAGCTAGAGGATGGTAACCCTGTAACACATAGTAAAGTCCTCTAAAGGGTCACAACTAGATAGTACAGCTAAAGTTTAGCCCCAGATAAACATTCAAAACAAAGCTTAAAAGCCAGTCTCAAAAGGAACAGGCTAATGTGCAGGTAACTTAACCTCAGACCATAACTAAATCAAACACTCTTTAAAGGAATAACAAAATCCAGTACTAGACAATGCAAAATATCTACTGCCCAATCAAAAAGTACCAGGCATGAAAGCAGCAAGAAAATATGACCAATATAGGAGAAAAATAAATCAATAGAGGCCTAGCGCGGTGGCTCACGCCTGTAATCCCAGCACTTTGGGAGGCCGAGGCAGGCAGATCACTAGGTCAGGAGTTCGAGACCAGCCTGGCCAACATGGTGAAACCCCGTCTCTACTAAAGAGGCAAAAAATTAGCCAGGTGTGGTGGCACGTGCCTGTAATCCCAGCTACTCGGGAGGCTGAGGCAGGAGAATGGCGTGAACCCAGGAGGCGGAGGTTACAGTGAGCTGAGATAGCGCCATTGCACTCCAGCCTGGGCGACAGGGCACAAGACTCCATCTCAAAAAATTAAAAAATCAATCAATCAATAGAAACATACCATAAGATGACAGGAGGCCAAGAGTGGTGGCTCACGCCTGTAATCCCAGCACTTTGGGAGGCTGAGGCAGGTGGATCACTTGAGGCCAGGAGTTCAAGACCAGCCTGGCCAACATGGCGAAACCCTGTCTCTACTAAAAATACAAAAATTAGCTGGGCGTGGTAGCACGTGCCTGTAATCCCGACTACTCGGGAGGCTGAGGCAGGATAATTGCTTGAACCCAGGAGGTGGAGGTTGCAGTGAGCTGAGATCGCACCATTGCACTCCGGCCTGGGTGACAGAGCAAGATTCTGTCTCAAGAAAAAAAAAAAAAAAAAAAATGACAGGAATGGCAAAATTAGCAGATAAGAACCTTAAGACAAATCTTAAAAATGTGCTCAATGATACAAAGGAAAATCTGAGCATAACGGAAAAAAAAAGACAAAATAGAAGCTTAGGAATGAAAAATACAATGGATAAGAATAACATCATCTTAGAGCAGAAGAATAACTAAATCTTAAGACAGAGCAACAAAAACTATCAAAAATGAAGCAAAGAGAGAAAAAGGTTAGAAAAAAATCATCAATGAGCTATGGGACAATAGCAAAACAGCCGATTTACATCCAACAATAGACAATTACATTGAGTATAAATGGTCTAAACAGAGCTGTCCAATACATCATGCTGCCATGTGGAAATGTCTATATCTGTGCTGTCTGAGCGCTGAGCACTTAAAATGTGACTAATACAACTGAGGAACTCAATTTGTAATTTTATTTAATTCTAATTAATTTGTATCCAAATTTAAATAACCACATTTAATAATCCAAATTTAAATAACCAAATTTAAATAGCCACATGTAGCTAATGGCAAAACAGTCCAGTTAAAGGAAATTAAAGTTGTCAGAACGGATAAAAACAAGACGAGACATGCCATTTATAATAAACTCAATTTAAATATAAAGACGCAAATAGGGCAAGAGTAAAGGGTTGAAAAACATCATTAAAACACAAATCAAAATAAATCTGGAGTGGCTCCATTACTATCACATAAAGTGGACTCCAGAACAAAGAGTACCACTGAGGATTAAGAAGGGTATTTCGTAACAGTTAAGGTATAAATTCATCAAAAGAAATAACCATCCTAGGCCAGGCATGGTAATCCCAACACTTTGGGATCTGACTTGTGGTTTATGTGTCTTGGTGAATGTTGCATGCACTTGAAAGGGAGGCCAAGGAGAGTGGATCACTTGAGGCCAGGAGTTTGAGACCAGCCTGCCCAACATGGCGAAAACCTGTCTCTACTGAAAATACAAAAATTAGCCGGCCATGGTGGTGCACGCCTGTAATCCCAGCTACTCCAGAGGCCAAGGCACCAGAATCACTTGAGCCCAGGAGGTAGAGGTTGCAGTGAGCCGAGATCACACTGTTGTACTCCATTACGGGTGACAAAAGGAAACTCAAAAAAACAAGAAAAAGAAAAGAAATAACCATCCTAAATGTGTATGTACCTAATAACAAAGCTTCAAAATACATGAAGCAACAACTGATAGAAATTGGGGGTGGGGGGAAGCAGACAAATCCACATTGTAGTTGGAAACTTCAACTCTCTTCTCTCATAATTAATATAAAAAGTATACAGAATATCATTGACATTTGTAGAACATTGACATTTGTAGAACACCGTACCCAGTAAGAGTAGAAAAAAATGCCCTTTTCAAGTGCATGCAACATTCACCAACATACATAAACCTCAAGTCAGACTGATTAAGGAAAAAAATTAAGAAAATATACAATACTAGTACCAGATATGAAAAAGGACACTAGAAGGTTAATAAGGGTGTATCAAGAATAACTTCACACCAGTACATTTGAAAATTTAGAAGTGATGGACAAATTCCTTAAAAAACACTAACAAAATTCACAAAGAAAATAAGAGATCACTTGAATAGCCCTATATCTATTAACTGTGAAATCACAGTTAAACTCTTCCTACTAAGAAAACTCCAGGCCCAGATAGCTTTACTAGTGAATTCCACCAATTTAAGGAGGAATAATACCAATTCTACACAAAGTTAAAGAAAAAGATATTTCTATTAAAAAAAGAGAAACATTTCTCATCTTTATGAATACAGAATAACCTAATATTAAAACTAGACAGATATCCCAAAAAGACAACTGCAGTCCAATATCCCTCATGAATATAGACAATATCAGCAAATCAAGCAATATATAAAATATATCATGACCAAACTGGCTTTACACAAGGAAGTTCAGTTTAACACTTGAAAATTAACATAATTTACCACATTGAGAGATTTTAAAAGAAAATTTAATAGATTCAGAAAAAGCTCTCTACAAAGTTCAATACCCACTCACGATAATAACTAGAAATAGAAGAAAAATTCCTCAAACTAATAAAGGGTATTTGTGAAAAACCTACATCTAACATAATACATTGGGAACAAGGCAAGTATATCCACTAACATTTCTATTCAAAAACATACTGGAGCCAGTGCAATTAAAAAAAGTAAAAGAAACAAAGCCATACAGACTGGGGAACAAAGTAAAACTGTCTTTCTTCATCCACAAATGACCAACCATATACAACATCCCAAGCAATCTATTAAAAAGCTAATAGAATAAGTGAGTTTAGGACGGTTGCAGGATACAAGGTCAATATGAAAAATCTGTCACTAGAAATGGACAACAGAATATTTTCTCATGTTATTTTCTAGAAATTTAATTGTAGCTATTTTTTATATAATAGGAGTTAAGGGTCAAGGCTTATTTTTTGCACGTGGATATCTAGGTGTTTGTTGAAAAGATTTTCCTTTGTCCATTGAGTTGCCTTGGAAAATATCTTTCCCTCACAAGAGCAATGTATGGATGAGAGGGAGAAAGGTAAAGCAGTTCCTTAATGGGTCAAGCTAAGTTGATTCTTGGGCAGGGAGAGCCTCCAAACCTGTTAGATTGTCAATAAAATTAGTCCAGAGATGATCAAACCGTGGCCTATAAAATAAGTCTTATTTGTTAAGATTAACATCATAAAGGGGAGTTACATTAAAGTTTCTAAGTGACCGATAATAAAGGATCAAACTAAATAATACTAGGACATTTCTAAGAGAAACAACAATAGTAAAAAAAAAAATCTTACATCTGCTATCTTACCAGATTTCTTTTTTTCTGATAATTTGCTTGGTGTCTTGAAATTACTGATCCCTTCCATTGTGAAAGCCACTCTCAGTCCTACGATGAAAACAAATTGCAAGTTACACAGCAGATATAAAGAATACAACTCTCATTCATGAAGAAAAATGCCAATAGCCAGGCGCAGTGGATCATGCCTGTAATCCCAGCACTTTGGGAGGCTGAGGTGGGTGGATCACCTGAGGTCGGTGGATCACCTGAGGTCGGGAGTTCGAGACCAGCCCGACCAATATGGAGAAACCCCGTCTCTACTAAAAATACAAAATCAGCCAGGCGTGGTGGCGCATGCGTGTAATCCCAGCTGCTTGGGAGGCTGAGGCAGGAGAATCGCTTGAACCTGGGAGGCAGAGGTTGCGGTGAGCCGAGATCGTGCCATTGCACTCCAGCCTGGGCAACAAGAGCAAAACTCCGTCTCAAAAAAAAAAAAAAGCCTATAACATTATCGTTCACGTTATCACAAACAAAATTTGAGAGCTAAAAAGGACCTCAACAAACATTTAGCCCAATTTTACTTAAAATGAGGAAACTAAAACCAAAAAGTACAATTACTTACCCCCATCATAATATTAGTGATTGGGTATTTTTGTTTTCATTATAAAGTAATATATGCACTTAGCTAAAAAAAAAATCACCTAGTACAAAAAAGTAAACAGTATGTCTCCCTGTTATACTTCCCAGGAGCAGTTGTTAACAGCTCTCTTATATCCTTTAAGGAAACTGTTCAAGCAGCATTATTCATAACAGCCAAAAGGCAGAAACAACAGAACTCTGCATCAGATGATGAATGGATAAACAAAATGTGGCATATCTATACAATGGAATATTATTCAGTCATAAAAAGGAATAAAGTGCTGATATATACAAGAATGAACCTTGAAAACATTATACTAAATGAAAGAAGCCAGACACATAAAGGCTACATATATGATGATCCTTTTTTTTTTTTTTTTTTAGATGGAGTCTCACTCTGTCGCCCAGGCTGGAGTGCAGTGGCATGATCTCGACTCACTGCAACCTCTGCCTCCCAGGTTCAAGCAATTCTCCTGCCTTAGCCTCCTGAGTAGCTGGGACTACCAGCGCCCACCACCACACCTGGCTAATTTTTATATTTTTGGTAGAGACGGTGTTTCACCATATTGGCCAGGCTGGTCACGAACTCCCGACCTTGTGATAATGCCCGCCTGGGCCTCCCAAAGTGCTGGGATTACAGGCATAAGCCACCGTGCCCGTCCAATGATCCCATTTTTAGGAAATGTCCAGAATAGGCAAATCATGGAGACAAAAATAGCTGAATAGTTACTAAGGACTGGGAGACAAAGAATGCAGAATGACTGCCAGTGGGTATGGGATTTCTTTCTGGGGTGAAGAAAAGGTTCTAAAACCAGATAATGGTTTAATATATTCATCTCTGAGTATACTAGAAACTATTGAATTTTACACTTTCAAAAGGTGGATTTTTATGATACATTAATTATCTCAATAAATGGTTATAAAAATTGTCTATGAAAATAAAATGAGGCCGGGTATGGTGGCTCACGCCTGTAATCTCAGCACTTTGGGAGGCCAAGGCAGGCGGATCAGTTGACATCAGGAGTTCAAGACCAGCCTGGCCAACATGGCGAAACCTCGTCTCTACTAAAAATACAAAAAAATTAGCCAGGTGTGGTGGCGTGTACCTGTCATTCCAGCTACTCAGGAGGCTGAGGCAGAAGAATCGCTTGAACCTGGGAGGCGGAGGTTGCAGTGAGCAGAGATCGTGCCACTGCACTCCAGCCTGGGCAAAAGAGCAAGATTCCATCTCAAAAAAAAAAAAGAACGGAAGAAAAGAAAATGTACATACCACATATATAAACAAAGCAACTCAATGTGTTTACTTCTTCGTAACATATTTAAGAATTTTTTTATTTTAAAAATTATATTTCTTTTTAAAAAATTAGGTTTCCTATTAGATTTATTTATTATAAAGCAAAACTGTTCCTACATGTCTATAAGCTCATTTGTCTATAAAAAGTTGGGAGGCAGACAGATTTGCTTAAATTTTTTATAGAGCCCTTAATAATAGCATCTTTAAAAACTGTACTAAGGGGAAGAAAATCATCTCAAAGGCCCAGCTTTAACTATTAATGACAAGCTTGTTCATCTTGTTTAAAATGTAGCTACAATCACTATTGTCTTCAGATTTACCTGTCCTGAGAACACCGAAGAGCCCCTTTACATGTGTTTGTCAAGAGTATAATAATTTTATGAAGTGACCCATTTAACTTGACGGTAGGAACAGCAGAATTTCTGAAACCAGTTTCAGAACTTTGGGAAAGGATAAACTATTTAGCAGAGTGGGTTGCAGGAGGTATTTCTACTTCGGAAATAATTTCCCCATGTCATTCTGACTCCCCTTCTTCCATCTGTGTTATCTTTCCCCATGGGATGCTGTGATGTGGCACCTCAGAGATCTTCTAAGATTTTTTTTTTTTTTTGAGACAGAGTTTTGCTCTTGTTGCCCAGGCTGGGGTGCAATGGTGCAATCTCGGCTCACTGCAACCTCTGCCTCCCAGGTTCAAGCAATTCTCCTGCCTCAGCCTCCCAAGTAGCTGGGATTATAGGCATGTGCCACCATGCCCGGCTAATTTTTTGTATTTAGTAGAGATGGGGTTTCACCATATTGGTCAGGCTGGCCTCAAACGTGACCTTAGGTGATCCACCCGCCTTGGCCTCCCAGAGTGCTGGGATTACAGGCGTGAGCCACCACATCCAGCTTCTTCTAAGATTTCTATCTACCTATGTGAAGCTACTCTTCATTCACTCAGTCAATATGCACACACTGAGCACATACAATGTGCTCTAACAGTGCACTGTTCGAGCACATACCATGTGCTCTAACAGTGCACTGTTCTACACTCTGGAAATAGAGCAGCAAACAAGACCCAAACAAGTATGAAGATAAACATATACTATTTCAGGGGAAATATATATCAGTGAAGGGAGCAGAAGGCCTTGGGAAGGGGCTTAATATTTGAGTTTAAAGTGGTCAAGAAAGGTCTCCTTGAGAAACTCATTTGAAGGAAGTGAGGGAGCAGGCCCAAGCAAGTATCTAGTGAAAGTCTTCCAGAGAGAGGACAAGAAATACAAAGACCTGAGGCAGAAATCTTCACGAAGAGGCGAGCTAGCAAGGGGGAGAATGAGACAAAGTCAGGGAGGCTGAGGGTAGGGACTGGCAAGTCAAGTAGAGCATTGTAGCCACAGGACTGTGACTTCTACTCAACTGTAGTCACAGTCAAGATTTCAGCTTGTACTGAGAAACAGAAAGCTGTTGGAGAGTTTTGTGGAGGAGTCAAATAGGTGGGTGGATACGGATCTAGAATGCAAGCTGAAGATTTAAGTTTGTGGGATGGCAGCACGCAGACGTTATTAAAGCCAAGAGACTAGGTAAGATCATCTAGGGAGTAACTGTAGAGAGAAGAGGGGTGAGCCCTAGGGCATCCAAGCATGAGAAATGAAAAACAAAGCAACCAAGGAGGTGCCAACAAAGTAGGATGCAGAAAACCCTGGCGCGTAGAGTGTCCTGGAAATCTTATGATGAGCCTTATGAGTCTCACTGCCTTTTCCCGCTCACTCTACGGAGGATTTGATATTCAGAAGCAGCACGTTTTAAAAAAGAAAACCTATCTCTAAAAACAACTAGGTTTAAACAGAAGTCGTAACATTTCATTATGTTCTCTTACGACTGAGTCCCACCTTCTACTCTAAGCTATTTGCACCTCAATGTACCATGTCCTATCCATTTCACAGTTGTCTGAGGGCCACTTTTTTCCAGACTGCACACTCAGGTTTAGGCATTAACTGCTGACAGATAGCTTTTGGCCAGTAGCCCAGACTCTGCTTCAGATTATGTTATGTATTGTATATGCATTCTTAACATTAATTGTTAAATAACCATACTAATTCTAAATCACAAGGTTCTCATGAAGATGACAGCAAAAAAAACAGTGAATATTTAGATGAAGATAAATTAGAAATGGCAGTAGGATGACCGTGAGCAGAATTTCATACTCTGTGGAATACGTAAGATATTTTTAACAATCAAGTACTGTTTAAGAGGCAGCATTAAAGTGAGCAGCGCTCAAGCAAGCTAATCTACAGATTTACCGGGTCAAACGTCAGTGACCTTTGGGCCCTAAGCCTGGGACCCTGGGACTCAACAAATACCTGGACACTACTGACAAAGCTACGACGCGGACGGGCAGCAGAAAACGGAAAATTAAAAGAATGAGAGAAAAAGTAAAGGAGAAAAGAGAAACAAAGTAGATGTAGAAACTCCAAGGGGAAGCAAAGAGAAAGTGTGGGCCGCATGACTCTCAGGTCCTCTGCATCTCACACGCTCAGCAGGGTTCGGGGGTGGAGGTCAGACTGTTTACCCCAATCCAGGGGCTCACAAGGGGCTGGCTGCCAAAATCCTTCTTTGGCTGTAACCAGATCCTCCCCTGTCACGAAAGCCCCCGCAGAGGCCTCGGCTCCGGGCTCGGCCCCCGCCAGGGCTCGCAAAAAAAAAGCTCCTCTTACCAGAGTCTCACCGCCTGGAAGGAAAGGTCGGAGGTGAAAATAAGTCGTGGCCAAGTACCTCTTCAAAATTGGTCCCGAGCGGCCCCCAGCGAGACCCTGCAGCTGCCTCTAGCACCAACACATACGCCCGGCAGCTGCCGTTGCAATTCGAACCCTCCTGGCTTTCAAAAAGTCGCGCGCTGCGCCAGCTTCGGCCCCGAGCTACGGGGCGGCGTGAAGGACACGCCCCGCCGATTCGCCGTTCCTCCTCCCTCTCCCAGGACTCCCGGTGCCCGCAGGCGCCAAAGACGAGGGAAGGAAGGAAAGGCGCGGGGAGCACAAACTTTTACAGGAACCACCAGCCCTTCCGAGGAGCACAGCCCGGTGAATAGAACACAGTTGCCTGTGCTGAAGGCTGAAGCTCTCTCCAAACGCTCACATCTGTGTTGAATGTGTCGTGATTATGACGTCAATTTTATTATAGGTTTATGAGGCCTTGAAACACTGTAAAGACAAATGCGTAGCTTAAGGAACAATCATCTTTAGCCGAGGGAAAAAAAAGATATTTAGAAATGTTGCTAACTCATGTAATTGCCACATTCAATTCAACATTCTTTAATTTATTCAACGATTATTTAGGAACATCTGCTCCCCAGGAGGGGATGGGCCGTGGGGCAGACCAGGGGCCCAGAGCTCAGGGCAGGGGGTACCGCTTGTGGGGCCGCTCATTTCTGTTTCGAGGTACACCAAGGGTTAGAAAAACCACAGTAAGCAAAGAACTTGCATCAAGATCGGGACTGGAATCCATTAATGTAGGTGACAAAGCCCCGCAACTCTGATCAGGGCTTCTCCCCAGGAAGATGTGCCCTGAGGCATCCCCCGAGGATGGCGCAGGTCCTGAGGGTCGTGGGGATCAAAGAATATGAGCCAAGACGTATAAATCACATGTTGGAGTTTGCCTTCCCCTATGTGACCACAGTTCTGGATGATGCAAAAATTTACTCAAGCCATGCTAAGAAAGCTACTGGTGTGCAATTGCAATCCAGTGTGCGCCGACCAGTTTTTTTTTACCTCTCCGCCCCAAGAGATTTTTATTAGATATTGCAAGGCAAAGAAATCAAACCCCTTCGCCTTTGATCAAGCCGTATTCAAGTCCTAGAATGCCACCCAATAGATATTGCTTAACAGCTCCAAACTATATGTTGCAGGGAAAACCCCAAAACTAGGGTACAGCCACAGAGGCCACCTGGCTTGGAGCAGGAAGGAATTCGAGAGCAGCCCCATAGAGTAAAATGAGAGCAAGTTTATTAAGAAAGTAAAGGAATAAGAGTGGCTACTCCACAGGCAGAGCAGCCTGGAGGGCTGCAGATGGGCTATTTTTACCGTTATTTCTTGATCATATGCTAGATAGAGGATGGATTATTCATGAGTTTTACAAGAAGGCCCTGGGGATTTTCTGGAACTGAGGGTTCCTCCTCCTTTTAGACCATGTAGGGTAATAAGTTCCCCGGGTTGCCATAGCATTTGTAAACCGTCATGGCACTCAGGGGGAGTGTCTTTCGGCAGCTAAATCATTATAATTAGCCTGTAATGAGCAGTGAGGATGACCAGAGGTCATCCACTAGTGGATTTCAGTCTCAATCTTGATCCGGGTTCTTTGCCTGGAGTGGTTTTTCCAACCCTGGTGTGCCAGGAAAGGGAACGCTGAGTGGCCCCCTATGGGGTGCCCTCTTGGTTTTGGTGGGTTTGGGCCACCCTCTTTACTGCATCTGTTTTATCAGTGGGGGTCTTTGTGACCTCTATCTTGTGAAATCAGTCCTGCCAAACTTCTGTCTCATACATACAGGCTTAAGTCTTTACAGAAAAAGGCATCTACGTCTGAGGGAAGAATAACAGTCCCCATGATATCAGTGGGCCAGGGGAGGTCCTCAAATGCCGGTGGGTCCTGGACCCCCGCAGGTGTCCAGACTCTTGACACCGTCTTGAGAATGGATTCAAGGATGAGTTGGAAAATAGTGAAAGTATGGAGATTTGTTGCAAAGGGAAAAAGTACACACTTAAGAAAGGGGATTGCGGGCGTACTCAAGAGAGTCACACAGTGGGGTGTGCGGTTTCTCTCTGTATGGGTTTCTTCAACCAAGGGGTGGAATATTTATGACAATTCTTGGAAAAAGATGGAGATTTCTTGGAACTGTGGTGCCACTCGTTTTTACACCAAATATGGGTGTTCCCAGAACTGTCATTGCGCTGGTGGGTGTGATTTAGTGTGTTAATGAGCATATAATGAGGTCCTAGGTGAAACCTAGGTCAAATCCAGCACCACTTTGGGTCTAGTTGGTCTTAGCCAGCTTGGTGCACACCCTGTTTTTCAGGGGTTCATCAGCCCATAACCCCTACTCATGGGAAACTGCTGTCTGGAGTTTTTATTCTCCTGTGAACACCCTGCATTATTTCTGTCTCACCCAGATTAAATGTTGGTTCAGTTACTAGCCGACCAGGTGTTCACACACTAGGCACACCACCCCCCAAACCATGTTTGTGGCAACTAAAGTAAGGACTCAAATGTCCCTCACAAGGCAAAGGTTTACAGTGTAGATGTCTGCTTCACATTGCCCTGTGAAGCGTGAATTCCTGTAACATCAGCAATTCAGAATGTTCTGGTTAATCCATCACGAATGGTCCAGAGGCATTCTTATTACACTAATATGGTGTCATCACAAACTACTGCCAATGGAAAAAAAAACATGAAGAAGATGATAATGATGATGATGAGGACGATAATTTGTAATCTAGCTTTGATGTATGTAACATGTATACTTGACCTTGAATTCACTGTACTGAAATTAATCATGCATGCTGGATGCTTTCAAGTTGTGTTTTAGAAAACTTAAATAATATTTCATGAGTATACTCTATTTTCAATTGAAATATTAGATTTTCTTTAATAGGATAAGTAATGGTTTTTCATCAGCTTTTAAGTGTAAAATAATAAAGTTGTCCTTCATCAATTAAAAAAAAACACATTTATAGAGCACCTACTTCTACCCTTCAAAGTCCAATCTTTCAGCATCCCTAAGCTTCCTTAGCCCGTCTCAGGAGGAGGCAGGGGATGGGGGCTAAGGAAACTTAACCAAATCACTCCTCCTCTCCTAAGTCTTTACCTTCACCCCCTTTAATAGTCATTTTTCTTCCAAATCAAACAATAACAATAATAGCAAATACTTATTTAGTATTTATTGTATGTCAGGTCTTGTTTCATGTATTAGCTCATTTAATCTTCATAACTCTATGATGTAGGTTACTATGATTATAAACTCCATTTTTCAAATGAGGAAACTGAGGCACAGAAATGTTAAGTAATTTGCCTAAAGTCACAGGATTTAACAATTGGTAGAGCCGCAATTCGAAACCATGTTGCCCTTAGACTTCCTCTTTAACAAATGTGCTTAAAATCTCTTCCACATTACACATGTGTGCACACACACGCACACCCCTCCACCTCTGGGGCCTTTCCATTTTTGGTCACCCTCTTTCAAGCATAGAAGCACAGTGTCTCACCTCTCTCTCTCTCAACTCTCATTCTAATTTTCTTCTGCAGGCATTATATTATAGACCTCACCACCTTTTCTTTAAAGATCTATAGTGTTCTATACTTTTTATGAAGTCCTACATTTTTACAAGCCTATTTTCTACTCTTACTGGCTAATAAAATCCTGCCTAAAGCCAGAGCCTGAAAGCTTCATAATTAACCATTGCTAGTGAAAAGAAACTCCAGGGAGATGAGGTTATCGATGCAGGTATAAGATGAGGCCAAAAGCATGCATGAGAGAGAAGGCACTGGTGTAAAGCCTTACTCATAACCATCCTGTTCCCCATCTTCTAATCATAAAACTGCCTCCAGAGATTAGCCACAGAAACATCTGAACTTCACAAGTGCAGTGTTATCATTTGTGAAATGCAACCATGAACTCAAAATCTTGCATACTAGTCAGTTGTCATGGAAAATAGCTTGCAACCTAGATCATTATTTATTTCAGTGTATAAATGGCCTGGTTTCCTTGGTTTAGCAAAAGAGCCCACAATTCTGACTCTTGGCTGCCTGAGCCCAAAGAAACATCGGCACTGTCATCTTTTTACGGCATAAACTCTAACTTCTGGTCCATGCAGGACCTCACCTTTTGATTTTCAAGGGCCTAGTTTGAAAATGAAAAAGAAAATTAACTTTTTTTCTCTCTTTTTTACTGCTATTGCATTTTAATTCTCTTTGAAGCTAGGTAAATGCTGCCAATTGTGATATAGGAGTTAAGAAGAAATTAGGCAGATAGTGAGGGTAAGGAAGTCCTCAGTAAGGTTTTCCTTTTCTTGAAAAGCAGCCCCCAAATCATCTTCTTTTCTAACAAAGAGCAGCCTGTAAAATCGAGCTGCGGACATAGACAAGCAAACTGGAAGCTTGCCTGGATGAATGCTGGCAGCTGTGCCAGTAGGAAAAGGCTGCCTGGGGCTAGGCATGTCCAACATGGTGGTTCCATCTATCCCTTTCCCTGTCAACCATGTGCACAGTAAGGAGAAGGCAACATGCATTGGCCAAGTAGAAACCCCATTTGCATTATAAAAGATTAGGGTGGGTGGCCAGCTATGTAAACGTCCCACCTGGTCCAACCAATCTTGGGCCCTATGTAAATCAGACACTGCCTCCTCAAGCCTGTCTATAAAACCCTGTGCACTCCACCACGGGACAGAAGTCCCACTAGGGCACCCCTGTCTCTTGCAGGAGAGAGAGCAGTTCTCCTTTCTCTTTCTTTTGCCTATTAAATCTCTGCCCCTAAAGCCACTTCTTGTGTGTCCACATATTCGATTTCCTTGTGTAAAATGAGGAGCCTCGGGTATTTACCCCAGAAAATGACACCACTTCAATTGGTTAGGTGGGAACTTTTAGGAAAGAAGAGGAAAAATATCAAAATGTTAAGGTTTTATCTTGTTACATCTGTATATCCAACCAATCAACTTGACACATCCCTAGGGTGCTTCTCAGGTGTCCCAAAGCCATTAGGTCTTCAGATGAGGCCATCGAGCAACAGACTTGGATCAACCTCAAAATGTTCAGCAAAGAAGCTACATGCAAAAGAATACACTATTGCATAATGCTATTCATATAAATCTCAAAACAGGCAAAACAAAGCCATAGTATTTAGGAGTTCATGCTTAACTGACAAAAACATTACAAGGTAACACCACCAAAGTGACTACCATCAAAATCAGGTTCATGATCACTTTGGAGGAAGAAAGTAGGAAGGATCAGGAGAAGAATGAGAGGGGCTCCTGGGGTGCTAACATTCTAGCTCCCCACCTGAGTGATGCTACACAAGGGTTTGCTTTGATAAATCATTGTGCTGGACATTCTGTTTTGGGTACTTTTCTGTAGTGTTAAGTCCACAGGGGAAGAGCTTTTTAAAAGCAAAGGGACATGTACTCCATAAATATATACACCTACTGTGTACCCCTAAAAAGTTAAAAATTTAAATTTAAAAAAAAGCAAAGGGAGAAGAAAAAAAAATGTGATGGAAAGTGAGCCCGGGAAGGTCTGTCACCCACATAGGGACACAGCGAAAGGGTTCCGTTATGATCTTCTCAATGAGATGCACTTGGTGCAACCTGGAAGGCAGAAATGAGATGGAATCCCTTTCCTGCCCCTTTGCCTGTTTCCCCTGGCAAGCACAGCTCGGTGGGGGATGGCGGGGGGGGGGCGGGGGGGTTTGGGGGTTTGGGTTTTTTTTTTAGGGTTTCAGCAACCACATTCTTGTGTCTAGTCACTTACTTTGTGGGTCTTGAAAGACACCTGCAGTGGCAGTGGTGGTCTCCCAATCCGTGGATCACAGCTATGATGGGTGTCCTTGAATCTAACATGAACCCAACACCCCCAGTCCCAGTCTCCTGCCTGGCAATGGGCAGGTGTATAGTGGAAAAACAGTTTTTCTCTATACTCACACTCAACACTTCTGTGACCAGATGTGCACACTTTTTCCCATGCCAGCCACTTTTCCCACACCAGCTGGGTGTCGTACAATTCAATTCAGTTCTGACACAGACCAGAGTTAGCACAGACCTCACAGGTTAAGGGCTCAGTCCCACAACACCAGCCCCCAATTCAGATGCCAATCACAAGTAGTAAGTCCCCAGGACACCCACAACTTCTGTCTGATTTGGCTACAAATTGGAGCTTCCCATGAACCCCTCTTTGGGTTCAATATTTTGCTAGAGCAGCTCCCAGAACCCAGGAAGACAGTTTACTTACTATTGTCAATTTATTACTGAGGATATTTCAGCCAGATGAAAAGGTACAGCATAGGGCAAGGTCTAGAAGGGTCCCCAGCACAGGTCCCCATAGAGTTAGAGTGCACTAGCCTCCTGGCACGTGGATGCATTCACCAACCTGGAATCTCCCTGAACTCCATCTTTTAGGGATGTTAATGGAGGCTTCATCACAAAGGCATGATTGATTATTAACCCAATCGCTAGACCCTCTCTCCTCCCTGGAGAATGAGGGGTAGGGGTGAAAGTTCTAGGCTTCTGATCATGGCTTGGTCGTTCTGGTGACAAGCTCTCATTCAGCAGCCCAGCAAAAGTCACCTACAGACAGTATAACAGATGCTCCTATCACCCAGGTCATTCCAAGGGATGAGGAGCTCTGAGTCCAGACCCTGGCATCTGGGAGAGGTGCAGCTGCAGCTGTGGAGCAAGGTGGGTGGGGGTTTGCGGGGAGGAACCCTTTGCACATCCACCTAGGGAGGGCTGGTCTCCACCAGCTTTGTTCATCCTCAATGGCTAAAGGTTTCCATTTGCAGTTTTCTGACTTTTCCTACCTCCCAATAAGAAGCGAAATTAGCTGGTTCTGGGAATACGGGGCTTGAAAAACAAGAAGTGCTTTGGAAAATGTGCTGGGATCTGAGTCGCCTGTAATTGATGAGTTCCTGCCTCCATTGTGGTCCAGTGAACTGGGAAGATGTGGCAGGGAACTCAAACCCTCCCTAAGGGAAGACGCCTACTTAATGCCTAAGGAAGATGAGTTTTCCATCCTCTGTGATTGTGTAAGATTTCCGGGCCAGCCCTGACATCTGGCCACAATCTCAGCACCCAGTCATTGTTTTTGTTCCACAATATTCTTTGCTTTTTAACTCCATCAGAAAAAAAAAAAAACTGTCTTGATTCTCAACATGTTAGGGTGAATCAATACAGTGATTAATAGGAAATAATTTTTGGTGGTTTATATTTTAAGTACTAAGTACCCATCTAGAATGTATAGGGTGGTCAGGAACTTAGAGGGAATGGAAATCCTCCTGCACACTGGATGCGGTTTGAAATTATCCTGCCACTAAGACAACAGCAGCATAAACATACTGGGTGAAGAAAAATAAGCCGGATGTTCTCAGGACATCTGAAAATCATTGGTTCAGACCCTTTCCTTAGGGAAGATAGTTAAATGGAGAAGTTGGTCACTTTAGAACCCATGAAGCTGAGGCATGAGAACAAGCCCAGAGCTTTTTCAGCAACGTGACACACTCAGTTTGTTTGTTTGTTTTTTAATTAAAAAAAATAATTGGCCAGGCAGAATGGCTCATGACTGTAATCCCAGCAGTTTGGGAGGGTGAGGTGGGAGGATTGCTTGAGGCCAGAAATTAGAGATGAGCCTGGGCAACATAGCTAGACCCTGTCTCTCCAAAAAAAAAAAAAAAAAAATTAGAAAAAAAATTAGCTGAGCATGGTGACTCATGCCTGCAGTCCCAGAGCCTTGGGAGGCCAAGGCAGGAGGATCACTTGAGGCCAGGAGTTCAAGATCAGCCTGGGCAACATGGTGAGACCCTATCTCTACAAAAAAAAAAAAAAAAAAAAAAGCCAGGCATGACGGCGTATGCCTGTAGCGCTGGCTGCTTGGGAGGCTGAGGTGGGAGGACTGTTTGAGCCAGGGAGTTTGAGGCTATCGTGAGCTGTGATTGTACCATTGCACTCCAGCTTGGGTAATAGAACGAGACCCTGTGAAAAACGAAAAAGCAAACCAAAAGAAACTTGTTCCTCAGGCATAAGGGGTAGGTGGATATCAGAAGGGAAGGGCCTCCTAAGGCCCTAATACCTATGCCCCTTCATGCACCTATTAATATTCTCAGCATAAATTTAGCAGCCCTCAATCAAAGAACAGTCCCAAGCTAGGCATAGAGCTCATTAGATGGCTGCTATGGTGAATGAGACATATGTTTGTATTTTTAAATTGTAAGCCTGAACTAGGAAGACTTTGATGAGTCTGTTCCCTGTGTGTGGGAGGAGAGATTGCATTTGCATTTTATGGATTGCTCAAGAAAACTCCAAAAGTGGGAAAACTCATTCAATTCCCTCCCTCATTCTCTTATTTATCTCTTGAAAAAATGAACCTGAGCTAAGTGCTGGATGTTAAAAAAAATGAAAAGATAAAAAAAAAACTTGCTTTCAGGGAGCATTCAGACTACTTAGCAAATGGATGCAATACAATGTGTCAAAGAGATAATGGATGATAGTGAGCCTGACTGTGCTGGGGGTGTCCTGCAAGATTTCATTGACTTGGGTCTTGAAGTATGACAAGTTTGCATGATGATCCTGTTTCATGGGCACAAGGGCAGGGCAGGGCTCACCAGGCAAGAGGATAGGATGGGTAGAGGCATGACAAAAGATGCACAATCTTTGAACAGTAAAGAGCAAGGAAGGCTGGGTGCGGTGGCTCACTGCTGTAATCTCAGCCCTTTGAGAGGCTGAAATGGGAGGATCACTTGAGCTCAGAAGTTCAAGATCAGCCTGGGCAACATGGGGAGACCCCATCTCTATAAAAAATATTTAAGAAATTAGGTGGGCATGGGAGCACACACCTTTAGTCTCAGCTACTCCTCAGGAAGCTGAGGTAGGAGGATCACTTGGGCTGATGAGGTTGAGGCTGCAGTGAGCTGTGACCATGCCACTGCACTCCAGCCTGGGTTGCAGAGAAAGTTCCTGTCTCAAGGAAGACAATAATAAGGCAAGGAAAAGTAACTGGGGAAATAGGAAGAGGCCAGACCATGGCCTTTTCTGGTGTAGAAATTTGAACTTCATTTTGTAGGTCTTAGGGAGTCACAGAAGGATTTAAAGCAAGACAGTGACATGATCAGAATCATGTTAGATGGAGAAATCTCCCTGTGATTATTGGTGGGAGCAGGTAATGGGAAATTGTGGTAATCCCGGTGATAGATCAAGAAGGATGACACTGGCCAGTCGAAGTGGACTGTAAAGAACAAAACCAATTCTACCCCAGCATTTATGGGGTAGAATCAGTAGCAGAGTTTGTGAAGTCATTAGAAGCCTCTTGCCAAAACAAAAGTTTGGTCCCTCAAGAAGGGTACTGCAATATGGTCAAAAGAGAAAGGCCAAAAGTGCTTTCCTAGATATTGCTCCTCTGTGGCAGGAACAGGCAGAGAACCAAAAAGAAAGGAAGCTAGGAAGAGTATCTACCAAGCTATACCATGCCTCTGAGTTCACACTGTGGTTAGGCTAAAACTCTAAGAGAATAATAGAATATAGTTGAAAATTCCAGGTTGGATCAAGACTCAAGGCATATCATTTTGCACCTGCTATAAGTTCCTTTAAAAAAAAATCCTATCTGGGGCCAGGTGCGGTGGCTCACACCTGTAATCCCAGCACTTTGGGAGGCTGAGGCGGGCGGATCATGAGGTCAAGAAATCGAGATCATCCTGGCTAACATGGTGAAACCCTGTCTCTATTAAAAATACAAAAAATTAGTGTGTGTGCATAGTGGCACACAACTGTAGTCCCAGCTACTCGGGAGGCTGAGGCAGGAGAATCGCTAGAACTGGGAGGCGGAGGTTGCAGTGAGCCGAGATCACGACACTGCACTACAGCCTGGGTAACAAGAGCAAGACTCCGTCAAAAAAAAAAAAATCTATTTTGAAAAATGTAATATATTTAATTTGTATTGAGTCAAAATTCACATGCAATGAAACGCATAGATTTTATGTGTATAATTGATAAGTACACACACAATACATGACTGTGTACACAACTCCTTTGTATGTGATTGGAAATATTTTCTCCCAGTCTGTAGCTTGCCTTTTGATTTTCTTGACATCTTTTGACCAACAGAAGACTTTTTTTTTTTTTTAATTTGAGATAGAGTCTTGCTCTGTCACCTAGGCTGGAGTCTGGAGTGCAATGGCATGATCTCAGCTCACTCCATCCTCCGCCTCCAGGGTTCATGCAATTCTTTTGCCTCAGCCTCCTGAGTAGCCAAGATTACAGGCATGCACCACCATCCCTGGCTAATTTTTATATTTTTAGTAGAGATGGGGTTTTGCCATGTTGGCTAGGCTGGTCTTGAACTCCTGACCTCAGTTGATCTGCCTGCCTTGCCCTCCCAAAGTGCTGGGCCACTGCACTAAAAGATTTAATTTTAATGAAATCCAATTTAACATTTTTAATGGTTAGTTTCTAACACTTTATTTTCTTAGAGCAGTTTTAACTTTATAGCAAGATTGAGCAGAAAAGATGGTATTTCTATATACTTTCTGCCCTCCACATGCACAGCCTTCCCCATTATCAACATCCCCCACCAGAGTGGTGCATTTGTTACAACTGATAAACCTACACTGATATATTAGTATTACCCAAAGTCTATAGTTTACCTTAGGGTTCACTCTTGGTGTTGTACATTCTGTGCATTTAAATAAATGTATAATAGCATGTATTCAACATTATGATATCACACAGAGTAGTTTCACTGCCCTAAAAATCCTCTGTGCTCTACCTATTCATCTCTCTCTCCCCAGAAACCCCTGGCAACTACTGACCTTTTTACGGTCTCCATAGTTTTCCCTTTTCCAGAGTGTCATATAGTTGCAGTCATATATTATGTACCCTTTTTTAGCCTTTTTCACTTAGTGCTATACATTTAAGTTTCTTCCATGTCTTTTCAAGGCTCAATAACTAATTTCTTTTTAGCACTGGATAATATTCCAT
The DNA here is from genome assembly GCF_000001405.40 of Homo sapiens. Taxonomy (NCBI): domain Eukaryota; kingdom Metazoa; phylum Chordata; class Mammalia; order Primates; family Hominidae; genus Homo; species Homo sapiens. The sequence continues at coordinate 27,848,656 of NC_000008.11, forward strand.
TGTCTGGATGTAACATTCACCTACTGAAGGACATCTTAAGTGCTTTCAAGTTTTGGTAGTTATGAATGAATGAAGCTGGTATAAACGTTCATGTGTAGGTTTGTGTGTTGTCATAAGTTTTCAACTCTTTCGGGTAAGTATCAAGGATCTAAAAGGTTAACGTTATACCCAAGGTCATCTAAGTTTTCTCCTGTGTTATCTTCTACGAGTTTTAGTTTTACATCTTACATTTAGGTTTGTGATCCATTTTGAGATAATTTTTGTGAAGGGTGTAAGGCCTGTGTCTAGATTCATATTTTTTTGCATATGAGTGTCCAGTTATTCCAGCACCACTTACTGAAAAGACTGTCCTTGCTCCATTGTATCACCTTTGCTCCTTTGGAAAAAAATCAGTTGACTATATCTGTGTGGTTCTACATCTGGGCTTTCTATTTTGTTCTGTTGATCAATTTGTCTATTATTTCACCAATAGCACACTGTCTTGATTATTGTAGCTTTATAGTAAGTATCGAAGTTAGGTGGTGTTGGCCAGGCATGCTGGCTCACTCCTGTAATCCCAGCATTTTGGGAGGCCAAGGCAGGCAGATCATCTGAAGTCAGGAGTTCGAGACCAGCCTAGCCAACATGGCGAAACCCCGTCTCTACTAAAAATATAAAAATTAGCTGGGTGTGGTGGCACGTGCCTGTAGTTCCAGCCACTCAGGAGACTGAGGCAGGAGAATTGCTTGAACCTGGGAGGTGGTGGTTGCAGTGAGCCGAAATTGCACCACTGCACTCCAGCCTGGGTGACAGAGTGAGACTCTGTCTCAAAAAAAAAAAAAAAAAAAAAAAAGTTAGGTATTGTCAGTCTTCCAATTTTGTCTTTTCAGTCTATTATGTTGACTGTTCTGGTCTTTTGCCTCTCCATGTAAATTTTAGAATAAGTTTGTTGAGATCTACAACATAACTTGCTAAAATTGTGATTGAGATTGTATTGAATTTATAAAGTTGGGAAGAACTGACATCTTGGCAATATTGAGTCTTCCTTTCCATGAACATGGAATATCTCTCCATTTATTTAGTTCTTTATTTCATGTGTGTTGTAGTTTTCCCTATATAGATCTTGTATATATTTTTTAGACTTATACAGAATTTATTTCATTTGGGAGAGTGCTAATGTAAATGATACTGTGTTTTTAACTTCAAATTCCACTTGTTCATTGCTGGTATATAGGAAAGCAATTGATTTTTGTATATTAACCTTGTGTCTTGAAATCTTGCTATAATTCCTTCTTGGTTCCAGGAGTTTGGTTGTTTTTTTTTTTTTTTTGAGACGGAGTTTCACTCTTTTTGCCCAGGCTGGAGTACAGTGGCACTATCTCAGCTCACCGCAACCACCACCTTCTGGGTTCAAGCAATTCTCCTGCCTCAGCCTCCTGAGTAGCTGGGATTACAGGCACCCACCACCATGCCCAGCTAATTTTGTATTTTTAGTAGAGACAGTTTCTCCATGTTGGTCAGGTTGGTCTCGAACTCCCGGCCTCAGGTGATCCGCCCGCCTCGGCCTCCCAAAGTGCTGGGATTACAGGCGTGAGCCACTGCACCTGGCCTTTTTTTTTTTTTTTTTTTTAAGATTTTTACAGATTTTCTACATAGACAACTATGTCATCTGTGACGAAAGATAGTTTTATCCTTGTTATTTTCTTCCTTCTATTTGTTTTGGATTTAATTTGCTTCCCTTCCCTCTGTCACCAGCTTCTTACAGTGGAGATTTGGATAATTGATTTAAACCTCTTTTCTTTTATAATATGAGCATTTAAAGCTATAGATTCCTTTGAAGTATTGCTTTAGTGGCTTTACAAATTTTGGCATATTGCATTTTCATTATATTTTAGTTCAAACTATTTTCTAATTTCTCTTGTGATTTTTTGATGCAGAGTTACTTATAAATATAATTTTAAAATTAATAGGTTTAATTGTCATAATTGTATACATGTATGGGATACAAAGTGATATTTTGATATATGTATTATACAACATGGAATAAATTAATAAACATAGGCAGCACCTCATTTACTTATCATTTTTTGTGGCAAAACATCTGAAGTTTACTCTTTTAGAGGATACAATACATTAATATTGACTACAGTCACCCTGCTGTGCAATAGATCTCAAAATGTATTTCTCTTGTCTAACTGAAACTTTATACCTTTTGGCCAACTACTTCGCTTTCCTTCTCTCCCACCCCCACCCTCTCAGCCTCTCATAACCATCATTCTACTCTCTACTTCTAGGAGTTCAACTTTTTTAGCTTCAACATATAAGTGACATCATGCAGTATTTGTCTTTTTTCACCTGGCTCATTTCACTCAGCATAACATCTTCCACGTTCATCTATCTTGTTGCAAATGACAGGATTTCCTTCTTTTCTATGGCTGAATAGTATTCAATTGTGTATATATTACCACCTTTTCTTTATCCATTCATTCATCAGTGGACCCTTAGGTTGATTCCATATCTTGGCTATTATGAATAATGCTGCAATCAACATCAGAGTGCAGATATCGCTTCATTGACTTTAATTCCTTTGGATACATACTCAGAGTAGGTTTGCTAGAACATAAATATAATTTTTAATTTCCAAATATTTGAGGGCATTTTTTCAGTATCTTAGAATTAGTGATTTATAATTTAATCTCATTTGGCCAGAGATCATACTATTAGGCTTGGAGTGATGCTTTGTTAGGGCAGGCCTGTTTGGTTCTGAGCATTGCCTGTACTCTTGGTCATTGCTATTTTCCTAACTAAAAATATTTGGAAAATGGAGTTCTGGAAGGGTGCATATGTATATTAGGGTGATGGAGGAAAGTAATAACTCCTTCTCTTCCTTAGTGGGAAGTTTCAATAGATAATACCTAAAACTAAAAAATCAGTATATAACCATAGGAGATGAAATAGATAAGGTACTTGATGTATCTGAATGCTTGAATGAAGATTTAGATAATGGTAAAGCATTTTGGGTTGAATTAAGTAAGCGTGCAGAAAACAAAACAAAAAATTGATGACTATTAACTCAATGGTGAGTAAATGTACAAGAAATGAAAAATAATTATATTCACTACATAGTTCACCTGTGAATAGTATTGACATAATAATATAAAGAGTAAATTAAACATTTTTTAAATTAAAAAATTAGAAAAGTTGAAAGAATATACAGTGAACACTTTAGAGATATATATATATATTCCACCTGGATTCATGAATTAAACAATAGATGATAGTACACTTTTTATCATCAAGGTGTACAGAATGTCTGGTTGTCTGCCTTTTTAAATTAGTAGTTATTGATGCTTAAATTTACTAGATCCATTAATTTATTGAAGGCTACAAAATGATATTTTAATTCTGTCAGTTCTTTCTTGATTCATTTCCTTTCCACTACTATTTTGTGACAGAGTTATGCCATTTATATGCTTTTGTTTTTGTTGTTGAGACAGGGTCTCACTGTCGCTCAGGCTAGAGTGCAGTGGCATGATCCTGGCTCACTGCAGCCTCCATCTCCTGGGTTCAAGCAATTCTCGTGCCTCAGTCTCTGGAGTAGCTGGAACTACAGGCACGTGCCACCACACTTAGCTAATGCTTCAATTTTTTTCCATGTATTTACTAGTTTTCAAAATAATGAATTAGTTCCAAATCATCCTCCAAAGGAGATCACTTAGGTTTTAAAAATGGCATCATTTTGAATACATGGATTTCAATAGATTTGATGGATTTTAATTCATTGCAACTCTCATCCTCACTGACATTCGCTGTAATGTGTTTGGCCATGGGAACCTTTCCAAGCTGGCCCCTGATCTTGTTCACATGGCCTTCATAGTTTTTCATAGCTTCCTTTTTAACTCATATGACAACATGTTCCAGGCTCATCATGTGCATTTTTCACTGCAGGCTTGGTATCAGCCATTTCTTCAAGAAGCCCTCATGTCTTTCTTTTGAAAGCAGAAAATGGTATTTCAAGAACATAATCTGAGTGCTAGGGATAATCATTGCTTGAGGTGTGGTCACTGTTTCTAGGCCTGTTTTTTAAATTGATTTTTAACCAATTGCCTAGTTTTAACCACACGTTCACCTCCACTTCCAAAAGTAGCTCCTGTCACTGAGTTCTAAGCTTTTTGGGAATCCTGTGGCCTTCCTGCTTCCTGCTTAACACTCAGCCTTCTCTTGTCTGCTAAGTCGTTCACTGCTGTGCGTCAGCTTTCCAGTTTCAAAAAGGCTGTTGGGCCGGGCACGGTGGCTCACGCCTGTGATCCCAGCCCTTTGGGAGGCTGAGGTGAGAAACTTGGTTGAGCCCAGAATTTTGAAACCAGCCTGGGTAACATAACAAGACTCCTTCTCTACAAAAAATTTAAAAATTAGCCAGGACTGGTGGTACATGCCTGTAGTCCCAGCTACTCAGGAGGCTGAGGTGGGAGGATTGCTTGAGTCTGGGAGGTTGAGTTGGCAGTGAGCTATGATTGCACCACTGCACTCCAGCCTGGGCAACAGAACTAGACCTGGTCTCTAAAAAGAAAAAAAAAAAAAGTTTACTTTTGTCTCTGCTTCTGATAGCCCATTGTTGTAGGTTTATGTCCATAAGAGACAAAATTGTTTTATTCTTGTTTTACTAAGGTCTTAGGAGGGAGTGAAAGAAGGTATTTATGTCCAATCTACAATTTTTAGCTTTGAAAGTCTCTCATTTATCTTTGTATTCCTGGTATACTTATAGGTTTTGTTAGTCCATAGTAAATATTTTTGAAATGTAAAGAGAGAGTGTATCAAGAGGGTTACCCTCTCTTGACCTTGCTTGTGACAAGATGGGTCAGACCAGGAGATGCTGGGATAAGCTGTTCCAAGACATGTTTCTTTTCACTTCTGACTTCGCCTTGCATATTCCCTGGCAATCACTTTGTCACTTAGGTCTGAGATCCCAAGGCTATGCTCCCATGAAGAGCTGTAGATTCAGCAGGTGTCTGGCTGATCTGGGCTTTCTGACTCCGTTCTTGGTTATTAACCTTGCTATGGACTGACTAGTTGCCAAAACGACACCCAGAGCTCTGGTTCTCAGGTGAAGTTAACAGTCAGGTGTCAGCTGCAACAGAAACCCTCACAGCTGATCCAGCCCTGAACGTGCTGACTGCTGAGGCCAGCGGGCCTTCTCAAACGGAAGAAAACCTTAGGAAATGACCATTCCCAACCGTCTGTGAATATCAGACATGGAATAGCAGCAACCCAGATCTCCTTTTGGCTTGATGGAATCTGACTTCCTACTCCCCACTCTAAAGTCCAGAGGAGAAGACTTTGCCAGAATTATAATTTATCAAAACATGTTCTATTCTAAAGGGAAAGGGGACATTGACAGTATTTGTATGGAAAACGTTTTGCTTTGCATCACTGATTCTTCATATTCCAAATAATTTGTGGGGTGAGTGAGTTACTTGATTTTTCTTGTAAAGGGAGAAAAATAAAAACTCTTATAGTTCTCTAGAGGAGCAGCATAAATTAAAACTGGAAAACGAGGCAGCAGTGATACATTCCATTTACCTTCAGCAAACACTGCACAGGGGACGCCTTGGCTGCAGAATCTGCAATGCCAGAAATCAGCACCGACTCTTTTCAGATGTGACATATTTTCCACAGAACTTGATTCTCATCTTTGCTATGACTGCCTGTGGCCACTCAGTTACTAGAAGCCTACCATGCCAGTTCTTTGCTAAGTGGCTCTGGCAAGGTCTTTGCTAGCATTTAATCACAGTGAGAAAACTCCAGAGACTTTATTAGCTGTATAAAGAATTATAGAGATATTAGCTTAAGTTGGATGAAGTCCAGAGCAGCTGTACTGCTCTTCAAGTACCAGAGAATTTCTAAGAGATATATTATGCTAACAGAAAAGTATCCTGGGATTTTAATCCTAAATTATGTTAATACTGAACATAGGTATTCTTTATTTTACAAAGTAGCTGTATTCCTGAAAACTGTTGTGTTAATCTGGCTTCTAATACCCAATCCTACTTCCCCATTCATATATTTTGAAAGTGTTTAATCTTCATTTATGGCTAAATGTCAATGTATATATATACTTTTTTGTTTTTTAATTTTTTCTTTTCAGAGATAAGTTCTCACTCTGTCACCCAGTCTGAAGTGCAGTGGTACGACTGTAGCTCACTGCAGCCTTCAACTCCTGGGCTCAAGCAATCCTCCCACCTCAGCTTCTCAAGTAGCTAGGACCACAAGTGTGCACCACCATGCCCAGCTTTCCCAGCTAATTTTTAAAAATTTTTTTGTAGAGACGGGGTCTCACTATGTTGCCCAGGCTGGTCTCAAACTCCCAGGCTCAAGTGATCCTCCCAACTTGGCCTCCCAAAGTGGTGGGATTATAGGTGTGAGCCATTGCACCCAACCTCAATGTATGTACCTTTTTTTTTTTTTTTTTTGAGACAGGGTCTCACTCTCTTACCTAGGCTGGAGTGCAGTGGCATGATTATGGCTCACTGCAGCCTTGACCAGCCAGGCTCAAACAATTCTTCCTCCTCTGCCTCCAAAGTAGCTGGGGCTACAGGCACACACCACCATGCCTGGCTAATTTATATATGCATATTTTTTGTAGAGACAGGGTTTTGCCATGTTGCCCGGACTGATCTTAAACTCCTGGGCTCAAGTTATCTGCCCTTGTCAGCCTCCCAAAGTGTTGAGATTACAGGCATGAGCCACCACACCCGGCTGACTCAATGTACGTACTTTTACTTTCAATTCTACTTCTCCAAGTTTCTTTGACAAGTACTTAAATATAAAAAGAGTAAATATACTAGTATAGCTATCTATTTAAAGGAATGTTTATTAAATATTTTGGTAATGAGTATTTGATTATTTTGATTTTTATATATTAATAGGAATTAAGTCTCTGCTTCATCCAAAATGTGCAGTCTGGCTCACTTAACCTGGCTTAACTTTCCAAAATATATTTGCTTGTAATTAATACCTGCTGCCACTAGGTGGTGGTGGTGCTTTGGCCACTGAATGAGATTAGTATGCTCTTGCAAAATAATACATAGGGCCTGGTGTGGCGGCCCATGCATGTAATCCCAGCACTTTGGGAGGCCGAGGTGGGTGGATCACCTGAGGTCAGGAGTTCAAGACCAGCCTGGCCAACATGGTGAAACCCCCTCTCTATTAAAAATTCAAAATTAGCCGGGTGTGGTGGGTGCGTGCCTGTAATCCCAGCTACTGGGGAGGCTGAGGCAGGAGAATTGCTTGAACCCGGGGAGGTGGAGGTAGCAGTGAGCCAAGATAGTGCCACTGAACTCCAGCCTGGGCGACAAGAGCGAAAACTCCGTCTAAAAAAAACAAAAACAAAATCATATCTAAAAATACTTCACTGTTGAAATAAGTACAATCAGTATATTTTCCATTAATCATTCAATATGATCATTTCAAATTAATTTAATTCTCAACTTATTTCAATGCTTAATTAGCTTATATCAGTGTTTCTTAAAGTAAATTTTGTAGAGCACTAGTTCCCCACACAGTACTTTCCTATGCCGCATAAGAAATTACCACAATCTTAGCAGCTTAAAAACAACAAACATTTACATTTCCACTTCCAGAATGGCCACACGAGGTGCTCCACAGTCTCCAGCAAAGCCAGCATAACTGGTGAAAAATATATTTCAAACCTCAGTATTTAAAGTCTCTGGAAATTGTCCTAAGAGTATATAGCAAATAAATAAACATTTATTCAAGAAAATGGAGTAAAATTTGGTAAGAACATTGAGAGTCCATGGCATTTGAACCGTAACTCCTTCCTTACCCAGGGTTGACTGTGGCAGAAACTCCAGCCTAGGCAGGTAAAGCCAAGAACGCAAGGCTCCCTCTCCCGTCGGCTCCCACTTTCGGGTATGGTATGTTCCTGGGAGGGGCAGGCCACAGAATTTTTCATCAGCTGTGTGTTGTAAATTCCAGGGCTAAATTCCAGGTGAGTCCAGCCAAGAGGCCTGATGTTCTCTTCTTCCACCCAGCCCCCACTGGCAGGTGAAGGTTCTTCACCAGGCGCATCACACTGAGAACAGAGAGGCTGTGCTCATCCTTATTTGCAGGGTGGAGGCTCCACGCTCAGAGGGATGGATGATGCCATCCTTTACTATCACTAAGTGTGGAGTGGGGGATAACAAAACGGGTTAATGTGGGAGGTGAAAAGGTTTTACATTTCTGCTAAAAGGAGGTCAGTTCTAAATTACTTTTATTGCACACTGCTATAAGATCCATGAAGCTGACTTCTACAGTAATGATTGCTTACACATGTTGAAAGCTTGGTGCAACAGATAGGGTGCTAGACTAGAGGTTGGATATCTTTTACCTTAATTTTGTCATTTACCAGCTGTGTGACTTGAGACAATTTACCTAACCTCCGGTGGGTCATTTTTTTCATTACATAACGGGGATAATAATGACTGCCTTAATGATCTCACCGAACAAATATGCAAACCAAATCAGGTAACTTGTAAAGCTGTCTTAAATTGATTACCCTATATGAATGTAAGGGTTTATTTTTATTGTTGATGATGACAATGTAGATGGTTAATCACTAATTAAAAATAATTGGCTTAAAGAAGCATAGTTATCCAATTAACTTATCCTTGATTGATTAAACAGGTTTAAACCCAGTTCTTGTGGTTGTTCATTACCATGGACATAGAACGATCAGTTATATACTAGGATGGTTGTTCTTCACCTTCAGCGTGTTTCAGAATCACCTAAAGAGCTTGTTGAAATGCAGGCTTCAGGAACCCCTCCCCAGAGTTTCTGATTCAGAAAGTCTGGATCGGGGTCTGAAATTGTGCATTTCTAACAAGTTCCCAGGAGACACTGATGCTGTTAGTCTAGAGACCACAATTTGAGAACTACTGTCTTAGGTGGACAGGACATTTTCAGCCTTGTTACAAATTGCTATAAGGGCCCTGAAAAAAGATTCCAGGTAATATGAAAACATTTTTTAAAAAAGGCACCTGCCCTAGCCTGGGAACTGCTAGAAATCTGCAAGAAGGAAGGAACATTGGAGCTGAAATCTGGCAGAAAAGTGGTAGTTAATCAACATAGCAGAGTGGCAGAAGAGAAGAACTGCTAGACCAAAAGAAGAATGGGTCAAAGGCTCTGGGGCTGGACGGAGTGTGATGCTCAATGCTTCTGAGGAAATGGAAGGCCAGCATGCTAGGGTGAAGGTGAACACAGTGGAGGCACCGGTGAGGCCAGAGTGAGAAGGAGGAGACCAGCCCTAAAGACTCTGAATTTCATCCTGAGAGCAATGGGAATTTGCTGAAAAGTTTTCAGCAAAAGAATGTAATGACCTAATTTGTGTTTTTAAAATCCTTTCTGGCTGCTACATGGAACATTGGCTAAAAGTAGGCAAGGGTAGAAATGATGAGACTAGCTAGGAAGGTACAGAAGTCCAAGAGAGCTGGTATCAAGGGCTGGCTGAGAAAGTCTAAGTGAGGTGGGGAGCTGCGAATGGGAAGAGTGAGGCACTCCCTGGAGTAGCGAGAGAGGGAGCTGCCACCTCCCAGCTGGGTGAGTTGCAACGTTCACTGAGCTGGAGGGTGGAGGACCACAGTGTGATGGTAGGGATGGGTGGAGGGACATCCTGATTTCACTGGGGACTTACTGTATTTTAATTTTTTAACTCACAGTAGAATTCAGGATTTTTTTTTTTTTTTTTTTTTGAGGCAGACTCTTGCTCTGTCGCCCAGGCTGGAGTACAGTGGCTGATCTTGGCTCACTGCAACCTCTGCCTCCCAGGTGCAAAGAATTCTTTTGCCTCAGTGACCCAAACAGCTAGGAGTACAGGTAATGAGCCTGCCCAGCTAATTTTTGTATTTTTAGTAGAGACGAGGTTTTTCCATGCTGGCCAGGCTGGTCTCGAACTCCTGACCTCAGGTGATCCACCCGCCTCGGCCTCCCAAAGTGCTGGGATTACAGGCATCAGCCACTGCGCCCGGCCAGAACTCAGAATTTTTTTTTTTTAATTTGGAGAATATACATTTCTAAGAATTTTGAACAATTGTGCATACATAATCACTACTGCTATTAGGACACATGATAATTTCATCTTCCAAAAACTTCCCCAGGTCGTCCTTGGTAGTCAAATCTTCTCCTTACTCCTAAAACCTGGCAATACTGGTATCATCTTGGCCTCTATACTCTTACCTTTTCAAGAACGTCCCAATGTGGAATCATACAGTGGGTAATCCTTGGGGCCTGGCTTCTCTCACTTAGCACAGCATATTTGAGATTCATCTGTGCTCTTGCATGTGTCAATAGTTCATTTCTTTTCATTCCTAAGCAGTAGTGTGTCATTTGGGTGTACCCCTTTGTTTTGGCATTTATGAATAACACTGCTATAAAGTTTCATGGACAGGCTTTCATGTGAACAGAGATTTTCATTCCTCTAGGGTAAATGCCTAGAGTTGGGGTGCTGGCTCATATAAGCTTATGTTTAACTATATTTCATATTTTATCTTATTTATTATTTATTTACTTTATATATTTTTTAATCTTTTAATTTTTTTTTGAGACAGAGTCTCACTCTGTCACCCAGGCTGGAGTATAGTGGCTCGATCTCAGTTCACTGCAACCTCTGCCTCCTGGGTTAAAGCAATTCTCATGTCTCAGCCTCCTGAGTAGCTGGGAATACAGGCGCACGTCACCACGCTTGGCTAATTTTGGTATTTTCAGTAGATATGGGCTTTGCCATGTTGATCAGGCTGGTCTCGAACTCCCGGCCTCAAGTAATTCACCTGCCTCGGCCTCCCAAAGTGCTGGAATTACAGGTGTGAGCTACCACGCCAGGACTATCTTGTTTTTTTTAGAGACAGGGTCTCAGTCATCTCACCCAGGTTAGAGTGCGGTGGTGTAGTCATAGCTCACTGCAGCCTTGAACTCCTAGGCTCAAAGGATCCACCCAACTGAGCCTCCCAAGTAGCTGGAGTCCTGGGCGCATGCCACCATGCATGGCTAATTTTTATTCTTATTTTTTTGTAGAGGTAGGGTTTCACTCTGTTGCCCAGGCTGGTCTCAAACTCCTGGCTTCAAGTGATCCTTCTGCCTTGGCCTCCCAAAGTGCTGGGATTGCAGGTGTGAGCCACCTCACCTGGCCTTTTTATAAAAAACAGCTCAACTATTTTCCAAAATGGCTAAGCCATTTCACATTCCCCCCAGCAGAGTATGAGAGTTCCAGTTGCTGTGTACCTGCATCATAATTGGTATTGCCAGGTTTGGGTTTTGTGTGTGTGTGTGGAAATTTTGACCCTCCTCATGGGTGTGTAGTGGTGTGGTTTGACAGTGTGGAGTATCTTTTCATGCACTTATTTGATATACGTGTATCTTCTTTGCTGAACTGTCTTCTCAAATGTTTTGCCTAGTTTTTCACTGGGTTATTTCCTTATGAGTGAGCTGGCCAGATTGCATTTGAGAGGCCTTTGTGATATCTGGGTGATAATGGAGGCCCTTGGAGACACATGCTTGGATGTTCAGAGATGTCTCATCTGGAGATGCTCACTTGCAAGTCAGTGGCACATAGAGATGCATGAAATAGTCCAAGGACTGCTTGTAGAACAGAGCTTTGAGGCATTCCAGCACTCAGTGGCCAGAGAGGAAGGTGAGCCTGCGAAGGATGCTGAGGACGGGCAGCAACAGAGGTCAGAGGGAAACCTTAAACATGTGGTTTCAGCAAAGCCACAGATGAGGCTTTGCTTCTTTTTTTGTTGTTGTTGTTTTTTGAGGTAGAGTTTTGCTGTTGTCTCCCAGGCTGGAGTGCAATGGTGTGATCCCTGCTCACTGCAACCTCTGCCTCCCGGGTTCAAGTGATCCTTCTGCCTCAGCCTCCTGAGTAGCTGGGATTAGAGGCACCCACCACCATGCCTGGCTATTTTTTTTTATTTTTAGTAGAGATGTGGTTTCACCATGTTGGCCAGGCTGGTCTTGAACTCCTGACCTCAGGTGATCCACCCGCCTCAGCCTCCCAAAGTGCTGGGATTACAGGCGTGAGCTGCTGCACTCAGCCGAGGCTTTGCTTCATTCTACAAACAGAAGAAGGCAGACAACAGAGTTGAATGCTGATCAGATATGATAAAGGCTGCAAAAGATGTGTTTGGTGTACCAAGGAAGATGCCATTGGTAAGCCTAGGAAAGTTTCAGTGGCCCTAAATGGGGGGATGGATTGGACCATGCTGAGGAGGGAGTGGGAGTGAGGAAATGGAGTCAGCAGGTCAACTCTTTTTATTTTCTAATTTTAAAAATTAGTTTATTTTTTAGAGACAGGGTATTGCTCTATGGCCCATGCTGGAGGGCAGTGGTGTGATCATAGTTCACTGCAGCCTCAAACTCCTGGGCTCAAGTGATCCTCCCATCTCAGCCTCCTGAGTAGCTGAGACTGCAGGTGCGCTCCACCATGCCCAGCTAATTTTAAAAATATTTTTCGTAGAGACGAAAAATATTCGTCGCTGTGTTGCCCAGGCTCAAGTGATGCTCCTGTCTCAGCCTCCCAAAGTGCTGGGATTACAGGCCTGAGCCACAGTGCCCGATCCAGCTAATCTCTTTTGAGATGTGGCTTTAAAGAGGAGATAGATAGATTAGTAAATGGAAGAGTAGGATCAAGGGAATCGCATTCTTAGGCTTTGCTGAAATTTGAGAATTTCTACATTAAGACATGACTCTTCATTTACTCATGAACTCAACATTTGAGGTCCTGCTATGTGCCAAGTACTACGCTCCTTGCTGAGGAAAGAAAGCTGAATACAATGGAGGCCCCAGATGACAGGCCACTAACTATGTAGATGGCAGCCCCGTCTATCAACTCGAGCAGAACAGACAGTTCTGTTTATGGCATTAAGATACAAGAGTGTTCTTACTGGTAACATCTTTCCGTAGAAATTGTGAATTTTGTCTTAGGCTACATAGGTTTCAAGGTTATAAAATACCAGATCTGGGAGGGAACTGAGAGATCATCTCATTCAAAGGTAGGAATTTGAGTCCCAGAGAGGCTTAGCAGCTTGCCCAAGGACGCACATCTCCTAAGTGGCAGATTCAGGGACAGAGCCCTTATCTTCTGCTTCCCAGTTCAGGGAATTTTCCACTACTCCATGCCAGATGATACACGTAAGTGTCACTTTCTGCATTTCTAAATTCATATAGCTTAACCATTCCTTTAAGTGGTAATGTTAATGAATTCCATGAGTTAGTGCTTATTTTCCACATTCTGCCAATTAGTTGTGGGTTGGGGGTGATCCATTCCAAGGCCCTGGATTATTAAGTGCAGTGTCAGCTGTTTTTTGAAGGTAATTCATTCCAAAGCTTGGACCAATTACACCTAGCAGAATTGAGAGTAGGTTGAATTTGCCTCTAAATGTCTTTGAATTGAAAATCAATAGTCCTGTCTGCTCCCCCCATAGCATGGCTACAGGGAGCAACTGGGGCATGCGGGAGGTGGTGTCTCCACACACTGGGGAGGTGGGTATCCTGAGGGGGTGCAGGGGTCAGGCTCAAAGCAGTCCCCCTCTTACCTGGTGGATAACAGGCTGGAGCAGTCTATTTTGGGAGTTGGCCTTTTTCTGCTATTCCATCTAGAAACAATAGTAAGAAGAATTTATGATTATTTCTAACCTTCCCTCCCTCCATCATTCTCCCAGCCCTGAGCAATCTGGATTGGACTCCTACCATCTGGGAAATACCAATTTCACTTGGAAACCAGGAGCATCTCCTACCTCATCTAGAACTAGTTACCTCCCCAGCCAGCAGCATGTCAAGGAGAAACAGAAAAAGTATAGATTATCTATCGTGCAAAACAGCCGTTTTCATGCCCACGGCTTCTGGTGATCAGATTAATCTTTGGTGGCCTCTGCCATCCAACCTAATCATTTGAGGAGGCAAAGGCTTGTCCTGCACCGATCTGTCTAGCAGTGTGGCTCTGGGCAAGTGATGGCATCATTAAATATTACAGCTGGAAACTGTAGGGGAGGAAAAAATAATTTCCCCTCTCTACTCTTCTAAGTTCTTGGCTGGAACCCCTGTAACAAAAGAGAGATTAGTAAGAGAAAAATGAAGAGAAGTTTATTAACATACATATCTCATATGGGCATGGGAGAAAACTCAGGGAAAGAGTAACTCTCAAAGAGGTAACTTAGAACTCTTGTTTATATGGCATCTTTAACAAAGAATAATACATTTTTAGAAAAGTGACAAGGGCCAGGTGTGGTGGCTCACGCCTGTAATCCCACCATTTTGGGAAGCTGAGGCAGGCAGATCATCTGAGTCAGAAGTTCGAGACCAGCCTGGCCGACATGGTGAATCCCCATCTCTACTAAAAACACAAAATTTAGCTGGGTGTGGTGGTGCCCGCCTGTAATCCCAGCTACTTGGGAGGCTGAGGCAGGAGGATCACTTGAACCTGGGATATGGAGGTTGCAGTGAGCCAAGATCCCACCATTCCACTCCAGCCTGGGTGACAGAGCGAAACTTCATCTAAAAAAAAAAGAGAAGTGACAAGACAAAGGAGAAGGATCCTGAGTCTCTAGGGGTGGCAAATTGTCTCAAGTCAAATATAGATGCAGGCTAGTTAATAAAGTTTGTTATGTGGATTCCTCTCGTGTGGTCTTCAGGCTGTTAAGAGTCAAAAGTCATCTCCAGGGATCAACTTAGTCCTTCCTGGTGGAGCAGGGAGGAGGGGCACCTTTGCAAATTTGTGTCCTGCTTTTAGGCATAGCGGCGAGGGCACAGAGCTTTCCTTGTATTTGCTTCCTCTCAATTGCCTTCAGCTCAAAATAATTCTTATGTCAAAGTGTTATATTTTGGAGTGCTGTATTCTGCTACCCTGTGAGAGGCTTTCCAAGCTCACATATTTAGATATTACCAACAAGGAAACCAGGCTTAGGGAAATGAAATATCTCATGTTCTATACATTTGTGGTGGTGCCTGCCTGCTCTCTCTGCTTTCAGTTTCTTCACCCGCAAAAAGGGAGATTGAGCACTTCTAATATCCTTTCCACCTCTCGCATTCAATGCCCTGAAAGTCCCTTTGAGCCTTGCTACTCAACACATGGGTGTGGACAGCAGCCTTGCAGCATCGCTGAGAGCTTATTAGGAATGCAGAATTTTGTGCCCCACCCCAGACCAGCTGAATGAGGATCTGCATTTCAACAATGTGCATATAAGATTTAGAAGACTCATATAAGCACAACTCATATAAGTCGGCTTTAGAAATGCAGTTGCTCTTGGCCCTAAACATCCTGTATTTTTTTTCCCCTAAAGCTTACAGTTGTCTTTCTCTCATCAGCCTGCAGAGGTCAGGAGAGAGCCGATGGCGGTCTTAATGAAGAGGAAGGAGGAAAGGACGCAGCTTTTTTTACCCCCCGGCTTAATTTACTCCGTATTCGGCTTAACTTACTCCCTATTCTACCCTCCGGTCTTCAAGTTCCCTTAAGCTCGTTGGCCTGTTACCCAGTAAAACTACAAGGAAATGGTCTGTGTGGTGAATTTTGAAGCTGTCCACAGTACAGATACTCCAGTGTCTGCCCTTCCAGAAAAGAGCTGGACCTAAGGGGTCCTCCTGTCTCACGTGCAGACTCCCAGGGCGGGATTAAAAATGCAAAAATCCCATGTTTCCTTGCAAATCCATGTGAATCTGTGGCTGATATTATTATGCCACTCTATGTGATGTAATGAAGCATAATTTATTTTGGTTCTATAATGTATTTATTTATCAAGGCATTTGTATTCTATTTTATTGTTGATCAATTTCCTGTAATTTAAAATTCTAATGACCACCTCTCCAATAAACCAAAGGCCAATGTCTTCCATGTTGTTATACAAATGATATTCTTTGTATAATGCTTTAGAGTTTATAAAACACTATTTCACTTTTTAAAAAATCTTCATAACACAAGATACATTGAATACCTCCATTTATGATGATGATGATGCTGCAGCCCAAGGTTTATCCAGTAGGTTGTAGAACTAAGACTTGAATCCAGGTCTCCTAATTCTATATTCCATAAATCTTTCTATTTTACTAAATGGCCTCCACTAATTATAATAAAGTTTCCACTCAATGAATGACATCAAGGTGTAGTTACCCACTGCTGAGATGTTTTATTTGGGGATTTAACATTTTTATCTGATAATATTTTTTCCAGCAGTGCAATTTACCAGCAATAACTGATTAGATATTATAATTTCCAAAGATTTCCCTCTGTCTGTGATTAGAAAGAGGCTACTGGGAAAAAATGAACTTTAAAAGTAATAATCCAAAATACCACAGGATAGGGACATTTCCCTAGAATACAAAGTCAACACTCCCTTCCCTCTGTCCATCCCTGTAATGCCTAGCCCCCATCCCACCATATAAATTCTCTTTTCTGTCTCTCTAGTACAGAAAAGAGAGGATGTTTCTTTCTCCTTTTGGATCTTCCTTCTTTCTCAGACATTAAATACCTAGTGTCTCAGTTGTTTTGGGCTGCCATAACAAGCTACCAGAGACTGGGTGGTTTATCAACAATGGAAATTTATTTCTCACAGGTCTGGGGGCTGGGAAGTACAAGATCAAGGTGCTGGCAGATTCATTGTCTGGTGAGGGCCACTTCCTGTCTCATAAATGGTGCTTGCTTACTGTGTCCTCACATGACAGAAGAGGGGAGGGCAATCTCCTGGATCTCAAGATTTAGATGTTCTATTTATTGAATGTATGCTAGAGCTTACCTTTTAAAGCATCTGATCCTAGTGTTTTCTTTGTGGGAAGATTTTTAATTACAGAGTCTATTTCCTTATGTGTTATTGCACTATTCAAGTTTTTTTCCTTGATTCTGTCTTGATATTTAAAATATATTTGTAGTTTAAATTTTCCCAACAAATACATTGGCATAAAGTTATATATATATATATATATATATATATATATATATATATATATATATATATATATATATATATGGAAATGTCCCTATCCTGTGGTATTTTGGATTATTACTTTTAAAGTTCATTTTTTCCCAGTAGCCTCTTTCTAATCACAGACAGAGGGAAATCTTCTTTGGAAATTATAATATATTTTATATATATATATATATATATATATATATATTTTTTTTTTTTTTTTTTTTTTTTTTTTTAAGACAGATTTTCACTCTTGTCCCCCAGGCTGGAGTGCAGTGGCGTGATCTCAGCTCATTGCAACCTCTGCCTCCTGGGTTCAAGCAATTCTCCTGCCTCAGCCTCCTGAGTGGCTGGGATTACAGGCATGCACCACCACGCCCCAACTAATTTTTGTATTTTTAGTAGAGACAGGGTTTCACCATGTTGGCCAGGCTGGTCTTGAACTACTGACCTCAAGTGATCTGCCCACCTTGGCCTCCCAAAAAGTTATTTACAATACTATCTTAATTTTCTTTTTCTTCTCTGCAGTGCCTCTACTTTGTCCTCATTTATATTCCTACTGCTTTTAATTTGTGTCTTCTGTGTTTCTTTTTTGATCAGTTTTGCTTCAGGTCTGTCAATATCATTAGTCTTTTTAAAGTTCCAACTTTTAGCTTTGTTCATCCATGCTTCTGCCTGTTGTATGGATATGGCACAATTTGTCTGTTCATTCACCTGCTGGTGGATGTTTACGTTGTCCCATTCTTGTTTATTACAGCTTTATCTGAACATTTGTTTGCAAGTCTTTGCGTGAACACCTGCTTTTATTTCTCTTGGGTAAATACCTAGTATTGCAATGGCCGAGCTGTATGGTAGGTATATGTTTAACTCTTTAAGAAAATTGCCAAATTGTTTTCCAAAGTAGTTGTATCATTTTACATTCCCACCAGGCATGTATGAAAGTTCCAGTTGCTCCACATCTTTTCCAACACAAGACATTGTTATTACTTTGGCTTGGGCCAATTTATTATTTTTCGAAGGGATTTAAATGCCAAAAAAAATTGGTTCTATTTACCCATGTAGTGACCATTTCTAGTGCTGTTGATCTTGTTGTAGTTCCATATTCCCATCTAGTATCATTATGCTTCTGCATGAAGGATTTCCTTTAACATTTTTTGTAGTGCATCTGAGCTTTGTCAGTGACAAGTTAAACAAACAACACATTTATTGTAGTGACTGCAGGTCTGCTGATAATGAATTCTTTCAGCTCTTATATGTCTGAGAAAACTATATTTCACCTTTGTGTTTGAAAGATATATTTACTAGGTTAAGAATTCTAGGTTGACAGTTTTTTTTTTTCTCTCAGTGCTTTAAAGATGTCACAACTGTCTTTTAGCTTGCATTTTTTTCCCAAAGAGACATCTGTTGTTATTGTTATCTTTGCACCCCTCTACGTAATGTTTTCCCCATCTCTGGTTGTTTTTAAGACTTTTTTTTATCAGTGGTTTTAAGCAATTTAGTTATAATGTAACTTAGTGTAGAATTTCATCATTTTTCTTGGGCTCAGGGTTTGTTGAGTTCTGTGGATCTGTGGGTCTCCAGATTTCACCAAATTTAAGAAAAGTTCAGCCATTACTCAAAATATTTTTTTCTGACCTCCTCTCTTTCATGGGCTCCAATTATACATATACTTGCCACTTGAGGTTATTCCACAATTCACTGATGTTCTACTAAGTTTTTTCCATGTGTTTCATTTTGAACTGTTGTTTCTTCAGGCTCACTAATCCTTTCTTCTGTGGCCTCGAATCTGCTGTTAATACCAACCAGTATATTTTTCAACCCAGACATAATAGTTTCACATTGAGATGTTTGATATAGGTCTTTTTACACCTTTCAAACACTTTTAACATTGTTTTTATTTGATGAAAAACAAGACTTCTGTTTTCCCAAATGAAAAGACCAGAAGAGATATCATGGGATATCACACCTTTCATATGTCTATTTAACATCTTTTCTCTAGTGTCCTTGGATACATTTCACATACCTGTTTCCATGTCCAGGCCATTCCCTTATGATTCTCTTCAACCAGGAAATACCCACAGGGAAGACTTCAGCTTTTGACCATGAAAGGGTACTCATTACCAGAATTGCCCTCCTTCTGTCATAACCAGAAAACAACATGAAATACTTGCAACTGATCAATTCAGACATGGGATAATGGGTGGCACAGGGAGGGGAGCCCAGAGCCAGGCAATCTTGCTGAGGTGAGGGGGCAAGACTGGTGACAGGAGGCCATGGCAGCTAGAATTTGCAGGGCACAGTCCCTGAGAGAAGGAAACTACACAGAGAAAATTCCAGAAAAGTGCATACATTTCTCGAGTCTTTGGCTGAAACCAGTCCGAACATGTGGAAACCCCAGGGGCACGACGACAACTTCTGAGGGAAGAACCATGACCAGAGCTCACACAACCCCTCTCCAGGGAGCCACTCAAGTTCCCTCAGCCAGAGTGGAAAAATTACCCAGGGGACAGAAAGTCCTTCTTCCTGAGAGCTGAGAGCTCTTTAGCCTGTTGTAGTCGGGGGAGATGGTGGAGAGAAATAAATAACAAAGCTGCGGTCAGTCAGGACCGCCCCCCACCCCCAGCTCCAAAAAGCTACAGGTCGGGGGAAGGAGAGGCAAGGGGTTAAGGCAAGGTGTGCTCTCCAGAGGGCTAAAGAAGAGCTATTCTAAGAAGACAAGTGACTTACACCTTTGACATTTTATAGAAATGTTAGAATAACCGTTGGGCCAGGCACAGTGGCTCACTCCTGTAATCCCAGCACTTTGGAAGGCCGAGGTGGGCAGGTCACTTGAGGTCAGGAGTTCAAGACCAGTGTGGCCAACATGGCAAAACACTGGCTCCACTAACAATACAAAAATTAGCTGGGCATGGTGGCTCATGCCTATAATCCCAACTACCTGAGAGGCTGAGGCACATGAATTACTTGAACCCAGGAGGCAGAGGTTGCAGTGAGCCAAGTCATGCCACTGCACTCTAGCCTGGGCGACAGAGGGAGACCCTGTCTCAAAAAAACAAAAAAAAAAGGCCAGGCACAGTGGCTCACACCTGTCATCCCAGCAGTTTGGGAGGCTGAGGCGGGCAGATCACCTGATGCCAGGAGTTCGAGACTAGCCTTGCCAACATGGTGAAACCCCATCTCTACTAAAAATACAAAAATTAGCTGGGTGTGGTGGTGTGTGCCTGTAATCTCAACTGCTCGGGAGGCTAAGGCATGTGAATCGCTTGAATCCAGGAGGTAGAGGTTGCAGTGAGCTGAGATTCAGCCACTGCACTCCAGCCTGGACGACAGGGCAAGACTCTGTCTCAAAAAAAAAAAAAAAAAAAAAAAGACTATCATCACACAATGTCGCTGAAGAAACTCTAGGGTTCCTATGGGTGAGAAAGTGGTATCTCATTAGAGACGTGTCCAGGGCACAAGAGTGGGTGCATTTAACTATGACACATGTAAGCCCCAAATCAGGCACTCAAGATAAAGTCAGTCATCGTGTCTTTTAGATATTAAAGAGGGCAGAAAAAGATATCTGCCCTTTAGATATTAAAGAGGGCAGAAAAAGGTATTTCCATGGCTCTTCTCCATGGAACCTGTTTACAGAATGGGAACCACAAAGATTTGGGAGGGTGGGGGCACCACCAGGACTTTTAGAAGAGAAAGAAAAGGGTGCTTCCTTTGTGGATTTCCAGGAAGTAAACTTTTCTCTGTTGACTTAGCAAATTATCATGTAGCAATCTCAGCACATTATTCCCAGAGGTGCCACTTTAAGCATGTGACCAGGACCGTGCAGTGACCTGGGCCATCCCCACATACTGTTCAGGTCCTGTGCCTGGAATTCCTGCCTGTCCTTAGATGATGGGGCCAGTGACTTCACAGACCCGCTACCTAACTCTGGACGATCTTCTTACATTGAACGGAACTCCGGAGGGAAGCACATCCCCAAGTGAGGACTCTGGAGATGTGAGGAGGAAATAGACAGGTGTTCTTTTCTCTATTGAATGCAAAAGCAGTTTTCTTGTAAGATGGGCCTTGGTGATTGTTCTGTTGCTTGGGACCCACTTCCTTTGGTTACCAAATAAGGCTTGAGCCATCACATTCCTTCATGTTCTTGGTCAAGACAGTGTTATCATCCAGAAATATTAGGGTGGCTTTTCCTATAAGCTGCCCACACTACCAATCCCCACTGAAAAATGATCACATCATCCAAATTCACCAGCCCTCCCCACACTCACCAGGTTTTCAGGAGAAGGAATGTGTGTAATGGAAAGCTTGTGACATGTTTTTTGCTTTATTGAAATTCTTTCTTACAAAAGGTCTGATGTATTTTAGGCCAGGCCTAATTTGCTTTGGTCCCTGAAATGCAGGCCCATGGTCATTTCCATGTCCTCTGAAGTAGGTATGTAAACTAGTAGACTTCCATTTTTAAGGTTCACACACTTTTTAACATTGTTTTTATTTGATGTAAAACAAGACTTATGTTGTCCCTAATGGAAAGACCAAGTAAGAGAGTTATGTGCGTCTTCATGGAAGGGATAACTGGATTCTTTGCCAGAACCGGGTTGGGAATTTAGTTTGTTCAATGTGGCATCTTTCACCTTTAGTTTTTTTTTTTTTTTTTTTTTAACTTAAATGCAAACCTTGCAATGTGCTGAGCTATGTAGTAAAAAGTGCTATGTTTATATATGCATACATATATGGGCTCTGGCAAGGGATGCATGAGTACATGCGTGTTATGTAAACATAGCAATTGGTCAGAAAGAGAGTTTCTCATCATTAGGACATTTAAGGAGTGGCAAGCATATTGGAAGCAAGAATGACCTAGGGCCATATTGGCTTAGTTGTCAGCCAGGAGTGTTGCTGTTCCTACACCTGGAGGGGCCCAGGTCTCTCCCCAAGCAGGCCAGTGCTCACCTGATATGACAGGTGATCGTGTATCTGAGGCCTATGAGTTTGAGATTCCCCCAAGGTGAGGTGGGTCTGCACTCACTTGCTACCAGGTAGCTCCCCTAGTTCTTGAACATGTGTATGGCCCAGTTCTGCTCCTCATGTAAAAAGCAGAACACGATCTCCCTGTCTCTAGGAGGAGGGTGCAGATTGCAGATTTATGGAGGCCCAAGGCCCCTTATTCCTACTCCCCACCCCCAGAGGTTATAGGGAATCTTCATTTCCTTCCCCCCTAAGGGTTCCATTAGGACTTGTGTTTTCCTGACCACAGATTCACACCTGAAGAGGCTTGGAAGATGCAAAATCATCACCTCCAAACAGCTGAGACACACATGACTTGGCTTTAACCGTGACTGCCCAATGCCAGAGCACTGGACTCAGGTTTAACATGGGCAGCCCCCATGTCACCCTCCACATCAGCTCTCCTCCTACATTGATGGTCGGCCTGGAAGCCAGTCATGTTTGACCTTGCACTCACGCCCTGGAGGTTCTGAAGTAGGCAACTTTCTAGTTACACAGGTCCTGCACCCAAGCTTTTAGCTCAGGCCAAGTAAAGACAATAAGTTCAGGTGGGCACACGGTCTCAGTCATTTTGTCTTCTTACTTGCAGTCTAGGTGAATGGACCAGTTAAGTGCTACCTGGAGGTAAGGCTGTATCCAGACTGACATGCCCTGGACCAATGCAGCTAAGTGGATACATGAATTTGGCACCCAAGATACTATTTAGCGTGCCATGGTAGTCATTCAATGTTAGTTTCATTCCCTTCTCCAAATCTAGCTGGATTCCTGCAGGTGACTTGCATTTCCCTCTTGCCCCTACAGCTGGCTTCTCCTCTATGTCACTTCCTCAAACTAGCAAATGGGGAGCAGAGGCAGAGTAAAGGGGGGAAATTCATCACTTGACGTTGCCTCTTGCTGGGGAGGAAGATGTAGAAACTCTTGGACTAATGGAGGTTTGGGAATTGTCTGAAGAGTAAATGATCTATACTACCAACCATCGCTGCTGCTGCACTTGTCTCTGACACATTCTCAGCATTCACCTGTAACTAAAAGGCCAAAGGGAACTGGGATATTGAGGCCTGGTGCATGGTGTTCAGAGGCTGGGCAAAGTGGTGATCCAGTTGATCAGGGCTCCTCATGCAGGAACCTGGTGGAAGAGAGAGACGGGCAGTAGGTCCCAGAGTTATACTTCGGAGCACATGTTCAAGAGGGAAATGACGACCGGCCCCCACGGTCCTGGGATGCAGGTGTGAGGACTGAGAATGCTGGACGGGGTGTGGTCGAGGCATGGTCAGGGTGGCCCCGAGCTGTGCCCCACCCCAGGGATGCAGGAAGGGTGCTCTGTGCAGGACCCCGAACTTGGGCTCTGCCCACTTTCAGTGTCTGTTGCATGTCACGCTGGCATCTTCGGCATGTCCACAGTTTGTCACCCCCCATTTGGAGAAGCTGCAGCGGAAGATGGTTTCCTCTGTGCCCTTGCAGGCAACGTCATCCATCCAGATCCTCCCAGTGCCTGTGGAGACAGGGAAACACAGCTATAAGCGGATACACAGGAGGGCGAGAAGGAGAAGAGAGAGCATAACTGTGCCTGCCCTTGACTTGGCTCTGCTGTACACTCAAACCTAGGGGCTTCCAGCTGCCCTCTCCACGCCCCCCGAAGACCTCATACTTATTTTCTGGGATTAGTTTCTTGAGGGCAGAATCACAATAATTGTT
The DNA here is from genome assembly GCF_000001405.40 of Homo sapiens. Taxonomy (NCBI): domain Eukaryota; kingdom Metazoa; phylum Chordata; class Mammalia; order Primates; family Hominidae; genus Homo; species Homo sapiens. The sequence goes on from NC_000008.11 coordinate 27,872,274, forward strand.
GGTGATGATGGTAGTAGCTACAAATATCAGCTATGTGTCAGAAGCCGGACAACCTCTCCTTTTTAGTGGCAGCGTCAGGACTGGCTATTAAAGTCTTAAACTCTGTCATTCACTCTTGAAGTACGTGGGTAAAATCCCTTTACAAAGAATGTCAAGGGAACATTTAAACCACTTCCCTGCTGTTTGGCTCTAACAGATGAACTAAGTGGCTTGAACATATTTTTGTTACGTAGACATTTTCAGCCCCTGTTGTCACGGGATTGCCATGCAGTGAATCCGGGGATGGAGGAGGGAGGAGAGGCCCCTTCCGCCACCTCCTTGGATGTTGTTTCTTCTCCAGAGCCTCTTCCTGGCCTGGATAGCTGTAGCTCTTACACAATAAGCCCTTTGAGGCAGAGAATGATTTGCAGATTAAACGTCTCCTGGAAGACACATCGGTTTACAAATTACCCAGGAAAAGGCTGCAAGCCCCAGGGCTCTGTGGGATTAGTCACACCCAAAGCAAATAAAGAAGACTAACAAATAAAGAACAGTTCCAAGGTGACCCAGCCCAAATACGTATATAGGATCTTGAAACTCTAGCTGGTGTTTCACCAGGGGGTTCTTGTTCACATCCAGTCACGGGAGGACCAATACAATGGGAACACGGTCATCAAGGGAGGAGCAGTGCATATCTGCAGTGACGTCAACACTGCGGTGGCGGGGGATCATTCCCGGAGGAATTTGCCAGCAAACTCTCTCTGCTCCTTGCACCACCAGGCAGAGGCTAGAACCCTGTCAGCTCTAGGTACCAATCATTGTTTTAGCTTTAGAACTGATAGCTGATTACTCAAGGTGTGCAGTTTGAAGACCAGGGCTGTCAGCATCACCAGAGAGCTTGTTAGAAAAGCAGACACACAAAATCTTCCTTCAGCTTAATCTCTCCCACTCTAGGTTCCCACGCCGCCCCTAATCCCGCTCGAAGCAGCCCTGAGAAACATCACCCATTATCTCTCCATACCATCCCGCCAAAACTTTTGCTGCCCCAACACTTCAACACTATTTTATGTTATTTTTCTTACTAATATAAGAAGACAGGAATGTCAGGTCTCTGACCCCAAGCTAAGCCATCATATCCCCTGTGACCTGCAAACATGTATGTCCAGCTGGCCTGAAGTAACTGAAGAATCACAAAAGAAGTAAAAATGGCCGGTTCCTGCCTTAACTGATGACATTACCTTGTGAAATTCCTTCTCCTGGCTCAAAAGCTCCCCCACTGAGCACCTTATGTCCCCACCCCTCCCCACCAGAGAACAACCCCCTTTAACTGTAATTTTCCACTACCTACCCAAATCCTATAAAACGGCCCCACCCCTAAATCCCTGCGCTGACTCTCTTTTCTGACTCAACCCGCCTGCACCCAGGTGAAATAAATAGCCTTGTTGCTCACCCAAAAAAAGAAAAAAAAGAAAGAAAGGCAGACTCTTGGCCAGGTGCCATGGCTCACGCCTGTAATCTCAGCACTTTGGGAGGCTGAGGAGGGCAGATCGTTGAGATCAGGAGTTCAAGACCAGCCTGGTCAACATGGCAAAACCCCGTCTCTACTAAAAACCCCGTCTCTACCCCGTCTCTACCAAAAACACAAAAATTGGCTGGGCGTGGTGGTGCACGCCTGTAATCTCAGCTACGCAGGAGGCTGAGGCAGGAGAATCGCTTGAACCCGTGAGGCGGAGGTTACAGCGAGCCGAGATCATGCCAGCTTGGGTGACAGAGCAAGACTCAGTCTCAAAAACAAAACAAAACAGCAAAAAACCAAATTATTGAGGCCTCTGTGTGCTCAGTACCATTCTGATGAACAGAAAGACAAAACAACAGATGCAAAAGATTTCTGCCTTATAGAGCTAACGTTTGAGCTTCTATGTGTTTATTTAGAGTAACATTCATAGTAGGAAAAAGTTACACTGAATCCTACAGGCTTCCATCTGTGCCTCACACATAGAAAGCAGGACGACTATTTAACAGGTATTTAAGAGAGGGAAACTGAGGCCCCAGAAAGATTGAGTGACATCTCTAGGAAAGTAATTATTGAGGTGAAGAGGCCCTGCCCTGGCCTCTCATGTTCGGCCAGTACAGTCTTTTCTCCTCACACAGCCACAGTCCACAGCATGTAACACTCAGCCAGAGGACGGCAAACCGTGAGCCAGGTCTGGCCAATGCCTGCTTTTATAAATAAAGTTGTATTGGAACACAGCCCCACCCATTTGATTGCATATTGGCTTCAGTTGTTTTCCTACTCCAACTGCAGAACTGAGTAGCTGTGACAGAGACCACCTGGCCCACAAAGCTTAAAGTATTTGCTATCCAGCACTTTATGGAAAATGTTGGCTGACCCTTGCACTAAAGCTGTCTCCCAATATTTGAATCTTATCTTAGATAAAAGGACAAGAGGAGGTAATAATGCAATAATTAGACGTGAACGCTCCTAATTTTGTCTGCCTGTTCCCACCTACAAATCTGTCTGATGTGCAGCAATCCTTACCTCCTTTTCCATCTGTCTGTCTCCCTGGGAGATGCTCCCAGCTGCGCTAGGTCACACTCCCTTCCGTGGCCTACCAAGCCTCCCTCCAGTCATCACCCTTCCACCTCGCCATTTGCATCACTCCAGCACCTCCTGGACCAATTTAAAATTTAGAACATCTTCAAGGCCCTCCCATTTGGGTCTTTCTTGGCTTCCCCCATGCAAACAGAAAATCTGATTACTATGCCCTGTCCAGGAGAAATGTTATGGTGCCAGACCCCTGGGAGAGCTGTCAGGGCTTGGAGACAGGGAGGACTCAGGTTTGGCAGGCACTGGAATTCCTTCCTTCCTTCTATTCTTCCTTCCTCGCTCCCTTCTTTCTTCCTTCCTCTCTCCCTCTGTTCCTCCCTCCCTCCCTCCCTCCCTTCACTCCTCCCTCCCTCCCTCTCTTCACTCCTCCCTCCTTTTCTTCCTACTTTCCCTCCCTCCTTCCTTTCTTCCCTTCTACATTTATCCAGCTCCTATTATGCCCCAGGTAGTTTTGGGTTTTGGAACTACAAAGGTGAAGCCCTCAAGATGTTTCCATGTATCGCAGGGATCAGGAGAGTATAAGAAGTGCTGTGATAGAGAAGAATGTGACGGGATCATAGAGGAGGGTTATTTCCATCTTAGGGGTGAGGGAGCATGGAAGGAGCCAGAAAAGCTTCCCTCAGGAAAGATCATTGAGCTGCCTTTAAAAGCTGAGTAGGAATTCCCTAGCTGAAGAGGGAGGGAAAAGCCTTCCAGCAGGAGGAGCAGCACAGGAGAAGAGGTGGGACATGAAACACACCATCTGTGCCCCGAGAACCACCAGCAGGTGCAGTGTGGAGAGGTGTGGGGTGGGCAGGAGGCCAACTAAGAAGATCCTTGGGTGCTGAGCTAAGGAAATCCAGCTTGATTCTGAGAGCGATAAAAATCCTCTGAGGACCCAGGCAGGGAGTGAGGTGACCAGGCACTCGTTTTAGAAAGATCCCTAACAGTTTGAGACCAGCCTGGGCAACATAGCAAGACCCTATTTCTCCAAAATAATAAAATGAAATAATTAGCTTGGCATAGTAGCATGTGCCTGTGGTCCCAGCTACTCAGGAGGCTGAGGCAGGAGGATTGCTTGAGCCTGGGAGGTCGAGGCTGCAGCAAGCTATGATTGCACCACTGCACTCCATGGGTGACAGAGGGAGACCTCATCTCTTAAAAAGAGAAAAAAAGAAAGATCCCCAGCAGCCATGAGAAGGAAGGCCACAGGAGCTAGCCTGCAGGTGTGGTGGCCGTGAGGAGTGACTCCTGGAGGATTAGAGCCTCTACTGTCCCCACCTCCACCCCACACTTGTAGATAAGCGTGCACAACAGAGCCTGTGCATGCTAACTGCTTGACACCCAAGATCTCCTTTAGCATTTATAGTAATTCTTCAATAGCGGAAGAACTGAAGCTTAGAGAGGGTAGGGAATCTAGTCAAGGTCTCCAGCTGCAAGTGGCAGATCCGGGATTCTGACATGGGTGGTTTGACTCCAGGGCTGGGGCACTAACCACTGCTCTACCTGCTAATCTCCTAAGGGGAGGACAGCAAGAACGACGAGGTGGGGACAGGTTCAAGGAATGCCAGAGGAGTGAACACTGGTGGGATCTGCAGGACTCGGGGACCAACCTGATGTGGGGAGGGGGAGTGGTGACAGGGAAGAGGTGGCCCAGGGTTCTGGCTGGGATGGGGTCTGACTGGTAGGACGGTTCTGGTGATGGCAATGAGAGAGGCACAGGATCTGGTGGGAAGGATATGTGTGCAATTGTGACAGCTGCCATTGGAGAAGCCCATGGGGCATCCGAGTGCACCTGTCAGGAAGGTCACCGGACACTTGGGTCTGGAGCTCCACTGAGCACTGTGACAGAGGGAAGAGCTGGGGGTGACTGAAGCCCCAGGTGTGGAGGCAGCCTCCAGAGAGAGTGTGCAGAACACAAGGACAGCAGAGGCGGGGTGTTGGGGGTGCTAGGGAGAGGAAACTGTCAGGAAGGAAGAGGGTGAGAAGAAGGCTAGGAGGCAGAGCGAGAGGGACCTGGGAGGCTCCTTCAGGCTCAACAGCAGACGAGCTGGGAGTGGGGTTGGGGCACCAGTGGGTAGGATGCTGGCAGGGTGGCTCTGCCTGCCGCCAGGAATGACAGCTTTCCCTCCTCTCGGCCCCATGACTACAACAGCATTAAAACCCTTGGCACATGGTTTAGAATCCTCCTCTACATTGCCCATGCTGTGGCCAGGGCTGGGCTTGGTCAGCTCTGCCCCCCAGCCCTGCAGCTAGCCTGGCCCATGCTAGGTGCCTGGAAACTGCTTGTAGAGAGGAGGAGAACATGGGTGCAGCCTGGGCTGGCAGAAAGCCTCAGTTATGCCAGCCCTTCCCTGCCCAGGCCCCTACAGCCCTCTGTATACTGCTAGTGACACCTGGCCTGCAACCAGCCAAGGTCTTGAATAGCACCTGAGACCTGTTAGGGCACCATGATAGGGAAATAATGGGGCAAAAAAATAGGGCATTCGTGAAAGCAAGTCCAGCTTCCTATCGACCAGTTTAAAGAATCAAGTGACAAGCTTAGAGCTTCCCTGTGTCAAGAGGAACAGATCAGGGGAGTGAAAGAAGCCACAGTCTACAGGATCGCTGGCCTGGCACTCGAAGCCCACCCACTGCCTTTTCACCAACTGGCAGAGTCAGGCTAACATGACCTGTGATCTTCAAACTACCTATTCTGGCTTCTTGAAAATAATTTATAATTTTTTTTCTCAAAAGGTTTTACTGCCACTTATTAGGAAGAAGCCTTCTTCGGAGCTAGAAATGGGAATTTGAGGACTGTTCCTATTCTAATCAACAACAACGGTGGTTTTCCTTAGTCAAAACCAGCTGGAATCCAGCCCCAAGCCTTAGGTGGGAGAACAGTATTCTTTCCTGGTAGGCTGCCCTTCATGGTGCCGGATCCCTTCGAACTCGCCCCTCAAACTCTGGCCCTTAAGACGGCACTCCCTGCCAGCTGGCTCGACAGATTTCACCAAGGGTCACTTTCAGTCAATTACCAATGAGATCTATGGGATGAGATTCAGACCAAGAACTGCAGCAGCCCCTTATGGGGATGAAGAGGAAGGCGGCTGGGAGGAGTGGAGGCTTCCACCTCCAGTCTGGATGTGACCTGGCTCCGAGTCCCCATCTGGAAGGGACATGCCACTTTCTCCCCTCACCCTGTAGCCATTTAGCACAGTGGGTTGGACAGCAATGACCTCAGGCAAGACAGCAGGTACGCCCGGCTCCACTCCATGATGTGGGGAACCCTGCCGTCAGTGGGCTGCCATCCACAGGTCACCAGGGGGCCTGGTAACTGGGTGTGAGAGGATCAGCCCCAATCCCTCCCCACACCCACCTGGTCTTCTCCACAGGTGAGCAGTGGCATCTTAAATCCCAGGGGGCCCAGGCTGGGAGACCCATTATGCAGCCTGCAGGCCCTTTAGTTACAGACAGGACACCAAGACCCAGAATGCAGAAGCAACAGGGCCAGGACATGCCATCAAGGGAAAGCTCACTACTGAATGGGTGTGGGGAGTACCAGGTTTGTGCATGTGGGACCATTGTTTTAGTTGTGAGTCAACACAAGAGTCTGATTCTTTCCATCAGGAAACAAATGCAGGGTTTGAATCAGCCATCTACCTAAGAAGGGTCTGTGCCCCTTCCTCAGAGTCTCTTGTGCTATCTGTAGGAGGTCAGTGTGCTTCAGTGTGTCAAAAGGAAAGCAACCAAAATGATGAAGACTCTCCAAATCTTGTCATATGAGGGCAAGATGAATATCTGGGGATTAATCTGGAGAAGAAAAGACTCAGAGAGGCAGAGACAGCCCAGCAGAGTGGTTCAAATACAGACTCCTAAGACACCTGCTTGGGCCTAAACATCGGGTCTGACATTTGCTAGCTGTGTGACCTTGGGCAAGTTACTCAACCTCTCTGCACTTTTATTTCCTCATTTGAAAAACAGGGATGGCTGGGCATGGTGGCTCACGCCTGTAATCCCAGCACTTTGGGAGGCCAAGGTGGGTGGAGTACTTGAGCCCAGGAGTTCGAGACCAGTCTGGGCAACATAGTGAGACCTCATCTCTATTAAAAATAAGAAGAAAAGTTAGCTGGAGATTGCTAGTAGGCCCAGCTAGTCAGGAGGCTGAAGTGGGAGGATCGCTTGAGCCCGAGTGATCAAGGCTGCAGTGAGCCATGATTGCACCATTGCCCTCCAAACTAGATGACAGAACAAGATCCTGTTTCCCTCCTTGAAAAAAGAAAAACAGCGATGATACCTGTATACTTCATAGTGCTGTAAAGATGAAATGGGTAAATATTTGTTACATGTTGAGAACATAGGCTGGCACACTGAGTATCATATAAGTGTTAACAATAAAAACATAATAGAGACATGAGAGCACGTTATAAAGGTCTAAAGAGCTAGCCAGGGAGAGAGAGACCACAGCAGCTGTGCCTGGGACACAGGACTGGGAAGGGCTGGTATGGGACACCACCAGGACAGGACTTAGATCCACGAAAGGAAGAATGTTCTAATCATCAGAACTGTCTGATGACCACCGGAGATGGTTGCCTGGGGCGGGGCAGTGAGTTCTTATTGCAGCAAGCATTTGGGGAGAGGCTGGGGACCTCGCGGAATTGCAGTGGAAGGGACTCGGGCTTTGGAGGTGAGCCCAGTCCTAGGATGTGCAGGCCCTCTCCTCATGTTTTTTGCCCTCAGAGCGCCTTACCTTGCCCGAATCGAGCTGTGCGGTACACCTCCTCCACACCGCGGAAGCCGAGCATGCGGCACACCACGTCTCCGTCCTTCTTGTCCCAGCCGTCGTCACACACGGTGCCCCAACGCCGGTCGTGGTACACTTCCACGCGGCCCTCGTGCGGACCTGAGCCATTCACCAGGCGGATCATCATCGGGGCCTCCACGCCACCTGCCGGAGCAGCCAACTGTCACTACCCAGCTCTAGATACACCAGGACCCGCCCCCAGGGGCCTTCTTTGACTCCGCCTACCCCTGGGTAGGAGGAAGAGAGGGCTGGGGCCCAGCTGTATCAAGACTTCAGCCCCCAAATCACCCTGTGCCTCTTCTGCCCTTTGCCAGCCTTCTCCCCACCTTAAAAAAATAGCCTTTTTCACAGCGCGGTGCTGGTACAAAAACAGACACAGAGACCAATGGAACAAAATAGAGAGCCCAGAAACAAAGCTACACACCTACAGCCATCTGATCTTCGACCAAGTCAAAAGAATAAGCAGTGGGGAAAGGACTCCCTATTCAATAAATGGCGCTGGGATAGTTGGCTAGCCGTATGCAGAAGAATGAAACTGGAGGACCCCTACCTTTCACCTTATACAAAATTATAGAACTCAAGATGGATTAAAGATTTAAATTTAAGACCTCAAACTGTAAGAATCCTGGAAGAAAACCTGGGAAACATTATTCTGGACATTGGCCTTGAAAAAGAATTTATGACTAAGTGCTCAAAAGCAATTGCAACAAAAACCAAAATTGACAAGTGGACGAGTGGGAACTAATTAAACTAAAGAGCTTCTGTACAGGAAAAAAAAAAAAAAACCTATCAACAAAGTGAACAGACAACCTACAGAATGGGAGAAAATACTAATATTTGCAAACTATGCATTCACCAAAGGTCTAATATCTGGAATCTATAAGGAACATAATTCAACAAACAAAAAACAAATAACCCCATCAGAAAGTGGGCAAAAGAGCGGCTGGGCTTGGTGGCTTATGCTTATAATCCCAGCACTTTGGGAGACCAAGGCAGGAAGATCACTTGAGGCTAGGGCTTCAAGACCAGCCTCAGCCTGGGCAGCATGGGGAAACCCTGTCTCTACAAAATAATAATAATAAATGAGCCAGGCATAGTAGCCCATGCCTGTGGTGCTAGCTACTCGGGAGGCTGAGGTGGGAGGATCACTTAAGCCTGGGAGGTTAAGGCTGCAGTGAGCCACGTTTGTGCCACTGCACTCCAGCATGCATGACAAAGCAAGACCCTGTCTAAGGAAAAAAAAAAAAAAAAAAAGTGGGCAGGAGACATGAACAGATATTTCTCAAAAGAAGATATACAAACAGCCAGCAAACATGAAAAAATGCTCATCGTTACTAATCATCAGAGAAATGCAAATCAAAACCACGATGAGATACTATCTCACGCCAGTCAGAATGGCTATTATTAAAAAGTCAAAAAACAACAGATGCTGATAAGCCCGTGGAGAAAAGGGAATGCTTATACTGTTGGTGGGAATGTAAATTAGTTCAGCCACTGTGGAAAGCAGTTTGGAGATTTCTCAAAGAACTTAAAACAGAACTATCATTTGACACAGCAATCCCATTGCTGGGTGTACATCTGAAGGAAAATAAATCATTCTACCAAAAAGACACATACACTCATATGTTCATTGCAGAACTATTCACAATAGCAAAGACATGGAAATCAACCTACGTGCCTATCAGCAGCGGATTGAATAAAGAAAATGTGGTACATATACATATACACCATGGAATACTATGCAGCCATAAAAAAGAACAAAGTCATGTCCTATGCAGCAACATGGATGCAGCTGGAGGCCATTATCCTAAGTGAATTAATGCAGGAACAGAACACCAATACCTCATATTCTCACTTTTAAGTGGGAGCTAAACACAGGGGTGGGGGTGGGAATACAAGATGGGGGAGGGGAGAAGAGGGGTAAGGGTTGAAAACCTAACTACTGGGCACTACGCTTACTACCTGGATGACAGGATCATCTATACTCCAAGCTTCAGCATCACGCAATATACCCAGGTAATAAACCTGCACATGTACCCCCTGAATCTAAAATAAAAGTTGAAATAATAAACAATAAAATAAAATAGCCTTTTTTAAAGAGCAGTTTTAGGTTCGCAGAAAAATTGATTGAAAGGTACAGAAAATTCCCATATACAACACCCCTCCCTCTACACACAGCCTCCCCCATTATCAACATCCCCTGAGAGTGGTGCATTTGTTACACTCAATGAACCTACACTGATGCCTCGTCATCACCCAGAGTCCACAATTTACATTTGGGTTCACTTTTGGTGCTGCACATGCGATGGGTTTGGACAAATGTATAATAATGTGTATTCGCCATTACGATATCATACAGAATCTTTTCACTGCCCTAAAAATCTTCTGTGCTCCACTTATTCAGTGAGACTATTCATCTCTCCCTCCTCCCTACCCCTGGCAACCACTGATCTTTTCACTTTCTCCGTAGTTTTGCCTTTTCCAGGATGTCATAGTTGGAATCATACAGTATGCAGCCTTTTCAGATTGGCATCTTTCACTTAGTAATAAGTAAGTGAACCTTCATGTAAGGTTGCTTCATGTCTTTTCATGGCTTCATAGCTCCTTTCTTTTTAGGACTGAATGGTATTCCATTTTCTATGTGCACCATAGTTTATTCATCCATTCACCTACTGAAAAACATCTTGGTTGCTTCAAAGTTTTTGCCTGGATGAATAAAGCTGCTATAAATATCCATGTGCAGGTTTTCATGTGGATGTCAGTTTCAGCTCATTTGGGTAAATATCAAGGAGTGTGATTACCAGATTTCTCTCCACTGTTTGAGACCCGGTGACCAGCAGCCTTGCCTGCTAGGGAGGAGGGTGTAGGAGAAATAGGAAGCCAAGGATGGTTAAGACTTTGTGGGCAGGTAGCATGGCTGTGTCCCGGGAAGTGTCTCAGCCCTGATTTGGTCATTCATGTTCACTTTCCCACTAGGCTGTGAGTGTGAAAGTGCTTTAAGCCAGAGAGAGCCAGTTGGGAATTCTGGTTCTGCCACTTACTATCTGCAACTGTGAGACACATTGGTTCATCAAATCTGAGATGCCACCTGTTGTAATGGGCGCCTGTTTTATATGCCACTAAGAAGGAAAAATCTCTGCTGGGTAGGTGGCAAATTATATCAAGTGCCAGGTGCTTCCTGATTTCACAGACATATAAATGTGTGTCACAGAATCAATGAAACATGGTAATAGATGTGAAGAACTCAGAATAGCACCTGGCACATAATAGGCCCTTTCGACCTGAATGACCTTAAGGTAGCCTCACAACCTCTCTAAAGGCATTTCCCCAACTGCGACATGGGAACAACATCTACACTGCAGGACTGTCATGCAAACAAAATGCAACAAAGCTAAAAGGGCTCTGGGGCACAATCCTGGCCCATGGAAACATCAGCAATGTGGGTCTGTTCCCCCTTCTCTGAGGGCTGAGCCCCTGTCACATTGATCTCTAAACTCAGTGCTTGGCACACAGCCTGGCTGGAGGAAATGAAAAATCAATGTTTGCAGAATGTAGTAGAGAGCCATTCCTGAGCATTACAATGCATTGGTTCTCCAAGGGGAAATGTTGGGGACCCAAAGAACACCAGAGCAACTGAAAGAAGCCTTTGGATCATCACAAAGCCAGGGTTTGGCTGGGAAGTCATAGTCTCAGGGTGAAACACATGGTCAGTGCCAGAGCTGGGATCACAGCTTGCGTTTCCTTATGTGTCTTCCCACATCCTTTTCACCATCCTGCCCGCCCCACTACTCTTGGGGGCTATTTCCCCTGCTGGGACCTGAGCATCCTCACTTGATAAGATACTGGAGTGGTCAGTGGGTCTTATCAAAATCATTAGGAACACCAGATTCCACGGCCAATCCAGACCTACTGAAAGAGAATCTTGGTGGCAAGAGTGAGGGATCTCTATTTTTCCAAGTGTCCCAAATAATTCAGAACAATTGGTTTGTGGGCTGTGGACTGGCATTTAGATTAGAGGGTCAATCAGCAAGGTTCCTTCTAGCTCCAACCCTCAGTAATCCAAGGCCAGAGAAGAAATCAGGGTCATCTCTTTTTAAAGCCAGAATCCACTGGTGTCATGTGGGGTAGGGGTGGACATTGTACTGGAACCCAGTGACAAGTGGGTGACACAATGCAGGAAAATGCCCATGTGAACTGCCAGAGAAAATAACAAACCTACTCAAGCCCTGCTACTAATAAGCGCGGCACTCCTGGACTTTTGTTTTTCCTTTATCTTGTATTTGGCCAAGTGGGCTGGAAGGAGCCTCCTTTTAATGACTGTGACTTGGCAAAGACTTTCATAGGTCCCGAAGGAGATGGCAGAATTGACATCTGTGCCCCATGAGAAAGGAGAGAACTCAGAACTGGCCACATGCCTGGGCCAAGAAAACCCCAGAAAATTCTGCAGAGGAACCGAGGAAGCCACCAGGAAGCGACCCCAACCCCAGGAATGATGCTAAAGACTACAGCGAGAGCACCAGGGATGCCTCCTCTCGATATTGGATGTATTTGCTGCGGATCCTTCATCCCTGGCCAGGTGACCGTTCTCCCCACACAGACTGCAAATACAAACTCATTCAGGCTGTCCCCAAACAGGCTGAGGCTATGCAAGACAACAGAGAGATCCTGGAGAAGAAAAACATGGAGAAGAGCTGGAATTCAGAGGCTGGGTCTGACACCAAGAAACTCCCCGGGAGCAGTAAGGACAGGCTAACCTGCAGCCAGCAGCACCAAGAGGGACCCGGCCGCTGCGCGGGGCCTTGGCCCTGGGTTGGCTGAGGCCAGGCTGTCAGCCCTGGTTTCTCACAGACCTGCCTCACCTCTGGCTGCACCAGGAGGCCTGCAACAGAAGCCACAGTGTGGGGTCAGCAAGTAGGGCAAGAAGTGGCAGGAGGGTGCTGTGAGTCACAGAGCAGGCCAGGCAGAAGTCAGGTGTGGGGTCAAAACAACAGGAAGAGTGTGACTGGGTGTGACTAGGCAGCCAAGGTAGACGGTCGGAGACTCCCTGACTTAGCCTCTCTGTTCTGGCCAGCCTGAACTCACTTTGTGCACCTACTCGTTTAGCCAAGTAAGTGACTGAGAGTCTATCAGACAGCTGTGGATACACCCACAAACAGAGTCCCTGCCCTCATGGAGCTGACATTCTAGGGAGAGTCTAGCAATACAGCTAGTCAACAAAAACAAAACCATAATTATAGCCAAGCGGTGATAAGAGCATAGATGGGAACAGAAGCACAGGGAGTACAGAGTGAGGCAGGCACTATTGTGGGCAAGTGAACAAAGGAGTGGAGAGTGAGGGCAGGCGCCATCTTGGACAAGTGGAGGAGGGAGGAAATGAGAGACAGGGCAGGCACCATCTTGGCCGGGTGGACAAGGAAGGAAATGAGAGAGAGGGCAGACACCATCTTGGCCGAGTGGACAAGGAAGGAAATGAGAGAGAGGGCAGGCACCATCTTGGACAGGTGGACAAGGGAGGGAATGAGAGGGCAGGTACTGTCTTGGACAAGTGAACAAGGAAGAGGGTGGGGAGTGAGAGCAGGTGCCATTTTGGACGAGTAGAGAAGGAAGGCCTTGAGTGGAGACCTGAATGAGCTGAGGAAGGACGTGGACTCCCCCACCTCAGAAAACTCCTTTCTGTACTCTGGCCTAAGCTTTCCTTGTCTTTTAGATCTCAGCTTAGATGCCTCTTCTCCTTCCCTGGTCCCCACACCCAACAGGGCCCCTTCTAGGTACATGCTTATAGCTTTGTGTCATAATTGCTATTGCTATTTACTCTCTTAGGACACTGTGAGCCTTCTGAGGATCACGTGACCTGGTACAGGGCCCGGTGCACTGAGATACCCAGCCTGTGCAAAGGGAAGGCATGCATGAATGGAGGGACTCATTAATATGGACCCAGATGGGCAGGTGCTGGCTGGAGGGCATGGCTCCCCAGAGTCCAGGGCTTTGGTGGCAACCTGAATGGAGAATCCAACATCAGGGCCCCAAATCTCCAGCATCCTCTTTATTACATCACAACACTTCTAATCACATACTTGCTGCCTTCTCTACTTGAGATGACTCTGGATTCTGGACCCAGAGCTCAGGCTGTTACAATGACCGTACATCTCAAGTGAGAGAATGGGGACATGGCTGTCAGATGATCATGGTGGGTGCAATGGGAAGTCTGGAAAATGTCATTTGGATGCTGAAATACTGAAATTCCCAAGAGGTTTCAATGTATATAGAAGTGATAGAAGAATATTTGGAAACAAGACACCTTCAAAAAATTGAAAACATATGATAACCATAATCACGGGATGCAAAGCATCAATTTCAAGGATGTCTCTGGCCCATGGCCCATGCTTACCATGCATTGAGCAAAGTCATGGCCTGCAGGGCTCCTATGGTCTCCCCAGTAGGGACCACATTGATCTCAGGAACTGAAAAGTGCCCTCAAGGGAGAAAAAGAACTAGAGAGCACCTGGGCGAGGCTGCACAAGGCACCACTCCACCCAGACCCCAGTGTCGGTTCATTAAGCATGGAGGCCTGTTCCTCACCACCTGTCCCCAGATCCCCTAGACTCAGGGCTTCCCCCCATGGTGGAGGGCCGCCTGCCCACAGGGTCAACAGATGCTGCCTGCCCCAGCAGGGTCAACACAAATCTGAAAGCCACACCTTCTCCCCTGGACTCACCCAAATCAGAGGCCACATTTTGTTGTAGCTCCACTTCACAGAGCATGGCCCTAAGCTGTGGATTTTGCATCCTTTTCTCCCCACCCAACAAAATCTCAGCTCTGTTACCACCTCTCTGGGAAACCACAGGCTGAGGTCTGACTTGCTTATGATGTAGGCTGCCCTGATTCAGGAACTCAGAGTCTAAATTCAGAAACTTGTGTCTCTGGCCTCCTTTACCCCTGAAGAGGTATAGGGGAGGCAGGCAGGCAGGAGCCTTTCCCAGAGCTGAGCAATGAGGCCACCTCCAGCAACACACTTGGGGAATCACCAACGCCCTCCAACAGTGACTACCCTCTAGCCTGAGAAGGACGTCATCATTTAAGAGGTTTGGGTTTCTGTGGGCAGAGGGTTTAAATGCTGCTTTTTCCCGGCAGTTTCTGCCCCAGGTCAAAGCTTTCCCACCAAGCCACCAACCACCACTGGGAAATGCTCTTGCCCCACAATGTGTCAGCCCCGACTTAATCAGAAGTGGTGACTGAGAGGCAGCCTCAGCCTGGTCCGTGACTTCCCCAAGACTCTTCCTGTCAGTCCAGGGAGTTTTTTCCTCAGATGCCCCCCAGGAGGGTCCCTGCAGGGGGAACGGGGCTACTGGAGTCAGGGAGATGCCTCTCTCTGCACGTGGCAGTGGAGGAAAATGGGAGACAGGGATTCTTGATTGTGTGAAATTCAGAGACTCCTAGGCTCCAAAGCAAGAGCAGATGCTCCAGGTAGAGGGCAAAGGGCAAGAGAGCTGGTGATGAGCAATGGGACCCCAGGCTTTCGAGGTTGCAGCCACGTCCCCTAGTAACTGCCCTTCAATGACTGCGAGGCACCTTCACCTCCTCCTTGGCATCATACCACATTGAGCCCTGGAAAACCCTTCCTGAGCAAATGAGGATCAGCAACCCGGAAGAAAACCCTGCCCCATACCACTCCCGTGTGGGTATCTGATTTGCACCCCTCAGGTGAGGGCGTTAGGTGCAGAGACTATCACACTTTTCCTCTTGTTCTGGATCCCTAACCTGCAGACTGGGGTCTACCTGTCCATGCCTTCATGGTTTGCAAGTTAAGAGGATGGTACTGGCTACAAGGCTGGTCCCTACCAGCTCTGTGCAGGAATGGCACCGGCACATAGCATCACTTGGCTGGAAAACCCAAGCTGAAGGGAAACACCAAGAGCTATTCCTTACTAAAAACAAGGAGAGGCTGTTCTTGACAGCTTATTCCAATCCCCATCCCACAAGGCTTTGGCAGAGCTTTTTCTTGTAATGCCCACCCCTGCCCCCCATAGCAGAGACACCCAGATATCCACAGGGCTCATCTCTGTTCATCTTTTCCCTGCTTCCCCAGAACTGGGGACCACAAGCCCGAGATGGAGCAGGGACTTAGGGGCTGCTAGGCCCCCAAACATGGAAATAAAAGAAAATCTTGAGTATCTTCAAGGGAAATTCTAGGCTAGCCCCAAGAAGTAAATGAGCAACTTGGTAAGAAAGAAAGAAATAGTAGCTTAAAGCAATAGTCAAAGAAGTTAGAGTCAACCTCTGATGACTCTCTATAGAAACTAAAGAGAACATCTTAACATATGTCCCTGAGGTGTTTTTCAGAAACCCAGCTGGATGTTTTTCAGAAACCCAGAACCAAATGGATTTGCTGGCATATAGACCTCAAATGAGGGGAAACTGAGGCCTGAACTCTGATTGACGGACTTTTTTTTTTGAGACAAGGTCTGGCTCTGTCACCCAGGCTGGAGTGCAGTGGCATGATCTCGGCTCACTACAACCTCTGTCCCCCAGGCTCAAGCCATTCTCTCCCGCCTCAGCCTCCCAAGTAGCTGGGACTACAGGGTGCATGCTGCCATGCCCAGCTAATGATTGTGTTTATTCTTTATTCTCCAGTGCCACAGAATAAAGGAAAATTCCAGGCACCTAGCTAGCTCTGAGGACCTGGAAGAAGTCACATCCACAGGCCAGACCTTAATATTCCTTTCTGCTGAACCCAAGTTTTTAGACAAAGTTTCCCTTCCTTAACCAATTGCAAATCAGAAAGTCTTTGAAGCCATGTATGACCTGTAAGCCCTTGCTTCCAGATTTCCCACCTTTTTAGGCCAAACCAATGTATAACATCCATGTCTTGATTTAGAAATTTGCCTGTAACTTCTGCTCTCCTGAAATTTACCATTGCCTTTAAACAGCCTTGCTTGTAAGCCATCCAGGAGGTTGAGTCTTAAGTGTGAGCTACCAGATTTTCTTTGCTTGGTGCCTTGCAAATAAACACCATGCTTCCTCCCACTGCACAACTTCAGTATGGATGTTTGGCTTTACCATGCCAGGCAAGAAGATCCCACTTCGGTTTGGTTACAAGCCCCATCAACACCCTGTGACCAAGGTTCTTCCCTTTGATACAGAGAAGCAGAAAGAGAAAAGTGCTGTCACCTCAAAGCCCAGACCAGAGCATCCCTGCCTGGTTTCACTGTGTAACCCTAGGAGAGGAAAGTGGTTTGAGGGAACACAGGGCAGGAGACTGGCTCCTGGCTGGGTAGCCTCCTTGCTGTCTCCCAGATCAAGGGGCTCATTGTTTCACCCCACAACTTTTCTGGAGTGTCAATTCCAGCCTCGGCTTGGAGCTCTCTGCCTCACTGCAGCCCCAGACCACAGCACCTGCCTCCCCATTCCTCAACCTGTTGTACTGAGCCTGCCCTTCACCCAGGCCCCACCGGGACCAACCCCATGGTCCTCAGCCACCCTCCTTCTACAGGCCCCAAATCTCTCAAAGCTTGAGCTTGTTCCCCAGTAAAGAGGGTACAGCTGAGGCACAGATGAGGCCAGGTCATGGAGAAGATCAAGGCATGGGTCTGGACAAGGAATCTTAGCATTTTCTCAGGATATCACTAGGAACAACTTCCATTAGCTTAGTTGTCGGCAACAGATGTCCCATTACTTAGTGCTTGGAGTGATTTTTCGGTAATTATGACATCATCTTTGGGCTTTTCCAATAATCACAAATGATGGTGAAGCATAGCATTTGCCAGCTGGTAGAGACTTGAAGATGACACAGTCCACACTCTTTGCATGACACGTGTGGGAGCAGAGGCCCAGAGAGGTGACGTGCCTTACCCAAGTCATCCCGTAGCTAGCAGAAGAGCTGGGGCCTGAACTTGAGACTTAGCCCTCGGGCCAGTTCTCCATCTACACCCTCCTTTCTTTCCCAGAATCCTTTCTTCAGAAGATCCCTGAGCATGGTCCACCAATTTGCATCACGACTTTGATGCAAGATGCCTTTTGATGGAGCAGTTACATGAAAAACAATTACTTTAACCCTGGAACTGCAATGCTTCTAACTAAAATTCATAGAAACAGCTTGGTTTCTCCTGAGTCTTATGGGAGAACCAAGAAGACAGGGTTGCCTTTGTGAAGCACAGCCATTGCTGAGTTTGCATTTGAAAATGAACATGTCAACGATTGCACGCAGGGGAAGGATAAACCAGCCTTGGCTTTTGAGGAAAGTGATAATATTTGTTGAAGTCCGGGGTGATTCTACTTCCCGTGCACAGATATGCAGCACTAAAAATGCA
This sequence comes from Homo sapiens, assembly GCF_000001405.40. Classification (NCBI taxonomy): domain Eukaryota; kingdom Metazoa; phylum Chordata; class Mammalia; order Primates; family Hominidae; genus Homo; species Homo sapiens. The sequence continues at coordinate 27,889,930 of NC_000008.11, forward strand.
TTATCTGTATTAATTCTTTATGTATATTTTATCAATGTCTGTGTTTATTTTTTCAATTGCATATTTATTTATCCATCAATTTGCAGGTATGGAATTACTACCACATTCCAGGATTGTGCTAGGCACTAAGGATGCAAGGATAAATAAGTATTGTCTTTGCCCTGGACTCACTCAAATGAACTAAGAGTTTAAAATAGATAAGAAAGACCACAGAATGTCAAAGCTGGCAGAGAACTCAGGGGCTCCAAAACCCTCAGTTAGAAATGAGGAAACTGAAGTTGACAGAGAAGTCACCAGCCATTACTGGGATGCCAGATCCTTCTCTTTTGAGACCACTTCTCTTTCTGATGCTGGCTACTTTCAGTAACAAACCATAATACAGAGAGAAGACAGTTTGAGGTTAAACCAGCAGGGCCCAGGGTGGGGCAGGCTGGCACTCCTAGAACCAGGTGGCACTGCTCTCCATCTGTGAAGGTTACAAGCACATATACTATTTTCCCTTGGAAATAGAGACCATGTCTTGTTTGTCCATGGCCCCTTAACACTTAACATGACACGTGGCTGGCTGAGGGCCCTAAATGCTGAATAGATGGCGTGGAGGGCAATGGGTAGATGTGTGCGTGACTTTATGAGCAAGCATGATTGGAATCCCCTTCTGAATGCCTCCGGATCCCTGGTTCCAGTCTCAACCTCCAGTGCCTGCATATTCAGAATGGGTGCTGTTCTCACCCACAGATCCCACCTGCTCAGGGTGGGAGGGGTGGGAAAGGTGCTGCCCCAGCACGGAGGCCACAGCTCGCTGTGCACACAGTGACTTGGGGCCTGACCCTGGATTTCATCGATTTGTGCTGCCCTTCTGAAGGTCATTCTATATCCCCGCCTTGCTAATTGATGTCTAAACATGTATCGATCTAGCCTTGGGGACACAGAGGTATTTCACCCTGTCTCTTCTTTGGATGCAAAATGCTGCGAGGCAGTTCCAGGTTGTCCCGGCAGGTGTGGGTCTGAAGCAAGCAGCGTGGTGGGTGAGGGGAGCCCAGGGCAGAGACTGGATGGGCAGGGCCAGTCCAGGCAAGCTACAAGTGCTCTCGCAAGTCTGAGAGGCATTTCAGACTTCCTCATTTCTTCACTGTCCCATGGGCCTCTCAGGGTTGTTGAGGGGATCAGTGACAAAGACTCTGTAGCCAGGTGCTCTCCTGAACCTCAACCTTCCCTCTATAAAGACACAAGACATGTCTGTATAGATGTGAACAGAACTACAATAGGTTTGTTTTTTTTTTGTTTTTTTTTTTAAATGGAGGAGTCTCGCTCTGTCATCCAGGCTGGAGTGCAGTGGCACAATCTCGGCTCACTGCAACCTTCACCTCCAGAGTTCAAGTGATTCTCCTGCCTCAGCCTCCTGAGTAGCTGGGACTATGGGTGTGCACCACCATGCCCGGCTACTTTTTGTATTTTTAGTAGAGACAGGGTCTCACCATGTTGGCCAGGATGGTCTCGATCTCTTGACCTCGTGATCTGCCCGCTTCGGCCTCCCAAAGTGCTGGGATTACAGGCGTGAGACACTGCGCCCAGCCTACTAATATAGTTTCTAATAGCTCAAGATTCCGCTCCTAGGATGATCTGGACCCCCTTAAAGTGCCTGCCTGAGAAAATGCAAGACTACCAAAAGAATTTCCTGTATGTTCCAGCCAACACCTGAAGACAGGGCCCCTGTCCCCCGTGGGATGCAGAAGCCTCACTGTGATAAGCACCAGTTATCAAACCCAGATGGGTTTTACATGAACTAGCTCCTTTCTGCTTTTTGTAATTTTTCACCTCCCTGACTCTACTGAGTCCCCACTCTTCCCTCTCCCTAATCCCTCATTTTCCCTTAAAATACCCGTCACCTCTGTACACATCGAGGTGGCATTCAGTTCATGCTGGACTCCTCCCTGCTGCAATAGTTATCGCTGATTACAATCTGTTCTTATCACTGTAACTAGGGTCCAGCTTTGTCTGTCTTAGACGTCAGATGTGGTTAGAGCGTGGCTCTCAACAGGCTGGTTGGGTGTGTGCCATGCTCACAGCCCATGGGCATTGCCTTCCACGTGGGAAAGACCGTGAATCATTGGCCTGACTCAGAAGTTCTGTCCCAGCCTCTCTGATGAAGATTAGCAGGGCCACCTCTCCCAGCAGTTCACACTGGGGAATACGGAGAGAGCTGAGCAGACACAAAGAGACTGAGAGGCAGGGATGGTGGAATCAATAAGCCATGTTGGAGAAGAGGCCTCCCAGTGAAAAGCTGAGCCAAAGGGCAGTGGCCCCCAGAACGGCCTTGGATTCCGAGTGACCTTCTCATGCCAGGATCCACAAGGCCCACCTGAACTATGGGTCCTGGTTATCCCAAATCTCCTTGCATATCCTCATTACTTGAAATGACCCGGATGAGTCTCTGGTTCTTGGGACTGGAAAAGCCTGAAGAGGGCACCTGTGAATCCCATGCACCCATCTGAGAACTGATCAGCTACTTGCCTCTGTGGGTCCTGGGGAAATTAGGAATTTGCAAGGCATCACACACTGTCATGGTGATTCCTGTGGGGAGATAACTCAGGAGGGTGGAAGGAGGCAGCTGGACTCAGGAGCAGGATTGGAATCTGACTCCACCATAGGCCAGAAGTGACCTCTCCATACCTCACCCTTTTTTTTTTTTTTTTTTTTTGAGACGGAGTCAAGCTCTGTTGCCCAGGCTGGAGTGCAGTGGTGCGATCTTGGCTCACTCAAGCCCCGCCTCCGGGGTTCACGCTATTCTGCCTCAGCCTCCCGAGTAGCTGGGACCACAGGCGCCCGCCACCACGACCGGCTAATTTTTTGTATTTTTTAGTAGAGATGGGGTTTCACCGTGTTAGACAGGATGGTCTCGATCTCCTGACCTCGTGATCCGCCTGCCTGGGCCTCCCAAAGTGCTGGGATTACAGGCGTGAGCCACCGCACCCAGCCTCTCACCTCTTCTTAAAGTGGACATCATGGTGGCGGCTGGGAGCAACAGGGCATGTCAAGGACTTGGCACCTAACGTGAGGTCTCATCATTGTGAGCTCCCACCCCTGGTCAGGTGGCAGTCCTCCCAGCAGCGTGTGGGTCAGCTCCAAGGGTCCCCATGCTTGGGATGGCTTGGACACCAGTGGCCAAGCAGGGATGTATCCTTGAAAGCCTTTTTGCACTCGTAGGAAGCAGGAACAAAAAGGCTCATCCCCTGAATTGAATGAGTCTCCTCCTAACTTCTGTTCTCCCCAGGGCTTGGTTCCTGGCTCCTTAGCATATTAGGACCAGGGCATCCGTGAGGCAGAAGACCGGCTCCTGCTGTCAGCAACTTTCTGTACATTGATGCAAACTGGATGTTATTTGTTAAGCAAGGCAGCTCTGGAATGGCCCAGGAATGCAATGCTAGGGCTGCGACCACGCTTGAGCTCCTAGTGCAGACCTTAGAAATCTACTATGTGGGGATTCTCCTCTCAAAACAAACATTTCTTTGCTCTCTTTGTTTTGTAAATATATATGTCAGACAAGCAAGGTCCCAGGCAAAGCAGGCTGAGTCTTACCCCAGATGCCCCTGAACCCTGGAGCTGGAAGGGGTCTCGGACATTGGCCTTGAACCCCTCCCCTCTACTTCAAACACACAGATCCTCTCCTCTCTGTAGCACACCAGACAGCTGCTCATCCTGCCTCTGGGAATGGAAGGGAACCCGACAGCATCTCTGGGGAATGCATTACAGGATTTTAAAGCCAGGATCTGGTTTCACTTACTCGCCCTGGCATCTCTGGACATCCCAGGGTTTTGCATCTGATTATTCCCTACCTTATTTTACACTGTGTGCTTGGGGATTCATGGCTATCACTGGGGTGTGAGATGAGGAACAGCCTTTTCCTTCTTTCAGCGCAACTGAGCAAGTGGTTTTATTACTCCGCCCCCAGCGGGTTTAGGAGGACTGTGTAGTGGCCAGTGGCTGCCATCTCTCAGAACTGGCTTCCAAGGCTGGGGTAACCTCAGAGCTATCTACTGCCAGCAGGGCTTGGCCACACCTGGCTCAGGGCCATCCCCAAACCCAGCGACAACACAGCCAAGTTCTGGGTACTACCCAGGACAGAGCTCAAGTCAGGCATAAAAAGAGGAGAGAATGATTATCTACTGAGGTCCCGTCGTGCACAGGCTGGGCACTGTGCAAAGTGCTTTGTGCGTGCATTTGCTCATTTCTTCTTCAGAGGAGCTCCATGAGTTAGTTATTACAGCTCATTTAACAGAAGAGAAAACAGGCTCAGAAAAGTCAAGTAAAAATTTGCTCAGGGTCACACAGCTGCCACATGGAAGAGTCAGAGAGAAGGGCAAAGGCTTGTTATTTTCAATCCACAGAGGCGACTCTCAGGCTGAATGCTTAAGACAAATATTTAATAACAGCCCTCTCCAAACATAAAGTGCTTTTCATCCATCTCACAACAGCCCTATGGGGTCTGCCGGATCCACTCTTCTCAGGCTTAAGGGAATGAGTCTTAGACTGAAAGCAGTAGCTCCAGTCTTGACTGTATCTGGGAAGCACCTGGGAAGCTCTGAAACCCACCAGTGTGAGGGGCCAGTTTTAAACAATTCGTAGGTGATTTTGGTGCACAGCCAAGGCTGAGAAGCTCTGTGGGAGAATGTGGATCTGGGATCAAGCCCCGGCTACACAACTCCCTAGTTGTGGGGCCTTGTGAGTAAGGCAGAGAGATGTCACCTCCTCTGGGAAGGCTTCCCTGATTGTGGCCCCAGCATGTGCTCTCCACTAATGAGAAATCCTGCACCATGATTCCCTCTTCCGTGTCTCTCTGCACTCCCCATGGGAAGCTGCGTGAAGGGGGCCACCATTCTGCATCCTTGTGGTTCCAAATCACATCCCTGCAGCAAACAGAGAGCCTGCACGTTCCAGTGCTCAACAGATGGTGTGGAATGAATGAGTGGGGCAATGAATGGATGAATGGGACTCACAGCATTTGAGGGGCTCTGAGAACGGAGCTGGTCACTAAATACCCCAAAACCTGCTTGGCTGTGCACCAGAAGGGACCTAAAGTCCAGGGAACTTTGCCTCTACAGAAAAGCAGAGGGAAAGCCCACCCTAAGCCTGGAAGATTGCAGCTCCTTTATGTTTGTTTTCCCTGCCTTCCAGTCCCCCTGAAAGAGCAAAACAAGAGGAAAGAAAGGAGGTTGTGGAGAATAGAAATAAACACATGGGGCTGGGAATATAGGCTCTGATTTTCTGCAGCTGCAGAGTAGAGCCCTAGGGATAATTCGGACCATCTGCCCATTAAGGAAGTTGAACTTTCATTCTCTTGTAAAGAAAGAACTCCCCGTGCCCCCAGCCGGCCTGAGGCACAGGGGCTCTGCTGAGGCTGAGGTGACACTGCTCGGCAGGAAATGTGATCCATATGGGAAGGACAGGGGCCATCCCAAAAGCAAAAGAACTTTCTGATCAGGCTGTCCTGGAGGGCATCGCTTTCAAAATGTTGTCTGGCCTGTGGGTGTGCTTTGTAAAATGCTATTTCCTAATGCCAATCTGCTCTTAATACGTTCCTTTACAACTCTTCAAAGCACTTTTATTAGCAGTTCTCATGGGGTCTTTGCTGTCCTCCCCTGAGGTAGGTGGTGTTAGCCCCATTTTACAGGTGAGAAAGCTGAGACTCAGAGAAGGGGAGTGAGTGACTCTCTCCAGGTCACATGATAAGGCGGCCACGCCAGGACCACACCTGGGTTTCCAAAGTGCTGTGTCTCCACTTAGGGGTCAGACGGGGTACTTGGGACTTTGCTGGGTAGAAGGAGCAACAGAACTATCTCCCGCATTGTCACTGCCCTGAGGATCGTACTGGACTTTTAAAAACTGTGACTTCCCCTCTTTGTCTCCCCAGCCGTGCTTCATATTCTCTGGAAACTGGAAGTTTGCTCTGATCTTGCTATTCCTGGCTACCCGGTGTTCAATAAAAAGTGTGTCTGATCAAATAATAAACGAAGCGCTTTCCTTGCCCAGTCCTGAACCAGGAGCTCACCCCATCACAGTGGGAGGATGCTGTTAAGGCCCAGAAGCTCTGCTTAGAGCTGGATTTGTAGGAATTTCCTGGGTGGCCTGGGTGGACAAGTGAATCCTGTTCTTTCTTAAGCTCCTGAACCTCTCAGAGGGCAGTGAGAGGTCAGAGTCAACAAGCATTTAAAACCAGAAAGAAATGCTGGAGAGCCAGGAGAAGACAGTGATGCTATGTGCCTGTTTCATCAGGCCTGCAGCCCTCCTTGCTGTACACCCTGTGGGGAGGTGCTGACATCCGTAAGGCACCCTTCTTGAAGGCTCAGGTTCATGTGCCCAGGGCTAGTGGACCTTCCTGGGAGGGTTCTGCCATCCCCTCCTTGCCCTAGTTCCTATCCCAGTTCTCCTCCTCCTCTATGTTCTAGGTCTGAGTCCCCTTTCCGTGATGCTTCTCCACCTCTGCACCATAAATCCTCAAAGGTCAGGACTGTCTTGAGAACCAGGTTTACCCCTCTCTAACTCTAGGACCTTGGGTGAGGAGTGTAAACTCTCAGCATGGTTCCCTCCTCAGTTAGATGGGATGACGACATACCCCAGAGTTATTCTGAAACATGCAGGAGCTCAGTGACCGGGGTGGTTGCCTCTCAATAGTGTTGAACTCAATACAACCCCTGAGGATCATGGTGGGGGACCCAGGCACCATGACAAGTGACTTTTCAAACCTCTGAGTCAGCGAGAAAGACAGCCATATACCCCCTCCTGCCACCATGGCCCCAAGACCTCCCAGGGAGGTTTACTATGGCTTCGTCTGTCTCTTTCTTCCATCTGAATTCAACAAACGGCTCCCTAAAGAAAAGAGGCTGAGGCTGGGCGCAGTGGCTCACGCCGGTAATCCAAACACTTTGGGAGGCTGAGGCGGGTGGATCTTGAGGTCAGGAGTTCGAGACCAGCCTGACCAACATGGTGAAACCCTGCCTCTACTAAAAGTACAAAAATTAGCTGGGTGTGGTGGTGTGCACCTGTAATCCCAGCTACTTAGGAGGCTGAAGCAGGAGAATCGCTTGAACCCAGGAGCAGGAGGTTGCAGTGAGCAGAGATTGTGCCACTGCACTCCAGGCTGGGCGACAGAGTGAGACTCGGTCTCAAAAAAAAAAGAAAAAGAAGAGGCTGAAATCCAGCCCCAGGGGAAGTAAGTCCAACTAGATAGCTGGCCCCAAACACCCTCCAAGGGTGGCTTCCATGTCAAAGGACAGAGGGTACTTAGGGCTGTGAAGTTCATGTAGTGGCAGTGAGAGTTGATCCAGTGACATCAAAGGCTCCCGGGGACCTCCCGGACTCAATCCGCAGAGCCCACAGCTGCATCCACTCCCAGCATAACGGGAGCTCGGGGTCACGGAGATTAAGGACGATTCCCAAGTTTGTTTGAAATGTTTTCTAAATAAACAGTCAAACCACTCTTGGTTTTCATGTACATCTCAACGTAAAAACTTTTCTTTGTTCAAAACCCACATCAAAGATCCCAGCGTCATTTCTTTCACTGGTTTTCATAGATGATTCCGTGTTCACCTTCGTCTGATGTGGGTATTACTAAGACAGTTTTCTTGCAGGGCAAACCCCCAAAGCCACTGCATGTCTGCCAGAGAATTGGGGATGCCAGTCCCTGGTGGGGAGGGAAGGGCGGCACCGCAGGCTCGGCTGCCTGTGTACGCAGAGAAGTGGAGACACAGCAGGCAACACACATAAGAACAGGGATTAGGCAGCAGTCAAACTGGCCACCTCAACTTACGTGTGAAATGCCCCCACTAGATAAGGCGTCACAGCAGCCACGCCTCCCAAGTCCCACACACTCACCTGGCTGCTAACTCTGAACATAAACTCCACAGTGCCTTGTTTATTTTCTTCCAACTAGCAGTTCTTCCCAGGCTTTGGCCCTGGTTCCTGCCTTCAGTTAGCATATATCCAGAATACAAATATTAGTGGCCCTGTTAATGACCTCTTAGGATTCCCAAGAGGGGCTTCATTTCTCCTTGCCTAAGCATTTTTTCCCTGCCAGGGCACGGGCCCAGCTCTGGTCTCTCTCCCTCTGGCCAGGGATGCTGAAAATATCTTTTAAAGAGATGAAAGTAATACAACGAGCTCAGCTGTCCCTGACTCGCAGGCGCCTCTGCACATCCTTATTTTACCACTTGACTTCTTAAAGGGGCCAGGCCTTTAATTTTTCCAGGTCCTCTTGAATGTATGTGAAGCCATCAAACCACTCACAGCATGGATTAATCGGAATTGAACTGTTTTCTGCACACAGCAGTGTAGAAGCTCCCATGGAAGGGGTCACTGGGAGCTTTCAGGAAGAGTCACTGGATTTGTTTTTGGAAGGCTTAAGATGGGATCTTGGCAAACCAGAATGTCTGGAAGGCCAGATCCCATCCTCTGCACAGAACCGGGGAAAAAAGAGGAAATTGTGGCCGGAGAGGCTAAGCGACTAGCTTCAGGGCCACACAGCCAGTGAGGTGAAAACAGGACTTGGATTTAAGATTTGTTACTGTGATACAGATATAATAAGAAGTATTTGGTCTTCATCTCCAGCTCCCAGCCAGAGCTCCTAGAACTCTTGTAACTTCTTAAGCGATAAGAGTGACAGGAGCATCTCTTGTGAGAAACTTTGCTTTTTGTCCCTACTCCTGAAATAGCTCTGGAGCATCTTTTTAAAATTCATAGTAAGCCCCTTCCAACCATACCTGAGTTTGGGTGGGATCGAAGGATGAGGTGCTGATTGTCAGGGAAATCAACCACGTGATTAGGAAGTTGGACCATTCAGCCCCACTTGGAAGTGGAGAGGGGCTGCAAAGATTGAATTCAAGTAACAATGGCCAGTGATTTAATCAGTCATGCTAATGTAATGAAAGCCCCATAAAAACCCAAAAGGACAGGGTTCAGAGAGGTGCAGTGCTGAACACAGAACACATCGAGGTACCTGGCGGGCGGCGTGCCCAGAGAGGGCAGGGAAGCTCTGCACCCCATCCCCATACCTGGCCCTCTGCATCTCTCCCATCCCTCTGTTCCCGAGTTGTGTCCTTTATAATAAACTGATGAACCTAACTTTTCCTGAGTTCTGTGAGTTGGGTTCTAGCAAATAATCAAACCCACGGAGGGGGTCTAAAGGGAATCTCTGACTTTCAGCCAGTTGCTTATATGTTCTGGAAGCTTGGATTTGAGATTTCATCTGAAGTCAGGGGCAGCCTGTGGGACTGAGCCCTTACCCTGTGGGGTCTTCACTAACTCCAGGTTGATTATGTCAGAATGGAATTGAATAGTGGGACACCCAGCTGGGGTTGGGGCATTGGTCAATGTGCAAAACACCTGCACAGTTGGGGTCACCAGTGTGGGAGTGAGCAGGGGAAATGAATCTTCATTTTCATTGCTCCACACCAGCTCTGCTCCTACAGAACTGCATAGAGTTGGGGTCGCATCTTCTCAGGAAATGTTTCTGAAAAACAGGATTTTCTCAAAGTGGAAGTGCAGACAAGAGAAGGAGCAGGAGCAGAAGAGAAACTTGGATTTGGAACGTGGCCTTTCCCGAGAGGAAGGGTCTGTCTACCACGCACGAGGCATTGGTCATGTGCAAAGGGCCACCAGGGACAGCCAAGGCTCCGCCATTACAATCCTATGGATGGCTTCCTAGTGCCCAGAGGCTCAAGCCTAAACTCCTGACCACTGCAATGCCCTTGGTTATCCCCACCTTCCTTTCCAGGCTTATTTTTTGTCTCTTACATCCCAAACCCTTGCCATGCTGTACTATTTGGGAGGATCAGACAACATTATGCTGTTTCAAGCATGGTTCTCTTTACCTGGGACACATTCAACTTCCACATCCACCTGGTGGACATGAACTTACTCTTTAAGACTTGGGTCAGCTGGCACGGTGGCTCATGCCTGTAATCCCAGTACTTTGAGAGGCCGAGGCAGGCAGATCACCTGAGGTCAGGAGTTCAAGACCAGCTTGGCCAACATGGTAAAAACCCATTTCTACTAAAAATACACAAATTAGCTGGGCATGATGGCATGCACCTGTAATCCCAGCTACTCTGGAGGCTGAGGCAGGAGAGTCACTTGAACCCAGGAGGCGGAGGTTGCAGTGAGCCGAGATCGTGCCACTGCACTCCAGCCTGGGTGACAGAGCAAGACTCCATCTAAAAAAAAAAAACCAAAAAAACAAAAAACAAACAAAAAAAGGTGCAGTCGCTGTGTCTCTCCATGCCTGAGATAAGGCTAACTTTTGGTGCTCCATTATCCTAAACAGATTCTCCCGGGCACCTGGTACAGCAAAGTCTAGGCACAGGGATGGGAGAAGGGAGTCCGAGGACTCCAAAGGATTCTGCCTCCTTGACTGTAAAACAGAGACAGAAACATCTCAGCAGCTGCAGGGAAAACTGTTTAGAAACTTCCTCCTCTGATTATTTATTCTGAGTTTACACTGCATGCTGGGGTGCCCACAGCTCCCCTCGTCCCCAGACTTACTTCCCTAAATACTGAAAACATGTACGAAGTGTTAAACATTTTTCAAGTGCTCTAAGCCATGAATGATAACCATCAACAAACTCTGGTTTAGAATTCACCCTGGTGTCATCTGCATATTTTTTTTCCATATGAAACCAAATTGAGAAAGATTTTTTAAACAATCTGAACTTATATCCTGCTTTAAATTCATGCTGTGGGACTTAAAAAAAACCTGAATTCTTCACCCACCCCTTAGTTGCAAAAACACTATTTATTTTTCCTGCAAATGGACCATCTACTAGGGTAAAACAAATGTATTTCTCTCTTGAGATATGTATACGTAGCGGGTTTTTTTTTTTTTTTTTTCCTGGCCAAACTCCCAAAAGCCAAACATGTCACGGAATGACTGATATTGCCCTTGACTGAAAAAAACCTTTATCTCTCAGCAAGCAGAAATCGGGACATCTGGATTCTAGACCCAATTTGGCCGTGACCTAGGCTGGGTGATTTTGGGGATTCCTCTCATCTCTCTGTTGTTGGTCTCTGTTCTGAAAACTGGTGGGGTGGGGTTGGGCGAGAGAGAGGAATGGGTCTGAAACCCATCCAACCCTAAAATCCTATGACTTCAGATCAAAACATGGGTAAACAATGGCAAGATTTTTGTTCTGAAAAATATTTTAATGTGGACTCAGATGGGTCCTGAGAAGCCTTCTGTGGCATGCCCTCCTCCAGGGAAAACCCCCAACTTCCACGTCCCTAGTGAGGGGTGTCGGTCATGTTTTCTCACCAGTCCCTTTTGCACAGTTACATCCCCATCTGCTGGAACTTCAGGTCTTTGCTGCTAACGGCACGGGCTTCAGAGGTGTTTGGGAAGGTTGAAAGGCCTCGGGGTTAGCAGAGGCCACCCTGGTTAGCGGCTCTTCCCGCACGATGTTGGCTTGTGGAGGAGGGTAGCTCTCCGGTGCTGCAAACGCTTTTTTCCCACCCCGTAGATCCTACGGTGGGGCTTCCCAGGGCGCAGGGAATGACTAAGAAACCCTCAGACATGGGCACCATGTCTGTCAGAATTTCCACACTTTTCTGAAAGCTGAGCCTTGGCTCTCCCCCACAGAGCCCGGGTCTCAGGGATATGGTTAATGCTTCTGGGACTGGAATTCCCTGGAAACATAAGCAGGAGGCTGAATACAGCTTGATGTTGTTGTGGTCAGAGCAAGCTGGTGGGCAGAGGCTGTGGGAAGACACCCCGCAATGGGACAGGCACAGACCTCAGCCCTGAATCGTGACAACTATTCCCCTCCAGCCCCAAGGTCCTTACATCTGCATCTGGAGCTACCAGTGAAAGAGGGGATTACTTGGGGTTTTAAGGAGCCCGGCCCTACTACCCAAGACCAGGGGCCGAAGCCCCCATCCCAGGGTCAGGAAGTCAGCGGCTGGGGATTTTGTTCAGCCTCAGCCCTGGCCTAAGGACGTGAGGAAGTCCGTCCTCCCCTATGGGCCTCTGAAAATGGGGAGATGGAGGCTGGCCTCCCAGTTTCTTTGTTCTACGATTCCTCTGGGTCTCCCAGAGTCCTCCTCATGTTGTGTAGAGCTTCCTGTTCATGGAGCTGTCTCTGCTCAGCCCCTTCACCTCCCAATTTCACTGCCTCTGGAGACTACTGGGGGTGGGGGTCTTGTCAGAGGGCAGGAAAGAAAAGTTCAGCGCTTTGTGCAAGCTTAGGCTCTGGGTTCTGTCTGAGTTCTGGGCTGCAATGAGGGTGTAGCTCTTCGAGGCAGGAAAGAAAGCCTCAGTCCCTGAGGGGAGGCTGTCCAGAGCTGATGTCACCTCTTGCTGTACAGTCAAGAGGCTCCAGGGCCAAGTGGAGGGGGTGGCCTCCCCCCACGCCTCCCCACCCATCCCCAGGGAGCCCCGCACCCCTGTGGCTCTGGCTCTCACCTCCCTGCACCGTAGCTCTGGCCTCAGGGCCCAACCCCAGTACAGAGCCCACCAGCCTGGCCCACAGGAGCAAGGTGAATAGAGACCACGCATCCTCCACAGCATGGGGAACGCCCTGCTGGCTCGACCTCCTCACTTGCTCTCTCAAGTCTGCTGAAAGAAGAGCCACCAGAGAATTCCCAACAAGAGCCCCTCTGGCATGCGGGCAGTGTTTCTGATCTCAAAGCCATCTTTCCACATAGTTCCTCCCTTCCTGCCCACCCCCATCAGGAGTTGTTTATTTCTCAGAACTAAATGCCACGATCCTTCTCAGCTACCTTGGCAGCATTCTGTCAGAAACCAGTCAACAAACAGAGCAGGGAAAAACAGCACCCCGAAGACAGCATTCAGGACCCAGCCCTTTAGACAAAAGGGATCAGATCAGGTCTACTAGATGGCCTCATTCAGTCAGACACACCCAGTTAAGCAGCCCTGGAAAGGGACTCTAGAGAATGCTAGAAGTACTGTGAAGCTCGCAGATGGCCTTGTGGACTTTAGCACTTCAGGTGAGGTGAGTGTGGGGGGTCCAGGATCAGCCTGGGCATTTCCTTGTTTTTCTACGGGCAAGTCCATCACTTTCAAGGACAAGGTGCTGTCACCTGCCTTGCTCCTATTTGATCCTGAATCATGCCTCAGGGAGGGGAGGGCAGGGCAGAGAGAAAGCAGGGGCAAGTTTAAGTGTCAGGGGGCCTTGGGGAGGCCTCTTTTTGGGAGTGAGGTCTCCTTCTGGTCCTGCACAGCTGGGACTAAAGTGTGATGTGAAGGGCCTACTGCACCATACCATCCTGAGTGTGCTTGATCTCATCTGAAGGACCTAGTGAGACCAAGGAAGCATGAAAATAGCAGACCATTCAGCTGTAGTTTACATCTCAGCTGATATGAGCAACTGAAGAGAAGGCAGTTGAAGTGTCTGATGTGTACTGCATGGCCAAGAGTAATCGTGTAATGATCTGGAGGATTAGGCAGGCACCAAGAAGTGAGCCAAAGTTTCATCATATAGAAATGTTAGATGGTGTGGGAAGATCAATGAATGAGTAATTAATAATTTTTATTAGCGGGTGTGTTTTGCAGGTCTTGGCCATTAGTGTTCTTCTAGTTGAAGCACAACAATAATTTTTCATGTCATTAGTCATGGTTATCGCCCATGTGGGAATAATGGCATATGCTCTATTTGTTTTAAGTGTCCTTTTGGTTGTAGGATTTGTAGGTTTCTCTTCGAAACCTTCTCCTATTTATGGAGGCCTATGGCTAATTATTAGTGGTGCTGTAGGTTGTGGTATTGCGTTGAATTTTGGTGGGGCTGATAGTCTTTGATTTATTTGGGTGTCATGAGACCCCTTTCTGTGTCCAGCTTGTGACTCTGCAGTGGCCCCTGTCCCTGAGTGTCCGGGGGGAAGCTATTAACACAGGGACTCTTTCCCCAGGCCCCATCCTCCCAGAGCCAAGACCGGAGCCTAGATGCCAGAGGCAGTGATATTCTGCTTGCGCCCTCACGTGGGACAGAGCCAACTAACACCACATGCTGGGTTTGGTGTTTTTTCTTTTGCTCCTTTTTAAACTTGGCTAGGAGACTCTGTTCATTCTTCTCTGGCAAGTCTCCAAGATTCTACATGTAGCCCTCTCTAGGGGAAAAGTAAACCTTAGAAGAGTGGCACAACTAAATAAGCTGATCCCCTTGTCAACATTCTAGCAAGGACCGCATCAGAAAGATGCCCATTACTAACAGGGTGGTCTGCCGGATCGCAAGCTCTCCAGCGTCACTCCTCCATCAGTGGCAAATGGGGAAAACAAAGGCGATGCCACTTTGTCTCTGCACCTTTCCCTGTGTAACACCCAGGGAGGGGAGGCCTTTAACAAGGTCAGTAGCTGAATTTGTGCAAGCACCTCTGATGATTTTAGGAAGCGTGTCTGAGTGGGTGTATTACACAGAATAATAATCACAAACAGGTACTGAGTCCTCACCAGGTGTCCAGCATGATCATAAGCACTTTACACAGATTAACTCATTCAATTTTCACAATGACCTTATAAGGTAAAGACTCCTGTTATCCCTATTTTATAGATGAGAACACTGAGGCACAGAGATTATACCAGCTGGGCTAGCGAGTGACCGGGGGAAGCCTCCAGATCCATGCACACAACCGCCAGGTTTATGACACCTCTAGAAATGTGGCCAGTGCCCCTGGGGTCTATCAGCATCTCTTGCTAGACCAGCAGAGCCCTAAAAAAGGTAGGGAGCCTCCTTTGACACTTGAGCCCCAGCCATGGCTCCAGCCTCTGAACCTCCAAACTTATGGGGCTGCTTGGGGGACAGCTAGCCCTGTGCCAACACCATATCCCACGGCCCCAGCAGAATGTCCTTACTGGCATCCCCAGCTCTGTCTCCTTTCTCTCCTTTCTCTCCTTTTGGGCCTCGGTCACCTAAAACAGAGGAGGAAACTGGCATTAGAAATGGAAAGAAATCCTAATTGTGAATAAAATATTACCTGCAGGAGATTGATGAACTCGAGACCAGAGAAACCCTCAGGCAGGAGCCAGCAGCAACTGGAGAGCCCAGCAGGCAGGAGAAGAGGGCAGCCAATTCTGCCATCTGCCCTGGGTACCCCAAGAAGGAGGAGGCATGAGTGAGAAAATCCCACCCGTTTGTAAAGAACCAAAGAGCACATGGAATTTTGCAGGAAGAAGACAAGTCAAAGATAGTCCTATTAAACACTCAAGGTTTTAGAGGTCCACATCCAAGTTTGTTCTAATGAGCCCAGGGGAAAACAAAGGAGAGGGGGCTTTAGTTAAATAGGGGGAGAGGCGGGTTCTATGTTGAGCAGGTTTTCTTGTGGGAGAGACCATAAAACATAAGTGTGAGATACCAGGGAATTGTGGCATTTCCTTCCCAGGATATGGCTAAAGAAGACCTGTTTGGCCAGCTGGCATCTCCCTCTACAAAGAAGTAGAAAATCCTGGCACCACTCACTGGACATTAAAATGACAAGGGACTTCTATTCCAAGGACCCCCAGAAAGACATCTGCCAATCAAAAGCCCATGGGCATGCTGTCTGGTGAAAAAATCAAGCCAGCAAATTCCAGGGGAGAATGCCCAGGATGATCCAAGATTTGGGGGGGGGAAAAAAAAAAGGCAGCCATATACATATATAGGAATATGCTCAGAAAAAGATCTGGCAGGGTGTGCTCCAAAGCATTGACAGTAGTTATTCTAAAGAATAAGAGCTGGGGGAACTGAGGGGTGGAGACTTTTTGCTTTATGCACTTCTGTGTTGTCTAATTTTCTTTTCTTTTCTTTTTTTTTTTTTTTTTGAGACAGGGTCTCACTCTGTCACCCAGGCCCAGGCGGGAGTGCAGTGGTGCAATCTTAGCTCACTGCAACTTCCACTCCCCGGGTTCAAGTGATTCTCCTGCCTCAGCTTCCCAAGTAGCTGGGATCACAGGTGTGCCCCAACATGCCTGGCTAAGTTTTGTATTTTTGGTAGAGATGGGGTTTTGCCATATTGGCCAGGCTGGTCTTGAACTCCTGGCCTCAAGTGATCTGCCTGCCTTGGCCTCCCAAAGCGCTAGGATTACAGGCATGAGCCACCTTGCCCAGTCTCTAATTTTATTTTCAACAAGCATGTGCTGCTTTTACAATCTGTTTTAAAATCAACTTTTTAAAATGGGATCATAAAAGGAAGGAAAACCTCAGCCTGTTTCATCACTGACCAGAAAGTAAAATAAAATTTCTCAGTGATCTAAGATCAAGAGATCACCCTAGACATGGAGTGGGAATGATTAGCAGTACTTTTTTCTTAGTTTTCATTTTAACAAGTGAGGAGTAGAAAGCCTGGGGAAAGAGCATCAGATGTCCTTGTCTTCCGCAGTGATGCTACGAGGCTTAGACAATCTTGAAGCGAGCATGAAAAGACAGACTGACTGTAAAAGTAGGTTCCCCTAACGTAAACAAGGGGACTGCCTACAGGAAGAAGAGCAAATCAGAAGGAACATTTTTGGCACTGTAAATCTGAGAATTGAATTAAAATTGTAAATCCTGGGGGAATAAAAGAGTATATAGAAGGTCAGGAGTCTGGCAGGACTAGGGAGGAGGGCTGTCCTGGGCCTGCAGCCCTGGTGTCTGCCCTGCAGGCCCCTTGTTGGCTTTCTCTGGTTACATCTCTGGGCTGCAACCTACCATAACACTCCCTTGCATTTCTACAGGGACTTTAGCATTTGCACACATACGTGCTTGCTCACTCCTCCTGACAGCCCTGTGAGATATAGTATCATGAGGATTTCTAGATTTTTGTGTGTGTGTTTTATTTTGTTTTAGAGATGAGCTCTTGCTCTGTCACCCAGGGTGGTGGCACAATCATAGCTCACTATAGCCTCCAACTCCTGGACTCAGGAGATCCTTCCCACTCATCCTCCCAAGTAGCTGGGACTACAGATAAGTGCCACCACACTTGGCTAATTATTTTATATTTTGTAGAGATGGGGCTCTTGGGCTCAAGCAATCCACCTGCCTGGTCCTCTCAAAATGCTGGAACTACAGACATGAGTCACCACACCTGGCTGAGGGTTTCTAGTTTTTGGAGGAAAAACTAAATGCTTTAACAAGATGAAGAGACTTGTACAAGGTTGCCCCGCTGGTCCGTGGCACAGTGAAGATAAGAGTCCTGGTCCCCCATGCCAATGCCCATGTGCTGCCTGGGACTGGTGGTGAGGCTCAGGGAGAACTGAGATTGTTATTACCTTTGAACCCACGCATGCCCATTGGTCCTGTGGCCCCCAGCTTCCCATCATCGCCCTTGGGCCCGGGCAATCCTGGGGTACCTCTCTCCCCGGGCAGACCTGGGGAGAAAACAGACAAATGGCAGAGCCTCAGATGCAGAACAGGAAGGACCCTCAGAGGTCATCGTCGGGTTCAAGGCTCAGCCTCCCCCATGCATCCTCTCTTAGCCTCTGTGTCTGGCTTTTTTCTGTTAATCTAAAGATGCCACCACAGCAGAGTCAAAGAGGTCCACATGGACCCTCCCATGCACACCTTGTATCCATCAGGCTTGGGATCCTCCTGCTAGAAAGGTCCAGTGCTGTTGTGAGTGACGGTGGGGGTGCCTATTCCTTTGGGGGTGTCCCTTTGCCCTTCAGCATGCTGGAGACTTAGAATCAGCAAACACTTTTTTTTTTTTTTTTTTTTGAGACAAAGTCTCGCTCTGTCACCCAGGCTGGAGTGGCACGATCTCGGCTCACTACAACCTCCGCCTCCTAGGTTCAGGCAATCCTCCCACCTCACCCTCCCGAGTAACTGGGATTACAGGCACACGCCGCCACGCCCAGCTAATATTTGTATTTTTAATAGAGACATGGTTTCACCATGTTGGCCAGGCTGGTCTCAAACTCCTGTCCTCAAGTGATCTGCCTGCCTCGGCTTCCCAAAATGTTGGAATTACAGGCGTGAGCCACCGCGTCCAGCCTAGAATCAGCAAACACTTTTTTGAGTGCTTTCTACGTGCCAGGCCCTGCTCTGGATGCTTTTCATAAAGTATCTCATTTAATCATCACAAGACATTGGGAGGGATTATTCTGCCTGTGTTAGACAAATGAGCCAATCGGAGCTCAGAGAGATTAAGTAACTGCCCAAGGTCACACAGCAGTGTTGGAGGCAGGATCTGAGCCCTGCTGTTGCTGAAATGAGAGTTCATGGTCGGTCAGCATCGCTTCATGCTGATCAACAGGGCTTACTGGTACTTAGGGAGCGGGGTGGGAAGAAGAAAAAGTAGCTTCTCGTTTTATTTAAGGAAAAAAAACACAAAAAGATCCCTTCCCTTGCATACACACAGGGAGGTATAGCAAAAGGGATTGGAGGCGAGGTCAGTAAATGGATGGCCTGCTGCCAATCAAGCCCCAGGGCTCTTGGCCATGAGGCCCCTTGGCCACCTCCTGCGGTGACGGTGCCGGCGCCATGCAGAGCCAGCATAAACAAGTCCTTGACCGAGTGAGAGCCCTGGCCCCATGAGGCCTGGCCTAAGCGTGTAGTTATCTCTGCAAAGCAGAGCACCCTTAATTAACTGACTAATTGTTCTTTCCTGCTTGGAATATGAGTTGGTTTGCTTTGGGCTTTTTCTGGGACTCAGAGAAATCTGTCTCCCAGTAATGAATTACTCCTCTAGTCCGAAGGTCCAATGGCTGGAAGAAGACAGGTTTCTCGGAGAGAGCTGATTGGGTTTCCTCCTTTTCCCTCCTAATACAACATATCTGTTCCCAGAGTCCAACAGCTCCACTGCCACAGAATTATTGATCTAGCACAAGCTGTGCCCCAGGCTCCCCATCTTATGATTCGCTAGGGCAGAAAATGCAGTTCCAGAGCCCCATGAGCCCCTGAGCAGCCTCAGTGCTGACTTTAGGGAGGTTCCCTGAGAGGGGAGGGCCAGGAGTAGAGACTGGGCTGGGAGCTTTCCTTCCTCCAGGCACTGTCTCCTCTACTGTGTTTGCAACATCCTAGAGATTTAGGAAGCAGATGGTTTGGAGGTATAATTCCTAAAATAAATAACCAGACACCTTTTTCCCTCTATTTCCTTTTCTTCCATCACTTAGAAGACAACAGTCTCCCAGCAAAATGTTGCAAGCAGCACAGGCTCAGGAATGGACAGACTGGCAGGCAAGGTACAATGAAGGAACTCAACGGGAGCTTGGGAGACAGTGAGTCTAAGAAGAACCTTGTCTTTCTAGAAGGCCCAAAGTACCCTACCCACCAGCCACTGGCTCTTCAGGGCTGTCACTATGTGCAGCAGGATGGGGAGGGGACGGGTCAAAAGAGGAAGGGATAGGTATTCATGACCCATTCGTAGACCTGGGCAGGGTCAGCAGGAGTCATGGTGGGGCGGGAGGGTGGCAGGTAGCTAGTGATCAGGAAACACTGATGGGACAGCATCTTCAAAGGGTTGGTCTGGATCTCAAAACATCTCCAACTCCTTCTGCATGCTCTGCTCACACAGACCCTGGCTCCTGGGCTGGGAAGGGGCTTCAGGGAGCTGCAGGCCTGTCCTGTACCTTTTCCTTCAGACTGTGGCACTTGCTAAGGAAAAGTATGCGCTGCATCCCACCGTGACACCAGCAACCTCTTAGTCTCTTGTTGGAACAGAGCGTTTGAGGCGGAGTTGATTGGGCACTCCCCTGGGGAGCCCTGGCATTTATACCATCAAGAAAGTAGCGGGTAGAGATGGATTGGGGATCTCTCCCAGGTACCACCCAGGGGCACGCTCATTACCTCGAAGTCCAGGCAATCCAGGGATGCCAGGCCTGCCTTCCTTTCCTTCATCCCCCTGATCACCTTTGGGTCCCGGTGGCCCTGGAAAGGCAAAAACAGCACTGAGGTTAGGGGGCTCCCTTCTGAAACAGGACCAGGTCATCTGTAGAGGAAACAAAACGCCCTCTCTGAGGAGAGGAAGGGGCAGCATTAGCTTTGGAAACTCACAGGAAACCCCCAGCCCAGTCTCGGGGGGCATCAGGAAAGTCTTCCTGGAAGAAGTAATATCCAAAGTGAAATCTCAAAGAGAAACAGGAGTTAGCTAAGTAAACAGAGGGGTGGGAGAGGGACACACACACACTGAATATGTATGTCCCCTCCCAAAACCATATGTGGAATCCCTAATCCCCAATGTGACAGTTTTAAGAGGTGGGGTCTTTGGGAGGTGATGAGGTTTTGATGAAGTCACGGGGGTCAGCCCACATGGGGTTAGTGGTTTTATAAGTAAAGACACCAGGGAGTTCTCTCTCTCTCTCAAACAGACACAGCAAGAAGGCAGCAGTCTGCACACCAGGAGGAGAGTCCTCACCACAACTCAGCCCTGCCACACCCTGATCCTGGACTTTCAGCCTCCAGAGCTGTGAGAAATAAATGCCTGCTGTTTCAGCAGCTCAGTCTATGGTATTTTGTTGTGGCAGCCTGGGCTAAGAGTGAAAAGGGACAGTTCCAGGCAGAGGGAACAATCCCTACAAAGGCTGAAAATGAAGACAGAGATAGTAAGCCACAGCGGGATAAAAGATGAGGGACACACTGGGATGAGAAAGTGGGGCTCTTAGAGACCCGGCCTGAGTGTTGGACTCAGCCCCTCCTGAGGGCACCAGAGGCCACAGAGGTGCCTGAGAGAAGAGCTCAACCAGATCTGCACATGAGGAAGACGGCTCAGGCTGCAGTGTGGAAACTGGGTGAGAACAGGAGGGAGGCCGAGGCAGAGCCTTCAGTCCAGCCAGGTGGGAGGTGAGACCCCTGGATGAGGAGTGCGGCCATCAGAGGGATGTCAGGGACACATACAAAAGCTGCTTAGGAAGTAGAAGAGACTGACTTTGGTGAAAGTTGGGGAGGAAGAGGCCAGCGTCATGCTCAGATGTCTGGCTTTTGCACTTGGATGGAAGAGGGGTTTCTAATCTCTCCCGAGTGGGGCTGCCCTCCAGGCTGGGTCTCCCATGTGGCAGGGATTCTGTCATACATGATTGGATACAGTCCCCATGACAATGGCGTGTGCTGCAGTTACTCATCTGAGACCACACAGGCGGCGAGTGAGTGAGGCAGCTGTTGTTTCAACCCACATGTGACCTGCCCACGTCCACTCTGCAACACCCACAGGGCTAGACATCTCATCAGTTGCAGAATCTTCTTGCCAGCCATTGTCGCACCTGCTGTTCCCAAGCTAGTGAGCCCATGAGCCCTCCCTGCCAACCTCCTCGTCACTACCAGCTCTAAGGTGGCTCACTGCCCACTCCTTGCAAAAACCTCTCTGACCCAGTGTGCTGAAAGTTAGTGTGAGCTGCTTGAATGCATGTGCTTGGTGCCATTTGACAAGTAATCTCACCTGCCTTGTCCTCTTGTCATAGTGACTGTGTCCCATCTTTCCTAAGAAAATTGCCAGCTTCCTGAGACAGGACCATACCCTTTATATCCCTATACCTGCTGTGAAGACTCAGACTCCAAGCTCTCACCTCCTGCTGCTTTTCAAGAGAAAACAAGGACCATGGGGCCAGGTGTAGTGGCTCATGCCCGTAATCCAGCACTTTGGGAGGCCGAGGAGGGTGGATCACCTGAGGTCAGGAGTTCGAGGCCGGCCTGGCCAACATGGTGAAATCCCGTCTCTACTAAAAATACAAAAATTAGCCAGGCATGGTGGTGGGCGCCTGTAATCCCAGCTACTCTGGAGGCTGAGCAGGAGAATCGCCTGAATCCGGGAGGCAGAGGCTGCCGTGAGCCGAGATTGCGCCATTACACTCCAACATGGGTGACAAGAGTGGAACTCTGTCTCCAAAAAAAAAGAAAGAAGAAAGAAAAGAAAAGGAGGACCATGAAAAGTGGCCTTTATAGTGTCCCTACCCCCTTAAATTCACGTCTACCAGGAACCTCAGAATATGACTTTATTTGGAAATAGTGTCTTTGCAGACATAATTAGTTAAGATGAGGTTATATTGGGGTAGGGCAGGCCTCAGTGCAATGGCTGGTGTCCTTATAAGAAGGGAAAACAGAGACACAGAGATATGAGAGCACATGTGGCAACAGAGACAGAGATTGGAGTGATGCATTCCCAAGCCAAGAAACACCAAGAATTGCCAGCAAGCACCAGCAGCTGGGAAGGGCCAAGGAAGGGTCCTCCCACTGAGCTTTCAGAGGGAACGTGGCCCTGTGGATACCTTGATTTCAGACTTCGAGTCTCCAGAACTGTGAGAAAATAAGCTTCTGTTAAACCACCAAGTTTATGATGCTTTGTTATGGCAGCCCCAGGAAATCGAAACACACAGACCCACAGTCCAGCAGTAACGTCTTGCACAATAAATATTTGATGAATGAATGAGTATATAAGATCAGAGGGTGTTAATAATACATACAAAACAATCAGCCAGCCAAGATTGAGATGTACTGATAACTCCCTCACACTGGCACTGTCCTCAGACCTAACCAAACTTGACAGACATTTAATAATTCCATGGCACGCACGCAGGGAAAAAAGTAGTCAACAATTCTTCAATTCACAAGTAATACAGATGATTTAAGAAGGACTAGATTTTGTGATCCCAGTTTTCAGACCACATGATTGAGTTAGAGAACCTGTTGGAAACAGACCAAAGATGGCACAGAAACGAAGGGCGGAGTCAGGAAGCAAATGCGTTCCACTACCCCTTCCCAGCGATCTCCCCTTAAGGCCAAGGCCAAGGCTGCAGCAAAGGGAACTGGGAGAGGGTACCTAGATCTCTGCTGCTGGGCTGGATGCCCACCCCTTTCTCTCCTCTCTGCCTCCACCACCCCGGGTGCTCCAGGAACTGAGCTGGTCACAGATGCAAGGGACTGCACCCTCCAATTTCACCTGCCCCTCAGATGCAGGTGCAACCTGCAGGGGGGTCTTCCCAGGAGTCACTCTCGCCAAGGGAGGATGCTGCCCAAAGACCCTGATGTAGGGCCTCTGGGTGGTAGACATCATCTGGAAGGTGGGCATTGAGTATGGATATTGAGTCTTGGGTTCAAGTTCTGATTCTATTAAATGTGCAGTTGTAGTGAGGACTGAGTGGATTCAGTGGCATGATGACTAGAGAAGGGCTTCAAAGCCTTGAGTGAGGGGGGCCATCCCGATCACCTCACTCTGCATAACGCCTCCTCACTTTGCATAACACCTCCTCAGAACCATTATAGGATGACAACTTCCGGGTATTCCAAGCGCACCTGAAATCACCCTGTGGAGTTTGGCTGGGTCATCCAAGGAGAGGCAGGGCTCAAGAACATGCTACAGATGGATTTTGTTTTAAACATAACTATGTGGTTATGAAGGTCTTTACTGGAGATTAACTGGGAAGAAGGTGGGGTGGGCAGTAAAGGTGGGCACCAATTCCCAAGCCTTCATCACATCCTCAGGTGGTACAGGCCTGGCTGACTCAGAAGGGCTGATGATTTGGCCAGAGCCTCGAGGGGCCGAGCTGCCAGGGGCTCCGAGGACCAAGTGATCTTTAAATCACTGATGCTGCCTGTAGGTGAAGCAATCTCAGGATTTGACTTTTTAGTGTGTTTACTGACACTATCCTTTCTTCAGAAACCCAAGCTGGAAATCTTGAGCCTGCTCTGATTCTTCTTTCCTGTCCCCCTTTTGCATCCCTTTCCAGCTACATGCATCTGTGATTCGAGGCTTCTCATAAAGGAAGGTCCTTCTCATGTCTCCACCTCCTTCCTCACTGCCTCCACCCTCGTCAGGTCCTTATGGCCTGGCTCTGGCCTTTATAAGAACCTCCCTGTCTCCGTCTCTCTCCAGCCCATGTGTGCCTTGCTGTCTGATCCATCTCTCTGAAACAACAAAGCAACCAAAGGGACTCAGAGCACGGGAAGGCCCCTCACTGCACCACAGGTGCAGCTTCCCCTGTCAAGGCCCCTGCAGATCACTCACGATCTGACCCCTTCTGCTGCAAACTTACAGCTCGGTGCTCATGGTCACCAACTTTCCTCCACCTCTGCACAAACGCTCTCCTCATAGTGTCCCTGAACATTAGCCAAATCCTAAGAGTCCAGTCCCTCTTAGTCCTGAGACTGCCTTCATGCCCACTGATTTGGTTTGGCTGTGTCCCCACCCAAATCTCATCTTGAACTGTAGCTCCCATAATTCCCATGTGTTGTGGGAGGGACTCAGTGGGAGGTAACTGAATCATGGGGGTGGGTCTTTCCCTTGCTGTTCTCGTGATAGTGAATAAGTCTCATGAGGTCTGATGGTTTTATAAAGGGGAGTTCTGCACACACTCTCTTGCCTGCTGCCATGTAAGATGTGCCTTTGCTCCTCCTTCACCTCCTGCCATGATTGTGAGGCCTCCTCAGCCATGTGGACTGTGAGTCCATTAAACCTCTTTTTCTTTATAAATTACCCAATCTCAGGTATGTCTTTATTAGCAGTGTGAGAACAGACGAATACACCCACCCTTCTGGTCTCTTAGTGTACCATGGGCAGAGCCCCCAAATCTCAGAGCTAGAAGGAGGTGGGGAGATCCTCGTGCACAATGCCCCTGTGGGAGCACCCGGAGCCTGGTCAGGTGACCTCTGCCCACTCCCTGGGCACTATCCCCCACCTCGAACTGTGGTTCCCAAGGAGGACAGAACCTTCTGTAGGGCACTGTCTGTGGCCTGTGCCTTGCACACACCCAGCAAACAATCAGGATCTGAAGAATGACTAACGTGTAGTAGCAGAAGTGCCATGACATCTGTTGTTCCAAGAGGTACCCAGGTTAGCTTTTTCACTTCTCAACTTTCTACACCATCTCATTTCTCATCTTTTCTGTCACCAAGGCAGGCCAGGGCATGGAGGTGGCTGGGACAAGGAGGAGCAGGGTCCTGGGGTCCCTGCTCAGGCTTTGTCCACTCATCTAGCCCACTCCCCTCATGCTCCCCTCAGTGCAGTTGCTCCCACCAGAAGCATCTTCCCAGTGGGACGAAGGGTCTGGGACCAGGCATTCAGGAGAAGCACCGGGGTTTTCCTGGGGATCAGCCAATGAGGGGAAACCCATGCCTTCTCCCTTCCCTGATCCCAGAACACATGACGGGGTAGGGGACCTGTGTGGGCTGGAATCCAGGAACTGATGTGCCAAGAGCAAATTATGAGGACAGCTGATGAGCCTGGCCTGGAGCCAGCAGTACAGTCAAAACCACCCCCAGAACCATGCTAACCACAGGCCGGCTGACAGGGTAGAGTGGCTCAGCAAACAGCTCCACTTCCAGTACCCTCAAGTCACCAGGGCCTGGATTCTGAGCCCCTATCACCTTTACAATTGTGAGGTCTCTTTTTTTCATCATTTAAGGCATCTCTCTGTGACCCTGAGAAGTGGACAAGGCAGGCACTGTCAGCCCCATTTCACAGCCGAGGAGACTCAGGCCCAGAAAGGTGCTGGGACTGCCCTTGCTACCGTCCTCCGAGCCCCCAATGGAGGGTGGTGGGCGGGGCTGGGGGCAACTCCACCCACTTCCCAGCAGAGTCCGTGTGGAAGGAGATATGAGAGCTTGGCTCACCATACAACGTCCCAGGGACCTCAGCCCAGGCCATGCTCCTCAGCCCTCAGTAGAACAGAAAGGCCACTTTACCTGTCACTCCACTCAGAGATGTTCCCCACTTTCAGCAGGTCCCTACTACCCAGAAACCAGAGTCCCAGCATTAGCCTGGAATCCAAAGCCCCACTCTGTGACGTCATCCCTTTATAAATATTTGCTGAACTGGACTCTCTAATAGATTGTGTTTTTTCTCACGAAATCAGCCCACAGACAAATCTGCTTTGCGAACTTGTTTTCATGAATCCAGAGATGTATTTTTTTTGTCCCAGCCAGGTCACTGGATGGTTTTGTGACTTCAGCCAATCATCTCCCCTCTCTGGCCTCAGGATCCTCAACTACAAAACAAAAAGAGTGGACTGGATGATTTCAGATGTATTGCCACTCCATCCAAATGCTGTGATTCCAGAAAACCTGCATCCTTGCCAAAGAGAGCCATCTGAATGTGACTTTGTTCAGGTTTCCCCTTCTGGGCTGCCTCCCCTCTCTGGTTACCTTTCCCCTCCTGGGCTGCCTCCCCTCTCTGGTTACCTTTCCCCTCCTGGGCTCCTTCTCCTCTGTGATGATCTAAGTTCTCTGCTTCTTTCAAACCCACAGGCAGATTTCAACAGACCTGATTAATGCTAAAAATCCAAAACAGAAAATAGAACCCCCACTGCAGATATTCACAAGAGAAAAACTGGAGACAAAGCTCATCAAAAACTGTATAACAAAGTAAGAGAATAAAAACCATTTGGGTCAAGCTCAGGAATAATGTAAATAAGCTCATATTTGAAAAAATACACATAGTTGAGTATTTGTGACTTCTCAGCCAGGAAAGAGCAAAGCGTGAGAGTGTGGTGAGTGTATGTGTATATGTATGTGCATATATGTGTATGTGTATATGTGTTCATATGTATGTATATACATGTGCATGTGTGTGTACATGCACATTTGTATGTGCATATGTATACGTATATGTGCAAACGTGTACACATGGGTATGTGTGTTTATGTCTGTATATGTGCAGGTATGCGTATATGTGTGTGTGTGTATATTTGTGTATGTATGCAGGTGTGGATGTGTGTGTGTTTAAAAACCTTAATAGAGGAACTAGATAAAGCTAGGGCAGAAAGGCCACTGCAGACAGCAGTATGGGAATGCCTGGAAGCTTTTCTAGTGACCTAGCCCTTGTTCAAAAGCCAGGGTAGAGTTTGGTCCTGTTAAGGCTGCATGGTAAATACGTTCAGATATACCAGCAGGAATCTTTTTAATAATAATTACCAGGCACCTGGCAACAGAGACAGGGAGGCAGGAAAGACCCTAGATGCAGTGGTGATAATGAGAGCTGGAGGCCCAAGCACTGTCGAACTGTGAAGAGCCAGGAGCCCCAGTGCAGTGATCTGAGTGTTTGCATCCCCCCCGATTTCATATGTTGCAACCTAATCACCAAGGCAATGGTATCCGGAGGCAGGGCCTTTGAGAAGTGATGAGTCAGGAGGGTGAGGCCCTTGTGAATGGGATCAGCATCCTTACAAAGAGGACTCCAGGGAGCTGCCCCATCCCTCCCACCAAGTGAGGACACAGCAAGAAGTCACCAACTATCAACCAGAAAGCTGGTCCCGAACAGGGCCCAACTCTGCTGGCCCCTGGATTTTGGACTGCCCAGTCCTAGAACTGTGAGCAATAAACCTCTGCTGCTTATAAATGTCCCAGTCTATGGCATTTTGTTATGGCAGCCTGAACAGATGGATACACCCATCAAGAATCCAAAGCTTAAAGACAAGAAAGCAGGACTAAGATGAAACTTTCAGTTCAACAGAACTGAGTGTAAAACTTAGTTTGAGGACCAAAGAAAGACTACATGGAGGATCCCACCAGAAGAACCATGGCAAATGAGTGACCCAGGGCAGTTTCAGTTTGAGCCAAGGAGATTGGACTTAGAAATGAAAGAACCCGGATGTGAAGTGTCTGGGGAGGTCTGAGAGGGTACATTAGCAGGAGGCATGGTGACGTCTCTAGCTTGGAAGAGGAAGGGCCTGGAAAGTGCCTCAAATACAGGGAACACGCTTTCCTCTCTTCACTGCTTACAGCTCGGAAGCAAAATGCTTCCATCCCAACAACCAGGGTTTCTGGACCAGGCAGACCCAATTTAGATCTTGGCTTTACGGCCTGCCAGTTGTCTAAGAAACAGTGGGAAGGCTATTCAGTCTTCTCATCTATAAAGTGGGCAATAAGACCTTTTTGCAGGATGTGAGGATTCGTGGTCTTGAATGTCTATTTGAGAATTCATGTCTACAAAATGCCTGCCTCATTATAGGTCATAATTCACTGTAATTGTTATTTAATACTATTAGTTAGTTCCTGAACACTAATCCCTGCTAGGGGCAAGGGAGGTCAAGGAAAAGAGAAGACAGGAAAAGCTAAGATCCCAGGGGCATGTGTTTGGAAGAAGAAATTCTACCTCCTTCCCTCCTTTGATTTCTGGGATGTGAAGGCCCAAAGTGACCCAGGACCAGGAACCCAAACTGGGTAGGGGAAGCCTCTGATCGTCCAGTGTCAAGATTTAACAGTTGCTTTTACGAATATTGAGTCTCAGTTATGTGCACTGCACTC
Source organism: Homo sapiens (assembly GCF_000001405.40). Lineage (NCBI taxonomy): Eukaryota > Metazoa > Chordata > Mammalia > Primates > Hominidae > Homo > Homo sapiens. The sequence continues at coordinate 27,918,045 of NC_000008.11, forward strand.
TTAATGCTGGGGGACACAGAGACATACAGATCCAGGTGGACTGTGGGTAACAGAATGAGAACCAGGCATTGGGCTTAAAGGTCCTGATCATTGAACTGTACACCTGAAAAGGGGGTATTTCATGGCATGTAAATTACACCTTATTAAACCTGGATCATTACCAGCCATGAGGCCTTGAGTAAGGCAGGGACTTCCTCCCTGAGCCTCAGTTGTTTTCCTGCCAAAATCCTACCCTGCCCTCTACAACATCTGCCTTAAACCACCTCATAGATTCTCCTCAGGTCCCATTTTAAAACAAAACAGGGTAACAAAAGGGCTGTGTAAACTGGAAAGGATGCAGAGGGCCCCATCATTATACTTTCACTCTGATAAATGCAGAAACTCAGAAGAGGGAGACTTCAGGGAGCTAGAAAGGTTGGGGGGGGTTCAGTAGGATTTGGGTGGGCGAGGAGGAGGAAAAAGAGGAAAAGGAGGAAAAGGAGGAAAAGGCAGAGGAGGAAGAGGAAAAGGAGGAGAAAAAGAAGGAAGACAAAGAGGAGAAGGAAGAAGAGGAGGAGAAGGAGGAGGAAGAGGAGGGGGAGCAGGAGGAGGAAGATGAGGAGGAGGAAAAGGAAGATGAGGAGGAAAAGGAAGATGAGGAGGAAAAGGAAGATGAGGAGGAAAAGGAGGAAGATGAGGAGGATAAAGAGGAGCAGGGAAAGGAAGAGGAGAAGGAAGAAAGGGTGGAGGAGAAGGAGGAAGAGGAGAAAGAGGAGGAGGAGGAGGGGAAGGAAAAGGATAAGGAAGAAAGGGAAGAGGAGAGAGAAGAAGAGGAGAAGGAGGAGGGGAAGAAGGAGAAGGAGGAGGGGAAGAAAGAGGAGGAGGAAGGGAAGGAGGAGGAGGAAGATGAGAAGGAGGGGAAGGAGGAGGAGGAGAAGGAGGAGGAGGAAGAGGAGGAGGAGGGGAGAAGGGAGGAGGAGGAGAGAAGGGAGGAGGAGGAGAGAAGGGAGGAGGAGGAGAGAAGGGAGGAGGAGGAGAGAAGGGAGGAGGAGGAGAGAAGGGTGGAGGAGGAGAAGGAAGAGGAGGAGGAGGAGAAGGAAGAAAAGGAGGAGAAGGAAGAAGGGGATGGGAAGAGGAAGAAGGGGATGGGAAGAGGAAGAGGGGAAAGAGGAGGAGGAGGGAATAGAGAAAGAAGAGAAGGAGGAGGAGGAAGAGACGGAGGAGGAAGAGAAAGAGGAGAAGGAAGAGAAGAGGTGAAGGAGGAGGATGAGGAGGGCCCTGCAGGTGCAGGAGCCTCTGGAGCACAGCTGTCAGTGGGGAAGGTGAGCTGTGCTTCCAGGGCAGTGACGAGATGTGCCCCACTAGACTGGATGCATCACCCACAGCAAGACCATGTATGGCCCTTGAGTTAAACAATTAAATATCTCGAGAACATCACATGTTTCTGGTTTCGTTTGAAACAGAGGCAGACCTTGTCAACCTGGGTCCACCTTCCAGCCTGGCAAAAATGGGCTAGACCTGCCATAACCCTTAACACTCCCCTGACATTGCAGTCTCTACTCCTTGACATTGCTCACTGGCCTCTGCAGCAGTTCTCTCTGTGCCCCCTAGCATGAGAGGCAGTGGATGAGAAGGCAGGCAGGACAGGATAGGAAAGCAATGGGAAGCACACTAGCTCTGGGATCAGAAAGGCCAGCATGTAAATGCTGGTCCATCACCTCCTGGCCCTGCGGCTGTGGGCAAGCTATGGAAGCTTCCCAAATCTCAGTGTGCTTGTCAATAAAATAGGGAAAACATCACTCCCTTGGAGAGCCATTGTTTTCAAAAGATGCCCACATGAGATACAACTGGCACAGTAGGTAACACATACTAGATGCTCGCAATGGTATTATTTGTGCTGATGGCAGACTAAGGAATTTCTAACGAATCCAGTGGGCCATGGGGAGCCACAGTGGGCTTTGAGCAGGGGGATGACGTGGGAGAAGTGCATTTCATGAAAGGTGTTTCTGATGGTGAGTGCAGCAGGAAGGAATTGGGGGAGGGAAGGGGACCAGTTTGTCAGGAGTGAAGAAAGGGAGTTGGGTCTCTTGGTTCTATCATTTGTGGGCCCACAGCACGAGTACAATGGAGGCCCATACATTTTTGCATTTTTGCCATTATAGTTAAGATTACAAATGGACTGGCATTCCATAGTCCCAGCACTTTGGGAAACCAAGGTGGGAGGATCACTTGAGGCCAGAAGTTCAAGACCAGCCTAGGCAACATAGCAAGACCTTATCTCTAAAACAGTAATAATTTTTAAAAACTGGCCAGGTGTAGTGGCTCAAGCCTGTAATCCCAGTACTTTGGGAGGCTGAGGCAGGAGGATCACCTGAGGTCAGGAGTTCGAGACCAGCCTGGCCAACATGGTGAAACTCTGTCTTCTACTAAAAATACAAAAATTAGCCAGGAGTGGTGGCACACACCTGTAATCCTAGCTACTCAGAAGTCTGAGGCAGGAGAATCGCTTGAACCTGGGAGGTGGAGGTTGCAGTGAGGGAGATCATGCCACTGAACTCCAGCCTGAGCGACAGAGCGAGACTCCATCTCAAAAAAAAAAAAACCAAAACAAAACAAAACAAAAAAACAAACAAAAAAATGTAGTGGGGCATGGCAGTGTGCACCTGTAGTCCTAACTACTTGGAAGGCTAAGGCAGGAGGATCACTTAAGCCCAGGAGTTCAAGGCTGCCATGATCACATCACTGCCCCCCAGCCTGGGCAACAGAGCCAGACCCCAACTTGAAAACAGAAAACAAAACGACAACAACAAAAACAGTTACAGGGCGCCTGTAGTCCCAGCTACTTGGGAGGCTGAGGCAGGAGAATGGCGTGAACCCGGGAGGTGGAGCTTGCAGTGAGCTGAGATCAAGCCACTACACTCCAGCCTGGGCTACAGAGCGAGACTCCGTCTCAAAAAAACAGAAAACAAAAAAACAAAATACAAAACAAACAAACAAACAAAAAACAGTTACAAATGAAACCAGCTGATCGTTCAATGAAATACGTTCTTTTGCCTAAATGAGTAAGTCTTCCTAAGAGCCTAGAAGGCCAGGTTCAAGTTTGGAATTCTCTAACTCCAGATCTCCACCCTGGGAATGACACTAGAGGAGCCCCTCTCTACTCCCGGCCTGAGCCAGTTGTTCTGCCCCCAGCCTCAAGCTCTTGGAGGCTCCAGCACACCCACGCAAGCTGACCACCAGGCTCCCATTAGCCACAACTGGAGCAAACTCTCACATCTAGAAGAGTGGCCACTGAATCTGCTCTCTACCCGAGGGAGGTTTACCTGGGAAGAGACCTGTGCAAGCCCTGGATGTGGGTACATGCCATTTGGGCAGAAAATTCCAGAGTCCTGTAGGGCAAGACTTAGAGAGTATGGGGCTGGGAATGGCAAGTGCACTTGGGGATGGGGTGGGGCTGGGGTACTCCTGGGTCCTTGGGGAGGGGCGTGCAGGAGGAAGACCCCATCAGAAGGGGCCGTGGGTGGAGGCAGCAAGGGCCTGGCGGTACCTTTCGCGAGGGAGATGTTCCGCAGTGCGATGGAGTGCTCCCAGTCCTTGAGGCGCAGGTCCTCGGTGACCGCGTTGAGCATGGCCAGCTCCTGCTTCAGCTGCAGCTCCATGCCTACGTGCGCCAGGCGCAGGCGGCGCGTGTCCTCGCTGGCGTTGCTCACCAGCACCCGCAGGTCCTGCAGCCGCGTGCGGTGGAGGGCCACGTCGTAGGACAGGCTGTGGTTGAGGCCGCGCAGCACGCCGCCCACGTCGGCCAGCTCCTCGCCCAGGATGCCCACCCTGCGCGCCAGCCCGTCCAGCAGGCCCGCGTGGCGCCTCAGCAGCAGCTGGCTACTGTTGCTCTCCACCTGCAGCTGGTAGAGCTCCAGCTGCGCCGTGTCGCTCTGCTGGCCCGTGCGGTCCCGCAGCAGGGCCACCGCCTGCTCGGTCTGCACCGCCTGCGCCTGCAGCCCCCACAGCGCGCCCTCCAGCCGCTGCACTGCGCCCGCCAGCGCCAGCAACGAGTCTGACTGGTTCTGCAGCGCGTCCTGCACCTTCCACACCTGCTCCGTCAGGTCCGCTTGCAGCGGAGCCTGCAGCAGCCGCAGCTGCAAGTCCCGGAAGCTCTCATTCAGCCGGTTCACATTGCGAGTCAGGGCCTTCAGGTCGTCAGGGGAGCTGCGCGGCCTGGACACTGCGGAGGAGGAAGAGGGGAGACTTGAGCACCGCTGGGGAGGAAGGCCCCGGGTGACAAGAGGCGAACCCAGTCAGAGCCTGGCATGCAGTAGGTGCTCAATAAATGATAGACGAATAAAATCACAGGTGGTGTGCTGAGCGCTTTACTAGATCCCAGGTATTGTGCTAAACCAGTGGTCCCCAAACCTGCCTGCACATTAGATTACCTGGCTAGGTGTCTCACCTGCAGAAATTGTGATTGAATTGGTATGCGGTGTTACCTGGGCTTTGGAATTTTTAGAAGATCCAGAAGTAATTCTAAGGTGCAGACAAGTTTGTGAGCTGCTGTTCTAGTGTAACTATCATAGGTTAATTCAGTGGACCCCTAGGAAACTGCCAGTTGCGAATGTTGAAAAGCAGTTGCATATCAGCAGTTTCATGTAGGTCAGCTTAAGATGTTGGGTGGTGTTATCCTCTCAACTTTAGAGGGTGGGTACCTGCTGCAATCTGAATAAGCCCCCCAAAATTCGAATGTGGAAACTTAATCACCAAAGTCATAGTAAGGGGGGTCTTTAGGAGGTGATTGAGTCACGAGGGCAGAGCCCTCGCGTATTAGATTAGCAACTTTTTAAAAGAGGTTTGAGGGAGCTGTTTGCCCTTCTTGCCACCTGAGGACACATAGAAGGCACCATCCATGAGAAACAGGCCCTCACCAGACATGAATCTGCTGGCACCTTTATCTTGGACTTCCCAGCCTCCAGAACCATGAGCAATACATTTGTTGCTTATAAATTACCCAGTCTACAGTATTTTGTTATAGCAGCCTGAACAGACTAAGACAGTACCATTCTTATCCCCTTTCAGAGCTATTAGCATTGCCCAGGGTAAAAATTTACAGCAAGTAAACCTTAACTAAGAATGCTTGCTCCAGAGCCTGGGGGCTTCCCCTCAAGTCAGCTCCAGGACTGCCTAAAGGAAGAGCACCCCGGCAGCAGACTCAGCCAGGCTCAAGGCCACCGTGTCTATTTTCTGGCCTCCTGAGTTCGGGGCCCTTTCCCTTCTGCTCACGTGCTGTGCCAACAGCCTGTCTGGGTGTTCTCAGAGTGTTCTCACGACTTCTGATAAGCCACAGTGTCTCCTGGAGCTCCAGGGGCAACATGAGAAGAAACTGACGTGAAATTATCAAGCTTTCCATTCTCCAACAGCCCTGTCTCAATACTTGTCACCCAATCAGAGTCCATGATTGGACAGACACAATCCAATGAAGACTGCTTTTATATTGATATGCTCCTTCTCTGCATCTTCTACTTCTTTGTGTTGTTTGTTTGTTGTGTTTTCTGTTTTTGTTTTGTTTTGTTTTTTGAGACAGAGTCTCACTCTGTTGCTGTCGCCAGGTTGGAGTGCAGTGGTGCAATCTTGGCTCACTGCAACCTCTGCCTCCCAGGTTCAAGTGATTCTCCTGCCTCGGCCTCCCAAGTAGCTGGGACTACAGGTGCATGCCACCACTCCCAGCTAATTTTTGTATTTTAATAGAGATGGGGTTTCACCATGTTGGCCAGGATGGTCTCGATCTCTTGACCTCATGATCTGCCCGCCTTGGCCTCCCAAAGTGTTGGGATTACAGGTGTGAGCCACTGCACCCGGCCCTACTTCTTCTTCTAGATCCTCTATTTCCTCTTCAGCAAAAAACCCATCCCAGTGATCCCCCACCCCTTCCTCTTGGAGGGTTCCCTTTTCTTGGTTATAAGCAGCTATTGCATAATACTAAGAACAGTGATGTGTGTCTTCATCGTTAGAATCTAGCATCCTTGTATCTCCTGGGAGGTCGTGGACTGTTCTGACTCAGGTATGCTACAAATCCTGAGTGGGGATGTCTAGGGATGCTCATTGTCTGTTAGTTGTGTCCTGTCCACGGCTGTTCCCCACTCTGCTCTGCATACCACAGAAAGGGAAATAAGGCCTGGTGGTGGGATAGGTAGGAGGTGGGGGCAGATGAGGCACAGAACAAATTCCACCTTGAAAATCTTGGAGGTAACTGGGGAACTTGGTACACAGCTTGTTCAAACAATGAGAAAAATCAGATGGAATAAGTTCTCATCCAGAACTTCACATTGAGAAGGAGGGATATAGGTTGTGAGGGCTCTCTAGCCATGGAAAGATCAGCTGTTACAATCTTTCAGTGATGCTTCTGGAAGCACACGGCATTTGTGGTGGCCACCCTGGAGGAGATAAGTCATTCCAGCTTAGGCTCAGAGGCTCACAGGGCTGAAGGGGTCTTGGAGCCTTGCCTCGACTTCTCCCCCACCCAGCACTTTAATCTAAGAAGGTCACATTGCAAAAGGGTCCTGGCACCCCTGCTTACACCAGTCTCTCCATCTTCAGTTAGTGCTGACTGTCAGAATTTTCTGTATTCTGTTCAGACTTAGAATTTGCCTCCTTGTATTCAATTAGGAAAAGAGGAAGTCAAATTGTCCCTGTTTGCAGATGACATGATTGTATATTTAGAAAACCCCATCATCTCAGCCCAAAATCTCCTTAAGCTGATAAGCAACTTCAGCAAACTCTCAGGATACAAAATCAATGCGCAAAAATCACAAGCATTCCTATACACCAATAACAGACAAATAGAAAGCCAAATCATGAGTATACTCCCATTCACAATTGCTACAAAGAGAATAAAATACCTAGGAATCCAACTTACAAGGGATGTGAAGGACCTCTTCAAGGAGAACTGCAAACCACTGCTCAACAAAATAAAAGAGGACACAAACAAATGGAAGAACATTCCATGCTCGTGAATAGGAAGAATCAATATTGTGAAAATGGCCATACTGCCCAAGGTAATTTATAGATTCAATGCCATCCCCATCAAGCTACCAATGACTTTCTTCACACAACTGGAAAAAACTACTTTAAAGTTCACATGGAACCAAAAAAGAGCCCGTTTTGCCAAGACAATCCTAAGCAAAAAGAACAAAGCTGGAGGCATCATGCTACCTGACTTCAAACTACACTACAAGGCTACAGTAACCAAAACAGCATGGTACTGGTACCAAAACAGAGATATAGACCAATGGAACAGAGCAGACGCCTCAGAAATAACACCACACATCTACAATCATCTGATCTTTGACAAACCTGACAAAAACAAGAAATGGGGAAAGGATTTCCTATTTAATAAATGGTGCTGGGAAAACTGGCTAGCCATATGTAGAAGGCTGAAACGGGATCCCTTCCTTACACCTTATACAAAAATTAATTCAAGACAGATTAAAGACTTAAATGTTACCTAAAACCATAAAAACCCTAGAAGAAAACCTAGGCAATACCATTCAGGACATAGGCATGGGCAAGGACTTCATGACTAAAACACCAAAAGCAATGGCAACAAAAGCCAAAATAGACAAATGGGATCTGCTCAGGGTGAGCACGCAACCTACAGAATGGGAGAACATTTTTGCAATCTACTCATCTGACAAAGGGCTAATATCCAGAATCTACAAAGAACTCAAACAAATTTATAAGAAAAAAAACAAACCACCCCATCAAAAAGTGGGCAAAGGATATGAACAGACACTTCTCAAAAGAAGACATCTATGCAGCCAACAGACAGGTGAAAAAATGCTCATCATCACTGGCCATCAGAGAAATGCAAATGAGAACCACAATGAGATATGATCTCATGCCAGTTAGAATGGCAATCATTAAAAAGTCAGGAAACAACAGATGCTGGAGAGGATGTGGAGAAATAAGAATGCTTTTACACTGTTGGTGGGAGTGTAAATTAGTTCAACCATCGTGGAAGACAGTGTGGCTATCCCTCAAGGATCTAGAACTAGAAATACCATTTGACCCAGCAGTGCCATTACTGGGTATACACCCAAAGATTATAAATCATGCTACTATAAAGAACATGCACATGTATGTTTATTGCAGCACCACTCACAATAGCAAAGACTTGGAACCAAGCCAAATGTCCATCAATGATAGACTGGATTAAGAAAATGTGGCACATATACACCATGGAATACTATGCAGCCATAAAAAAGGATGAGTTCATGTCCTTTGCAGGGACATGGATAAAGCTGGAAACCATCATTCTCAGCAAACTATCACAAGGACAGAAAACCAAACACTGCATGTTCTCACTCATAGGTGGGAATTGAACAAGGAGATCACTTGGACACAGTGCAGGGAACATCACACACCGGGGCCTGTCAGGGGGTGGGGGACTGGGGGAGGGATAGCATTAGGAGATATACCTAATGTAAATGATGAGTTGATGTGTGCAGCAAACCAACATGGCACATGTTGTATCAAACCTGCACGTTGTGCACATGTACCCTAGAACTTCAAGTATAATAAAAAATTAATAAATAAAATAAATTAATAGAAGATGCTCTCAGAGGATCACAAACACTGCCGTATAATCTAGACCTTAACTATTTCCTATGGGATTTATTTAGTGCAGTTTGATCTCAAGTGTGAGATGGTGAGAATCCTGAGAGGTTTCTTTCAGGTAAGAAAACCTGAGAGGTAAGAATCTGAGAGGTTCTGAGAGGTTTGTGCCAGATATGCATTTAGATCTCTTGGGATGTAGGCTGGAGCTGGCCACGTATTGAGACAGGGCTGTTGGAGAATAAAAAGCCTGATAATTTCATGTCAGTCTCTTCTCATGATGTCCCTGGAGCTCCAAGAGGCACCACAGCTTATCAGAAGTTGTGAGAACAGTTCCAGTTTTGGTTCTCAAACTGGGATCTTGAGTTCTGGTTTTCAAACTGGGACCTTGAGTGACTAAGAGTAACAGGGCAACCTCCCAGACTGAAGCCCCAGGGCCGATTCAAGGACACATCTGCCGAGGGCCAAGACCCTGAAGTGGACAATTTTCTTCCTTACCTCTGTCTTCCCCAGCTCTCCTAGCCCCTCCTTCCCTCTGTGGGGGTCCCTAAGCCCAGCTAGTCCTCTGCACCCTGGGAGGTCCCAAGGCCTGCTCATCGGCTGCCTCCTCACTTACCAGCTCTGGGCCCTGCTCCCTGAGCAGGAAACTGGACTGAAACTTGGTCCATATGGGGACGGCTGACAATCATCCACCCCTTCCCAGAGAGTTCATTTGGGTCTTTTATTGCTGTTCATTGCACAACAAATAGTCACATAAACCTAAACAAGGGAAAATTCTTCCAGTGTCCCACAACAGAGCACACTGGTTTCATTTTGTTTTTCTAACTCTGTTCATATGCATATTCAATCTTTATAATTTGATTTCTGGGTTTTTTCCCACCTAATATTATTATTATATTGTAATCATTTTATAAGCATTTTTTATCCTCTGTTTTATAATTATGATTTTGATGACTGCCTATAAGTCCCTCAAGAGGACACATTTAATTTACCCATTCTCTTACTGTTGAATCCTTTTTTTCAATCATGGTAAATAAACGCAGAAAGGTTCCTCCCCTTCCCTTTGAAATTTTTCCTAATAATAAATTTCCAGAAGCTGGATTAGTAGGTCAAAAGGCATGGACATTTTTATGACTCTTAAAAATTCCAGCCGAACTACTTCTCAAAAAAAGTTATACTAATTTACATTTACATTACAGATTTTAAAATGTGCCGAGTTCAGTGCAATCTCACTGCACTGAGTATTACAATTTTCATGTTGTGAATTTCACAGATATAAAATGGTAACATTATTTTTATGTGAGTCTATTTGCATTTTAGAAGCGGCCTTTTCAAGGTGATGCATCAGCTCATAGGAATAAGATACTTCAGGTACCGGGGCTAATCAGAACAAAAATTATTTGGGGATAAATATTCTTTGGGCATCAACTTGCGTAGGGCAGCCTCCTTTTTTGGGATCATTTGCACATCCCAGAAGAGAATTATGTCCTTCCAACAGTCAGAGCGTGTTCTCTGCTTACACACCACCACCACCCAGCCTCTTTCCTCATTTAATTCCTTCCAGATGTTTGCTGTCCTCAACAGGGAATAATTCTTAGTTGAGTGTGACTCTCTTAATTCATGTTTATGCAAACAGCTCATTTATCTCTCTGCCTGGCCTACTTTAAATGTGTTTTAATTATTCTTCAACTTTTATACTTTCACAAATGGGAAAGCAGATCATAGAACAGTGTAATACCAAGTGGCTTTCCCTGAGTATGTGCCAAGCACTGTTCTAAGTGCTTCCCATATTAATACACTTAATCCTATTATAACCCTATAAGTATTGTTAGGATCCTCATAGTTCAAATGAGGAAACTGAGGCACACAGAGGTTCAGTAACTCACAAGGTCTCATGGACAGTATACCGTGGTGACTGATCATGGGCTCTGCAGTTTGGTTCCAGAGTCCCCAGCTCTTGCCCCACTTTGCCAAACTGCTGAAAGGGTGGACACGGAGAACACACTTGTCTGTCTTTCTTTCTCTTTTTCTTTTCTTTTTTTTTCTTTCTTTCTTTATTGAGACAGAGTTTTGCTTTGTTGCTCAGGCTGGAGTGGAGTGGCATGATCTCGGCTCACTGCAACCTCCACCTCCTGGGTTCAAGCAATTCTCCTACCTCAGCCTCCTGAGTAGTTAGGACTACAGGCACCCACCACCACACCCGGCTAGTTTTTGTATTTTTAGTAGGGATGGGGTTTCGCCACGTTGGCCAGGCTGTTCTCAAACTCCTGACCCACCTAGGCCTCCCAAAGTGCTGGGATTACAGGCGTGAGCCACCAGGCCTGGCCAAGAACACACTTTTTAATGGTCAGAGACACTCCTATAAAATAAGCTTTGAAGGGAGTGAGTTCCTCATGATAAACCTAGGCTGGGGTCAGGCTGTGTGGCAGAAACCATGTAGAGATTCAAATTAAGACTCTGACTCAATATTGATTACTGAATACTAATGAATGTTATTAGCATAGTAGTGTAATAATCTATGATTAATGTATTCATGTCTGCTGCAGGCCCCGGCCTGAGCTAGGTGGCTTGCCCCTGCACATCCACTGCGACCTTCTCATCTGCACAGCACTGCCTCCCCACCCACAGCCCACCCCAAGCCTGCTCCCTCTTCTCTAATTGTCCTTTATGTCCATGAAAAAAATGGCATAAGGTCAGGATGGTCCATATGTGATCCAACCAGATAGGCTGCCTTCCCCCAATACATCAGGTGTCCCTACAGTGCCAGCTGGGTAGGTACATGTGTATGGGAGGGAAGAAGGAAGCTAAGGGTCCTATTTGAGATTTAGTGACCTAAACCTTGGGCACTGGTGTGAATCATAACCCTTTATCTTTGCAAAGAATTCTGCATCCATTGCCTCACTTAATTTTCAAGCTGACTAACCTGGGAGGTAGGGGAGCAAGTATGCTGAATCTCATTTAAGGATGAGAAAAGAGAGGCTCAGGAAGTCAGGAGATTGCCTGAAGAATGAAATTGGGGTGAATTTGTGCCATCTGTCCCTTACCCTGTCCTCCAAACCTACTGCTGGGATGGTCAGTCACAAGGCAAACTCCAAGCAGGCGGAGCAGGAAAGGAGATGACATTTATTAATCACCTACTGTATGCCAAACTTGGCTATAGTCTCTTATTAGAAGTTGCTTCCTTTACTCTTCCCAGCACACTTACAATGTAGAATTGTTATGCCCATTTTCAGATGGAGAAACTCAAGAAGGTGGCAGAGCTCAGGCAGGCTCAGAATGCTCAATCTCCAAAAGCCCTGCTGCCTACCACTCTCCTCCCTCACACAAAACAGCATGGAGAATCTCCCCTCTTTCTTTCTAGGAAGCAATGGCAGAGTGCAAATTGCCAAATGCCCTACAATCCCATGGTATGGTCCCCCCCAGTCCTGCAGGCAGATAGTATCACCGCTTCACAGGTGAAATAACCCAAACCACAGCAATTCAGTAACTAGCTTGATATGGTTTTCCTGTGTCCCCACCCAAATCTCATCTTGAATTGTATCTCCCACAATTTCCATGTGTTGTGGGAGGCACACGGTGCAAGGTAATTGAATCATGGGGAACGGTCTTTCTCGTGCTTTTCTCATGACAGTGAATAAGTCTCACGAGATCTGATGGTTTTATAAAGGGGAGTTTCCCTGCACAACTTCTCTTGTCTGCTGCCATGTGAGACGTGCCTTTCACCTTCTGCCATGATTGTGAAGCCTCCCCAGCCATGTGGAACTGTGAGTCTATTAAACTTCTTTTTTTTTTTTTGAGACGGAGTTTCATTCTTGTTGCCCAGGCTGGAGTGCAATGGCGCGATCTCGGCTCACAGCAACCTCCGCCTCCTGGGTTCAAGCCATTATCCTGCCTCAGCCTCCGGAGTAGCTGGGATTACAGGCATGCGCCACCATGCCCGGCTAATTTTGTATTTTTAGTAGAGACAGGGTTTCTCCATGTTGGTCAGGCTGGTCTCGAACTCCGGACCTCAGGTGATCCGCCCCCCTCGGCCACCCAAAGTGCTGGGATTACAGGCGTGAGCCACCGCGCCCAGCCTAAACTTCTTTCTTTTGTAAATTGCCCAGTCTTGGGTATGTCTTTACGTGCAGCGTGAAAATGGACTAATACATAGCTCAAGGCCACCCTGCTAGTAGGAAGCAGCTCCAAGCCCATGTCTCTTCTCTTGCCCTGTGTTCAAGTCCTGCCTTCTCTTTAGGCTAATGACACGGAAAGAAGGAAGGAAGGTGAGTATCAGACTTCACAGAGCATCACATCTAGGGCAGAGTGTCAGAAGGGATGGGACGGAACGCCACTGCACAGCAAGCATATCAATACAAGTGCCGAGAAAAAGGGAGGGGCCTTCCTTCAGGTGGCAGGCAAAACTGGGTTGCATTTACTGAGGTCTGGATTCATGTGACTTTAATGGAAAATTCATTTAAAAGCAGAACATAATATTCATTCAGAATCTGCAAGAAAGAAGTTATCAGTAGAGCTCTAGCACTTCAAGTGCTGTGCACAGGAAACAATTAGGGTTTCCCTGACCCTGGGATGCAGGAGAAAACCAGGGCCTGCACTCAGGGTGTGTGACCAGTGCAGTCACACGGGGCCCCATGCTGGGGGTTTAATTCTCTGCTGTCGCTCTTCTGAAACTGGTGATGAATTTATCTCTGAATTTGTGTTTTCTCAGGGAAGTCCTAAGGCACAATGAAGCCTGTGCTGGGGATGTGGACCCCTGGCTTAGGTGCAGTCCCACCTCCCACCACCCCCTCGCCACCCCAGAATGGGGTCCAGCCACCCAGTGCCTCACCCCTCCTCTCTATCCCCAGTGGCAATGGTCAGGGTCAGGCCTGGTATGTGTGATGAGTCATAGGATAGGGCTCTAGGCACCTATAAGTATCTTGACTCTGACTCATGAGTGTCCCTGTACCTGAGAAAGAACAACAGTGACTGGTTGAAAGAGACCATGGCAGCAAGGAAACAGCTTTTTTCCTGCTTTTTGGACAAAGAACCTTGCATTTTTATTTATTTATTTATTTTACACAGAGTCTCGCTCTGTCACCCAGGCAGTGCAGGGGTGCGATCTCAGCTCACTGCAACCTCTGCCTCCCAGGTTCAAGCAATTCTACTGCCTCCAGAGTAGCTGGGACTACATGCACACGCCACCACGCCTGGCTAATTTTTGTATTTTCAGTAGAGACGCGTTCCACCATGTTGGCTAGGCTGGTCTTGAACTTCTAACCTTAAGTGATCCACTCGCCTCGGCCTCCCAAAGTGCTGGGATTACAGGTGTGAGCCACCGCACCCGGCCAAAGAACCGTGCATTTTTAATTCTTTTATTTTTATTTTATTTTACGATGGACTCTCACTCTGTCACCCAGGCTGGAGTGCAGTGGCGTCATCTCGGCTCACTGCAACCTCAACTTTTCTGGGCTCAAGAGATCCTCCTACCTCAGACTGCTTAGTAGCTGGGACTACAGGCGTGCACCACCACACCCAGCTAAATTTTGCATTTTGTGTAGAGATGGGGTTTCACCATATTGCTCAGGCTTGTCTTGAACTCCTAGACTCAAGCAATCTGCCCACCTTGTCCTCCCAAAGTCCTGAGATTACAGGTATGAGCCACCATGCCCAGCCTGAGAACCTTGCATTTTTGCTGTGCATGGAGCCCTGCAAATTACGAAGCTGGTCCTGATAAAAAACTAACTACTGTCGATCTTCTGTGACTCAGATAGCAACTCTGAATAAGCAAATAAGCAATTCCAGGGGGACCCTGTATTAGTCCTCTCCGGCTGCTGTAATAGGATACCACAGACCGGGTGGCTTAAACAACAAACGTTTATGGTTTTGCAGTTACAGAGGCTAGAAGTCTGAGATCAAGGTGCCACCAGGCTGGTGTCTCCTGAGGCCTCTCCTCCTGGCTCGCAGGACACCTTCTTGCTGTATCCTCCCATAACCTTTCCTCTTGGTGTCCCTTCTGATTCTTTCATTTTCTTTTTTTAAGACATGGAGTTTCGCTCTTGTTGCCCAGGCTGGAGGGCAATGGCGCAATCTCGGCTCACTGCAACCTCCGCCTCCTGGGTTCAAGTGATTCTCCTGCCTCAGCCTCCCCAGTAGCTGGGATTACAGGCACCTGCCACCATAGCCGGCTAATTTTTTTGTATTTTTAGTAGAGACAGGGTTTCATCATATTGGCCAGGGTGGGCTCGAACTCCTGACCTCAGATGATCCGCCCATCTCGGCCTCCCAAAATGCTGGGATTACAGGCGTCAGCCACGGCGCTTGGCCGTCCCTTCTGATTCTTATAAGGACAGCAGTCCTATGGGATCAGGGCCCTCCCTTATGACCTACTTTAACCTTAGAAACCTCCTTAAAGGCCCTGCCTCCAAATACAGTCACATTGGGGGTTAGGGATTCAACATGTGAATTTTAGTGGGATACAGTTCAGCCCATAGCAGGGTCCTTTAACATCCCTGGTTAGCAGGATGGGTTCCTGCTGCCCTCTTGGGCTGCAGGCGTTGATTTTTAGGACTAGCAGATGTAATCTACTCTTTCAAAATATTAGACAGTGACAAGTGGTTAGAACAGGGCAGATTCAGCTGGGCACAGTGGCTCACGCCTGTAATCCTAGCACTTTAGGAGGCTGAGGCGGGTGAACCACCTAAGGTCAGGAGTTCGAGACCAGCCTGACTAACATTGTGAAGCCCCGCCTCTACAAAAAATACAAAAGTTAGCCAGCTGTGGTGGCGCACACCTGTGGTCCCAGCTACTCAGGAGGCTGAGGCAGGAGAATTGCTTGAACTTGGGAGGTAGAGGTTGCAGTGAGCCAAGATCATGCCACTGCACAGCAGCCTGGGTGACAGAGTGAGACTCCATCTTAAAAAAAAAAAAAAAAGAGACAACAGGGCAGATTCATGAGATTCATGTGGTGAGTGCACTGTGGGGCCCATTTTAAAATCTATAACATAAATATAAACTTATATAACTTTTTTGGAAAGTAATTTGGCTGAAATATTTAAGTCATAAAATGTCCATGTTTTTTGACCTAATTCAGGTTCTGGAAATTTATTATTAGGAAAATTTTCAAAACAGGGGAAACCTTTCTCTGTTTATTTATCATGATTGAAAAAAGACTGAGGAGCAAGAGAATGGGTAAATTAAATGTGTCCCCTTGAGGGACTCTTAGGCAGTCATCAAAATCATAATTATAAAAGACAGGGAGAAGTTGGGAAAATGCTTATGAAATAGTAAGTAGGGGAAAAAACCCAGAAATTGAATTGTAAGAATTGGGTATGCATACGGATGGAGCTAGCAAAAGAAAATGAAAAAGGAAGCTAGTATGCTCTGTTGTGGGATGGTGGAAGAATTTTCTCATTTCATTTGGATTTATGTGAATATTGGTTGTGTAATAAACAGCAATAAAATGAACTCTCTGGGAAAGGGCAGCTGATTGTCAGCTGTCCCCATATGGAACCAAATTTCGGTCCAGTTTCCTGCACAGGAAGCAGGGCTTAGAGCTGGTAGGTGCTGAGAAGGCAGCTGATGGGCAGGCCTGGGGACCTCCCAGGGTGCAGAGGACCAGCTGGGGATAGGGATGCCTGCAGAAGAAAGGAAGGGCTAGGAGAGCTAGGAAGACAGAGGCAAGGAAGAAAATTGCCCACTTCAGGGTCTTGTTCCCAGGCAAATGCGGCCTTGAATCAGCCCTGGGATTTCGACCTGGGAGGTCGCACTGTTTCACTTAAGCTCCCAGTTTGAAAACCAGAACTTATAAAACTCAGAGTGTTCTCACAACTTCTGATAAGCTGTGGTGTCTCTTGGAGCTCCAGGGGCATCATGAGAAGAGATTACAGGAAATTATCAGGCTTTCCATTCTCCAGCAGCCCTGTCTCAATACTTGTCACCCAATCGGGGTCCATGATTGGACAGACACACTGGTTCTAGAATCAGATCCTGGCTGATGATGATTTCTCCAGTGGGCAATTCCTGTGGTTACCTGGGCTGTGACTGGGTCATGGATTCATCTCCCCCAGAGCTCTTCCTTGCATTAACCACTCTTCAGTTAATCTTCCAGAGTGGAGCAGTGGCATGAACCCCTGGAGCAGGGGGCAGGAGGCATGGCATTAGGAAGGTCACTTATACTCCTCTGGCCTCAGTCTTTTCATCTCCAAAATGGGAGAGATATTCAGTTTACCAAAGACTGCATAGGCCCAAGCCAATGGCTAAAGTCTGCAAAGTCCTGATGAAGCTGCCCAGGGCCCAGTTTGGGCCATCTTACTAGAAGTCTCACGGCCAGCATGAAGGAGGTGACCCTTCCATCATACTTTGTCCAGTCTGTTCACACCTTGGAAAACTTCATTTTGATCAAGTACCACCTCTTAAGGGAATGTTGACAACTGGAGTCTGTACTGACAGATTGTCAGCAGCCTCCAGAAGCTAGCTAGGATGCAGGAAATCGATTCTCCCTGAACCTCCAGAAGCAACCAAGGCTGCTGATATCCAAGTTCTGATTTCTAGCATTCTGACCCGGGAGACAGTACAATTCTATTGTTTTAAGCTGTCTCATTGGTGGTAATTTGTTAGGCAGCCTCGGGAAACTAAAACAGGTATCCAAAGCTTGGCAGTTTCTCTTGACTCAAGGAACAGGCCTGGGCAGGAGACCAGTGTCATTAAAGAAGAGGTCACAGCATCGCAACCCAGGCTGCTTAGTGGAGATGGAGAAATGGCCAACAGGGGGGTTAGCAAGACAAGAGAATGGGGTCTCAATGGGTGGTTGGAGCACAAGAGTCTTGAGCCAGGTAGGTGTCACCCATAAAGACCATCTGTGGAGTGAGAACATCCAGCCTCTAGTCTGGAGTCTGGGAGCAGGTCTCTAGGGTCTAGGCTCCCAGAGAAGAGCTGCTAAGAGCAAGCAGGGTGACAGCACCAAAGCAGAAAAGTCAATCCTGGGGCCAGAGGCACAAAGGAATGGGAAGGCTGAGACCCAGGGAGCGGGAGAGGGCTCAGGATCTCAGCACTGCCCAGCCAGGCCAGAGGACCCGGGAGCACTCCCAGATCCCTGGGCCAACAATGACACGTCTGGATTCTAGGACCAGGCTGTTGGCCCCACCCATTCCCAGCAGATAGGGGGAGAGCAGGGTAAGTGGGTCATTCAAACAAATACTGCCTGCTCTGGGCTGCGTGGAGCCATGGGGAAGGGCCAAGGCAGGAGAAGTGAAGACCGAGGAAGGGGAGGTCCTGGGGACATTCATTAGTACCCAGGGAGGAGGGCAGCACATTGGTAATTTTTCGATAAGCCCTTTTTATTTTTCCTTTTTAAAGAACCACATGCCCTGGTTCCTAGCTCAGCAGGAAACATAAGATAAATATTTACAGGCTGCAGGCTGACTTCTCCCAGATGCCTATGCCCCGCCAGCCCCTGCCCAGAATTAGGAGGAGCCCAGAGCTTTCAGCTGTAGCTTGGAGCGGCAGGAGACCCCTTTGAGAAAGAACCAGAGAGACTTTCCTTCTCTGCACAGGTGACCCATGATGTTCAATGCAAGTGCCATCTGGAGACTCATCCGCTGGGGGCTCTAGGGCAACATGGTTGCCTACATAGGTATGGTATCCTGAATGCCTCCCTGAGCTGGCCCTGGTCACTTCAGAGACCAGTAGGACAAGGAGAGTGGCCAATTCTAGGTCTTACAGGCAGGGTCCAACAAACAAAGCAAAGGATGAAGCAGGCAGATCACTTGAGGTCAGGAGTTTGAGACCAGCCTGGTCAATATGGCGAAAACCCATCTCTACTAAAAATACAAAAATTAGCCAGGCGTGGTGGCACATGCCTGTAATTCCAGCTATTCGGGAGGCTGAGGCAGGAGAATCGCTTGAACCCGGGAGGCAGAGGTTGCAGTGAGCCGAGATCACACCACTGCACTCCAGCCTGGGTGAGAGAGAAAGACTGTGTCTCCATTAAAAAAAAAAAAAAAAAAAGGTGGGGATGCTTCACCCACTGGAATGGTGGATTGGCTGCAACCCAGATGCCCATCATCTGCAAATAAACCCTGTCTCTGGCACACTGGTGAGCACTAACTGAATCCGCGGAAGCATGGAACACACACCGTGCAGTGGCCAGCTGATGGTCACGGATTTCCATATTAGGATGGCCTGTCAGAACTTAAAAGGAAGAAAAAACCCACCAATGTATTTATTACTGTGCCCAGAGGCGGGGCTGGCTACTTTGTGCCCTGGCCCTAGCATTCCCTATTGGTGGTCTAGGCAGAGTCTGTGACACCTTACTGCTGTTTACTGTGCAAATGGGATCCAAGATGAATTCTAAATCAAAAGCCTCCTATTGAGAATATTCCCGGATTCCCATTTTGGAGGCTAGAGTGTCTGAAATCATTACCAGCACTGCCAGAAAACCAAGAGTTTTAATGAAACTCAGTCTTTGCAAATTTATAAGTAGCATTCGAGACTTGCTCTTTTGAGTAACATAGCAGCTAACACAGAACCTTGCACCTGGTAGGTGATCAGTAGATAGTAGTGAAATACTGTAGTAGTATAAAGTGAATGGTTGCAAAGGAAAAACCAAGTTCCAGGAGGTGTAACCCGGCAGGGCTCACCCCAGCTATACCTCCAACCTCCTGCTTCCTGCCCCTAGCACGTGTGGGACTTCTCAGAATCCTGGGACCAACCTGGGACTCACCTATGCATGACCTTCACCCTCTGGGAAGTCCCGATCCCCGGGGACAGGAGTGGGCAGGTAAGCGCTCTCCCCAGACAACTCAGGCCCCTGCTGCACAGCTCCTGGGTCCTGGGGGCATGAGGCCCCAGTTGCCACAGTGGGGACCAACTCCAGGACACATGCTGGCATTTGCTTTTCCTCCTTCCTGATTTCACTCTCTCTAAGTCCCTGACTCCTGCTGCTCAGGACCCCTTCTCACCAAGAACTTCCAAGGCCCTGGCTCCGGCTCTGATTTCCATAGAAATCCCAGGCCGCCATCACAAAATACCACAGACTGGGTGGCTTCCGCTACAGACTTTTATGTTCTCACAGTTCTGGAGGCTGGCAGTCTGAGCTCCAGGGGTTGGCAGGGCTGGCTTCTCCTGAGGCCTCTCTCCTTGGCTCGTAGATGGCTGCCTTCTCTCTTGCCCTCCCACAGTGCTTCCTCTGTGCAAACACATCCCTGGCATTTTCCTGTGTGTCCTTATCTCCTCTTCCTATAAGGACACTGGTCATATCGGATCAGGGCTCACCCTAATGGCCTCATTTTCACTTAGTCACCTCTTTAAAGTTCCTATCTCCAAATACAGTCACATGCTGAGGCACGGGGTGGGGATAGGGCTTCCACGTGTGGATTTGGAGGAGACACAATTCAGTCCATAACTAGCGGTTAGGGAGGGCTCTTCCTAAAGATGAACTGGAAAGAAGTTGGGGTGGGCAGTAACGGCGGGTGCCCATTTCCAAGCTGTGGTCTTGTCATTAGGCGATACTGTCCCAGCCCACTCAGAAGAGCCTACAATGAGCCCAGGCCATGGGGTGCTTCTAGAACCAAGCGCTTCCTCAAATCACTGATGCCACCCTTGGCTAACACACGTGCAGGGTCTGATGATTCAGTTTAGAAACTTAAAATGTCCTGTGGGGCACAGCAATGTGAATATACTTATCACTTCTGAACTGTGTACTTAAAAATGTTTGAAGGTGAATTTATTGGTGTGGGATTGTAACTATAATAAAAAAAAATCTTGTGGGGAATCTTCTCCATACTTTCATGGGGTTTGTTGGTGTTTTCTTGCAGTTATTTCTAGAAAGGGGCCCTCAAAGACTCACTAATCAAATATGTCTGTGAAGAAATAAAACCCTATCTGACAAATTTAGACTGTGTTCTCAAACCTCACATGCCTGTTTAGAGATAAATGACTTGCCCTGTAGTCGATGTTCACTGACTTTCCCAGACCCCTTTCTTTGCATTTAAGGGAAAATCCTCATCGACAGGCAATGCAGGAAAGCCTCTGCCTACAATGAATCAGTACACGGAGAGAGATGGGCGTGAGGCTGCTCTTCTACAGCCCAGAGTTGACCTTATCTCCAGCAGTTTTTAATCTATGTGAAAATTAAAGAGGAAAAAAATCCAGCTTGCTGGATTTCACTTTGTACACACCCTTTTATATAAATGTAGCACCCACCCATCGTAAACTAGTAACTCCTTTCTGGAACCTCATTTCATCACTGAGCCAGCAAACTGACCATTTATATATATATATTTCTTAAACACGAATAAGTGGTCTAAACTTTATGAAGAAAAAACATGAGATCATTTCAATACTTCTTGCAGAGATATTCTCTGTTTATGGAATAAGTGGGTCCTGCCTGATTAACGGTGGAGGGGGCTTTCATTCATTCAGCACCTACTGATTGTCAGGCACTATGTTGGCCACTTTATACCATACACAGAATATCTGACACATGTATGAATTTTTAAAGTTTTATAGTAGTCTTCAGAGACAGATGTTGTGGAGAAACTTAGGGTTTTGGATCTGCAGGCAAGATACTTGCATCAACTTGAACATTAAATGTATATGACAGGGACTTTTTGCACTCCACCACCCCAAACACCATGCCCCTTCTCCCTGCTCATGAATGGCTGGGCCCCGTGGTCAGGGATATTGGGACATTAACTTGCAGGCTCTAAAGAGATGACCAGTGCAAGTGGCTGGGTCAGAGCTGGGGGCTGTGTTCACGTGGTGTGGACAACCTGGCTGTCAGTCCAGCATCATTGTTTCAACCTCCAGGTCAATGAGTGAGCTCTGACTTTTGCATGTCCCCCACCATGGACTCTTGTCCTTGCTCTTCCAGGCCACAGATGTGTACTGCCAGTCTCAGCAGGAATTAGACCAGAGAGTAGCAATGTCAGGCCTGTAAGAGACCCTGGCAACCACTGTGATGCCCCTCCATATTTTATAGGTAAGGAAACAAGAAGCCTCTTGTCCTGGGTCACGCAGCTAGACAGAGATACAGATGAGATGACTAACCCAATGGCCCATCCACCTAACTGGATGGAAGAAGAAAGGAAGCTAATATTCGTGGGAGTCTACTCAGTGCCAGGCAATGGGCTGGGGACTGCATGTATTATGTTTCATGGGATCCTCTGAGGTTGCTATTCATATGTCCAGTTTTACAGATGAAGCTTAGAGAGATCAGGTGGCTTACTCAAGATAACACTGCTAGTGAATGTTAAATCCAGAATTGGAGCCCCAGACTATCTGCCTCTTTCTACTCCACCACAATCTGTCCCTCTTGCCCTAGCAAGAGACTCCCTAGGTTGCGTTAGAGGCCCCTCCTGTATTTTTCTCCAGTCTGCCTCCTGGCCACAGTCCCATGAGGCTGTAATCTGAAATCAGTGAGGGCGGCAAGCATGTTTCTCTGCTTCTATCTTTCTGGACAATTTGTTCCATAAGTGCTTGTTTTCAAACAGCTCACCATCATTCCCCCAGGGGCTCCACATAGCTTTCGGTTGGAGCAGCATAAGCTCTCCCCACTGGTGATTTTCTCAAATTCGTCTTTCTTCACTTGTTGAGCCGGTCATAAAGTATTTTAAGGAGGCTGGAAATTATTCTCACGAGTAAGCATGTGAGAAATCTGAGTCCCACTTGCCAGGAATCTAGGCCTTTATTGGGTTTCCTCTCTCAGAACATAAGGTTTGGAGCCCAAGTGTCAAATTTCTCACGTCACTGTTCTTTAAAAGGTGGACTCACAGTGCAGTAAGATCGTGGACACTTTGAGCCAAAAGTGACCTTAATAATAATTTACTTACCATTTTCATGTGAGGAAACAAAGGCTGGAAAATGTGATGTGAAATGTCTCAGATCACCTAGATTATTGGTGATGAAATCAGGGCTTGTATGCATATTTCTCAAAACCCAGTTCACATCTTTTTCTACTATATCTACTCTGCTGTATAGGAAGTCAGAATTAGGTACCCACTCACCCACCCATCCATTCATCCATCCACCCACCCACCCACCCATCCATTTGTCCATCCATCCATTTGTCCACCCATCTGTCCATCTATCCACCCACCCAACCATCTGCCCATCCACCCACCCACCCATCTGCCCATCCACCCACCCAACCATCTGTCCATCCATCCATCCATCCATCCATCCATCCATCCATCCATCCAAATCATCACTGACCATAATGCAAAAGGCATTTCACCCAAACAGGGAGGGTTTTCCCAATTAAAAACACTAACACTGAGAGCAAGAGTTACTTTGAAAGATTAATTGGGCCTAGAGTATTTTGCATTATTAGATTGGTTGGATATCTTCAGGATTGCAAAAATATTTAATCTTACAAAACACTCCTATGAAATTTTGCTAGTGACAATCATCAATCACAATATGATTTTATGGGGATTCAGAGTCTTTTCTACAAAAGAGAAAAATTCTGATGATAACTTTTAACATCATATAGTTAAAAAAAAAACCCACAATACGTCTTATATTTACCATGTTTCAAAAGCTGGCAGCTTTGTGTGAAGTGTAGATGATATAGAGGAAGCAGATTTTATAATTCAGAATAGATTCTAAATAGAATGGAATCAATTTAGATTTAGAATAGACTCTGAGAATTGGTTGGGTCCTTAGACACAGTTAGTTAGATTAGAAAGAAAGGAATGTTGACCTTGGAGTCCAGAGGCCTGGGTTTGAGTCCTGACCACTACCCGCTATGCTGATACATACTCTTGGACATGGGAATTTGTCTTTCTGAGTCTCTCACTTTTGACCTTAAAATGGAATTAATAACGTCTACCTCATGGGGTTGTGTGAGGACTCAAGAAAAGAATGAACTCTAATTGAGCACTTACTACAGGCCCAGCACTGTGCTTTGTGTTATGCAGATATTATCTCATTTGAGAAAATCAAATAGATGGGAAGAAAACCCCACATATACTGCAAAGTCCTATTCAAATTCAAACTCTCGGTGTTGTTATTAACATCCTTTCCATGCACACCCTGCACCTCCCCTTCCTACACTCATTCTCAGATTTGTAGGCATTAATATTTATAGAGGAACTCCAAACAGATGTATAGAGCTTTACATTTCACAAAGCACTGCTGTGGACATCATCTCATTTTGTACTCTTGACCAACATTTAATCCCCATTTACATCATCATTATTATTATTATTATTATTATTATTATTATTATTATTATTTTGAGGCAGAATCTTACTCTGTCACCCAGGCTGGAGGGCAGTGATGTGATCTCGGCTCACTGCAACCTCTGCCTCCCGGATTCAAGTGATTCTCCTGCCTCAGCCTCCTGAGTAGCTGGGATTACAGGCGTGCACCTTCACACTCTGCTAATTTTTTTGTATTTTTAGAAGAGACAGGGTTTTGCCATGTTGCCCAGGCTGGTCTTGAACTCCTGACCCCAGGTGATCTACCCACCTCGGCCTCCCATAGTGCCAGGATTACAGGTGTGAGCCACTGCGCCCAGCCCCCATTCACATGAGATGAAGAGCTGAGGCCAGCAAGAAATAGCTTTTCCACCATTAGCCAGTGACAGCCAGGCCTCGAGACTGAGTCTTGCAGCCCCAAGTCAGAGTATGTTCCACGTGCCTTTATCCCACCTCCTCCCTATGATTGTGACTTTCTGGCTGCTGGAACGCACAGCTTTTCACCCTCTTCACGATGGTGGCCCCCACTACTGCTCTCCCTAGAACTAGGTAGTTGCTTGATACTTTCCAAAGAGATCCAGAACGCTGTTCTCTCACTTTCCAACCACCACCACCAAGCCTGCCAGCTCTCTCACTGTTAGGAAAGCTGCCCATTGCTTCAACTGGCAGGTTGATCCCAGCCCCTTGACCTTCTCCACCTGCCCTCCTCTGGCCATGCCCGGATCACTGCCATGCCTGGATCCAGAGCTGCCTTCCGATGCCCCGGCCTCTGGGAGAGTTTATCAACTTTTGTATACATCAGTGGTGAACTCTGAGCACCTGCGTCCACTTCCTTCCCCACTTTAACTCTCGGGCTGCACGGTACTGCAGAAGTGTTACGCTGACTTGGCCCTTTCTTGTGCTGCTTGAACATCCTGGAGTTGGGCTGCCTTGAGTGGGTTGGAGGGCTGGAAAAAAAAATGCCCTTTGCTGCTATCTCAAAGCATCTTCATGCTTCTTAATGCTGAAGCCTGCTTTGCCTCTCTCATTCTTGGAAGTAACTATATCCACTTTACCAAGAACATGAAAGCCATTTAGCAAGAACACCATCTCCTCTGCATCATTTAGCATGAATGCCACCTCCTCTGCACCTCACCATAGTTCTGCAAACACACTGCTTCTTCTCAGATGAGAGTAAGAAGCATCCCTCTTCCTGCTCAAGGTGACCTGCACCCTCTGTGTTCCATTCTGTTCCCTGCTGGCTCCTTGATAGGAAGCCAGTGGTGGGAGAGGTGCAGTCCTGTGATGCCTTGAAGGAGCCATCCAACATAGAAGCACCAAGAGGTTGGAAGGGTGGGGTGTGTTAGGAGGTTGCATCCTAACTAATGAGGGTACCCCACAAGATAGCCCTCTAAATATTTGAAGATGGATCCCCTTTCCTTAAGGTTTCCTTTGCCAACATGGCAAAACCCTGTCTCTACTAAAAATACAAAAAGCTTGTGTTTTTACAAACCAGGCATGGTGGTGTGAGCCTGTAGTCCTAGCTATTCCGGAGGCTGAGGTGGGAGGATCACCTGAGCCTGGGAAATGGAGGCTGCAGTGAGCACTGCACTCCAGCCTGGGTGACGGGAGTGAGACTCTGACTAAAAATAATTATAAAGTCCCTTTATTGCCAAAGTCATTCTTTCCTGAATGTGTTTTAGCTTAAATGCATCCAGCGGTATGCTGATAAATGTTTAACAACTGGTTCTCCAAGGGGTTGGGGAGAAGCCTAAGCTGTGGTGCTTGCCAATGTTTGAGGTGTAAATATCCCACTATGACCGACTTCAAGCTACCAACATGACATCATTGACTACGGAGTTAGGAAAAGACGCACGTAATCAGAGCTGACCAGCACACCACTGTCTGCAGCCACCTTACATTGCAGCGGTCAGAGAGGAAAACAGCAATGAAGAGGGTTAGAAAAGCCACATTTGATGACCACCTTTGTAATAACTGACTCGGGCAAGAATTGTAAGTGGATGCTAAAATCATGGAGTGAAGGATTGCTGGCAATCAGTGTATTTACACAGCCTCAGAGTGTCTCCCCACAGATCACTTCTTAATCAGAGGGAATAAAAGATAGCTTTACAGTAGATTATTCTGACCAAATTTACCTTAACCAAATTTACCATTACCAGTACAGGAACAAATTGACACAATCCACCTCCTCAAATGACTTAGAAAGTGTTACTGCCAAGAAGGTTTAACCTACGTCAATCATGGGAAAACAATTAAACAAACCCAAGTTAAAGGACAGGATAGCAAGCAACTGGCCTGCATTCTTTAAAATGTCCATGTCATGAAATACAGTGAAAGGCAAGGAACCCATCTAGAAAAGACTATGGAGCCATGAAAACCACATGTATATTCTGGATTGGATCCTGCATCAGGAGTTTTAAAAATGGTTATAAAGGACATTCTTGGAGCAACGGAAGAAAATTAAATATGGATATACTGTATTTATAATCAGCATTAGATTTCTTGAATTCAGTAATTGTATAGTGGTGATATAAGACAATGTCCTTGTTCTTGTAAATACACACTAACATATTTAGGGGTGAAGTTTGCAACTCACTGTCAAATGGTTCCACAAAAATTAAAAATGGTAATAACAAACGTGGGGCGAGAAGAGAGAGCAGGTACACGCAAATGGCATAAAATGTTAACAATATTAAAATGAAGGGTATATAGCACTCTTTATAGCTTCCAACTTCTCTGTAGGTTTAACATTTTTTAAAAAATAAAAAATTAAGACCAGGCATGGTGGCTCATGCCTGTAATCCTAGCACTTTGGGAGGCCAAGGTGGATGGATCACCTGAGGTCAGGAGTTTGAGACCAGCCTGGCCAACATGGTGAAACTCCATTTTGTAAAAATAGAAAAAAAAAAAAAAAGTAGCTGGGCATGGTGGCAGTTGCCTGCAATCCCAGATACTTGGGAGGCTGAGGTGGGAGAATCATTTGAACCTGGGAGGCAGAGGTTGCAGTGAGCCGAGATCACGCCACTGCACTCGTCTGGGCGACAGAGCGAGAGCCTGTCTCAAAAAAAAATAATTGAGGTCAGGCGCTGTGACTCATGCTTGTAATCCCAGTACTCTGGGAAACTGAGGCAGGTGGATGACTTGAACCCAGGAGCTCAAGACCAGCCTGGGCAACATGGCAAAACCATCTCTACTAAAAATACAAAAAATTAGCCAGGTGTGGTGGTATAGGCCTGTAGTGCCAGCTACTCAGGAGGCTGAGGTAGGAGGATCATCTGAGTTCAGGAAGAAGAGGCTGCAGTGAGCTGTGATTGTGCCCACTGCACTCCAGCCTGGGTGATGGGAATGAGACTGTAAAAAAATAATAATAAATTGAAAAAAAAAAAAGGAAACACTGAGGAGTTGTCTAACCTGCATGGAGCCAAATAATACTGGTGCCTCCCTTATTCTCTATGAACGTAACTTTGATCACGATAGCTTTTGGTGGCAGGCATGTCACACACTGACTCATAGACTGCATCCTGCCAAACTCAAACCCTCAACCTTGCTTTAAAAACTGATGTCAAGCCGTGGCTTCCCCATTTGTGGGGCACTACTTCATGTGTGTCCATATTAATTGACCAGGTCTAAGCTATCTCTCTGGGTTTCAGCCTTATTTTGGGTTCTGATTCCGCATTCCTTTAAATTGAGTGCTGATCTCTGTGAACCACAAAGACAACAAACATGTCATCCGGGATTTAACTACATAAAGATTTATGAAGCATACAGGTTGTGCAAAGCAGCAGGTTGGGTACAAAGAAATCAACAACAAGTAAATAAGATGTGAGTGTCAATCATAGCCTTCTGGAAGATAAGAACCAGGTCTTATACTTCCTTGGTCCCCCTATAGCACCCCATGGTAGTGAGTATGTATTAGACACTTTATAAATGCCTGATTTGACCTCACATAGTAACCAGGCAAAAGGCTTAAACAGCCAGTCTCCTTAAGAGATGACACAATGAATAATCAAATGTATGGAAAGCTTGATGAGATTATTAGCTATCAAAGAAATGCAAATTTTAAAAAAGGAAATCTCTAAAAGTAATGGAACAGTGCTACATCATGCTGGCAAGACCGTGGTGAACGCTAGTGTGTTTAAACATTGCTGATGACTGTGCAAATATTTTTGGAAGGCAATTTGGCAAAAAGTATCAATAGCCATAAAAATGTTCACATCCTTTGCAAAATAGTCTCTCTCCTGGGAATTTAAGAAGTAACCCAAAAGAAGGGAAATGCTACAGCAGTGAGAAATTTATCACTCTCTTATTTGTAGCAGTGAAAACCTAGAGAAGTCGTGGATGAGCAATTAGGAACAATTAAATCATGGTACATTAACCAGATGAACTTTAATGAAGCTCTAAAAATGACAACCATGAAGTCTGCCATGTAACAATGTGGGACATGCATACGCTATCACAGGAAGCAAGCACATACACACAAAGGATTAAAAGAAAACCAGGATTCGTGAAAACAACTGACTTTAGAGGAGTGGAATTATGAGTGCAGCCTTCTTCTCTGAAGGGATTGGCTCCAGGATCCCCCACAGAAAATCCTCAGATGCTCAGGTCCCTTCATTGGACCTCCTGTATTTGCTGGTTTCACATTCTCAAATTCAATCAACCACGGATAGAGAGAGGACTCAAAGGAAACCAGCCCTGTTAGCACCTTGATCTTGGACTTGCAGCCTTCCTGAGAGAAAGTAACTACATCTATTGTTTAAGCCATGCAGGCTGCGGTATTTTGTTATGGCAGCCTCAGCAAACTAATACAGACTGTAAGAGACAACCCAGCCAGCCAGGGCTAATTTGGCTCTATCTAAGGGTAGGACCAGGAGCCCCAGGCACAGTGGATTATGGGTCATTGTAGGCACCACCAAGTGTGCCCAGGGCCAGAGAGAATCTGACGAGGCCTCCTTTGCCCTCTTCATCCCAGTGAGTGGAATGCCCCCCTTTCTGATTTAGGAAGGGGTGGGCCTTGGGCATCTGCATTTCAAATAACAACCCACCCCTCCCTGATTTCTGTTTTAGCAAACTCGTTGAACTGAGATCCTGCAGAATGACTGAATTCATGATCCCCTTAGCTTTTGTTTTTTTTCACTGTTCTCCTTCAGTTTCTTCTGTCTCTCCTAGCGAACAGAGATCCCAGGTGGTCAGAATATCCTGTTGGGCTTTTTTTTTTTTTTTGAGAGGGAGTCTCGCTCTGTCACCCAGGCTGGAGTGCAGTAGTGTGGCTTTGGATCACTGCAACCTCTGCCTCCCAAGTTCAAGTGATTCTCCTACTTCAGTCTCCCGAGGAGCTGGGACTATAGGTATGCACTACCACGTCCGGCTACCTTTTGTATTTTTAGTAGAGACAGGGTTTCGCCGTGTTGGCCAGGCTGGTCTCGAACTCCTGACCTCAGGTGATCCACCTGCCTTGGGCTCCCAAAGTGCTGGGATTACAGGCATGAGCGACTGCACCCAGCCTCTGTTGGACTTCCAAGGGCAAATTGGCTTAAAAATCCAAAGGGCAAGAGATTCTGCTTCTGGGTACAAGCCCAAAAGAATTGAAAGCAAGGGCTTGAACAGATACCTGAACACCCATGTTCATAGCAGTATTATTCACAGCAGCCGAAAGATGGGAGCAACCCAAATGTCCACTGACAGATGGATGGATAAGCAGAATGTGGTCTAGCCAAGCAATGAAATAGTATTTAGCCTTACAAAGGAAGGAAATTCTGACCCCTGCTTCAACCTGGATGAACTTTGAGAACATTACGCTAAGTGAAATAAACCAGTCATAAAGGCTCACGCCTGTAATCCCAGCACTTTGGGAGGCCCAAGTCCGAGACCAGCCTGAACATGGCGAAACCGTGTCTCTACTAAAAAAAAAAAAAAAAAAAAGTCAGGCATGGTGGCACATGCCTGTGATCCCAGCTACTTGGGAGACTGAGGCAGGAGAATTGCTTGAACCCGGGAGGCAGAGGTTGCAGTGAGCTGAGATCACGCCACTGTACTCCAGTCTAGGTGACAGAGTGAAAAGATAAAATAAAAACATGATAGACAAACACTGTCTGATTCCACTGATATGAGGTCCCCAAGAGAAGACAAATCCATAGAGACAGAAAGTAGAATGGGGGTTGCCAGGGGCTGGGGGAATGAGGAGTTCAGGTCTAGTGGATGCAGTTTCAGCTTGGAGATATGAAGAGTTCTGCTAGTGGGTGGTGGCGATGGTTGCACGGCAATGTAAACATGCTTAATGTCACTGACCCTTACACTTAAAAATGGTTAAAATGATAAATATTATGTTCTGTGTATTTCACCAGAATAAAGAAAATTCTAAAAGGTAACTGAGGAGGGGAGCTGGGTGGGGTCGGGGGTGGAGGACAGATTTGGCCTCGGGCTGGGTTGCAGGCCTCCTCCCCAGGGTGAGGGCGGTGACTTAGGGGAGGGTCTGGCTGCTCCAGGCAAGCAATTACTCAGACTCAGCCTTGGCCACACCCAAGGCCACAAGATATATGGGCCCTCTGGGAGGGAGGCAGGGAGGCCCCAGCTCAGCTTTCACAACTGAAGTCTCAGGACCTGGCTGGGAGCCACGAGCTGGAGCCTTCCTTCCCCTTCCCCTATCTTCTCTTCCATCAAATACAAAGGCGGCAGGGCCTGGGGCTGGGCCGTTCCACCGGCAGGTCAGGACCGCCAGGCCAGCCTTTCTGTCCACTGGGCCGAAGGGTGTGGCCCGGTTCCATGTGTTTGGGATTTGAGCAGCTAGGGGCCTGGAGAGCTCTTCAAACTGGCCAGTCCCACGGGGCTTGGTGGGTAACATTCCCCAGTCCCTCTCCAAGGAAGAAAAACAAACAGCTGAGCGCAGGAAGCCTAGCTGTGGGACTCGCTCCAAGACTGAAAGGGGAGGAAAAAACGATTCCAGCCCCAAACGCCTAGTTAAATTGAAAGCAATGGACTACAGACGGGAATGGGCACTTTTCCATAAGCCCCAGCCTTATCAAGGAAATTTAAAAATCCATCCTTGAGAGTTCATGCGTTTTGCTTTGTAATTTGCAATGTGGTGTTATGGCCGTTTGTGTATATCGATGTGCATAGTTTATATTGCAAAAGCAGATATTATAAAAACCCACATGGCCAGGCTGAATGAACGAAGCACAAGCGGGTGGAGCCCACAATTGGCTTGGTGCTAGTATTCTTTGTGGGAAGCCACCCTCCTTGTCCCTCACTTCGGGGTGCCTCAGTTTCCCTATCTACTTCTTGCTCAGAGGCTGGTGGTGTGGTGGACAGAACAGTGAGCTTCAGGGGACCTGAGGCCCAGGCCTGTCTTGATCACACATGAGCAGAGCCCACGTGGCTCAGAGCTTGGCTTTCCAGCTAATCTGTATTTCCTCAGTAGAAGCCAGGTGGCAATCACAGGGGAACAGCAGGGATTAGTGAGACGGAGCTCTTGACCAGGAAACCAGAGTCAGCCCAGCTTTGACCTTAACCACCAGTGCCCTTTAAATTTAATCAGCAACTATTTATTTTCTCCTATGAGAACTATCAACCTCGTTGGACCTCAGTCTTCTCATCTGTGAATGGGGATAATAGTGTCTCCCTCAGAGCAGTGGGTGAGGCTCAAGTAACCTATTGGATGGGAAATATGATTATTACTGTAACCGTAAGGGTGGAGTTGGGTGAGGTTGGCAGCTACCATGTGGGAGCATGGGGGTCTTTGGGACACTATGGATTGAGTAGCTCAGGAATCAGGCCACTGTTGCCGCATAACTCAGCCTGGAAGCAGGGCAGGCAGATCGGAGAGCAGCAGCAGTGCCTGACTCACCTCCTGTCCTCCTTCCACCCCAACCGCATCCCATCAAGAGGGCTTTTCCCCGTGGAAACTCACGCCCACGGTACCCGGAGCTGGATGGGAAAAGCCCCTGCCTGGCAGTGTCTCAGGTCTGAGTCCTCCCCTACAGCCTGCCCGGGTGCAGAAGGGGCCAGGGACATGGGTCTGGCTCCTGAAGAGGCCCTGCAGGTTGCAGTGGGGTGGGACCTGAGGGGAGCCACTGCCCATCCACAGAAAGAAGGGCTGTTGCAGAAAGTTCTGGAGCTGGACTAAGCTGGCCTTGCTGATGGTGCTGCTAAGCATGAACAAGCAGGCTGGCCTTGGGCAGGTCCACCAGGGCCTGAGCAGAGACCTAGGGAGGCTCAGTAATGTGGCCAGCCCACCGTGGCTCCTTGTGGTGAGAAAGGGGCTGAGAGCCTGGAAACGCTGGGGGAATGCCACCCACTGGCCACCTGGGAGTGAGTCCTTGCAGCCAGGGCAGGTGCAGAGCCACCAAGGAGGGGAAGGGGTCTAGCACATCCTCCTGCCAACTGCATGCCAGCCCCAGGGGCTGAGGCAGGGACACCCACACGCTCTTTGCCATTAAACCACCTATGTCTGCACTTTGACGCGAGCCAGACCTGGGGGTTGCCAGGAATATGCACGACTACCTGGAACCTGGTCCAGATCCCTGCCTTGTAAGGAGACCCCCACCCCACACACACCCCCAATCCCATCCTCGAGCAGACCCTTTCCACACAGGCCTCATGCCCGTGCTTGGGGGGCATCCCAGCCTGCACGGCCAACTCTAATCCCCACCTAATGCCGGCAAGCAACCCTCCCTTTGTCACCCTCTGGCCAGCACCGTGGTTTCCCTCTCCCAGAACAGCCCAAAGGACCTGGAAGAAAGCTGAGGCTTTGGGGAAGGGAATTCCAGTCCCAGGTCCCCAGAGCATGACCCAGAAGGAGGGACATGTGAGCTCCAGGTGCCATGTTCTCTTAGCCCTCAGGATGCCTCACCTTGTGGGTTGGGAAGCGGCCAGAGGGACAGAGTGGGGCCCTCTAACACATGGGGACTAGGGCAGGTGCCTTGGTCTCAGGAACCTGAGACACTTAGCAATGCCTCGGAATCCAGTGCCAGCACTTTCCTTGAGCGTATATTAACAGACAGCACCTCTGTACCCATTCAACCGATCGGAACGAGCTCTGTGACAAAACTCCTATTTCAGCACTCAGCTTTATGGGAAAAAAAAAAAAAGGTCAGTGTGGACTAAGCCATTTATTCCACAGACCTCACCAATAACTGCTGTTATAGTACCATACACAGGGACTCACCCCTTCTCAAGAGGAATGGTGGGTGCTTAATACATCATCTCATCTAAGGGTCTCCACGTTACTCAGAGGATGGCCTTAGGATCCCCACTTTACAGATAAGAAAACTGGTGCTCAAAGAGGTTTAGAAATTTGCCCAAACTCATGGAATTTTTAAAAAGAGCAGAATGGGTTTGAAATGCAAGTCCATGTAATTCTAAAATTTAGGCTAGTGAATGATACAGAGGGATTCATATATGTGCCCCCAGAAAGGTCACAGTTTAGTGTGGAGTCAGACACAGAAAACCGGTATCAATGCCTGAGCAGGACAAGAGCTGTGCTGAGTGGAGCAGGAGGGCAGTGTGGGAGCCGGAGCTGTGGTCACTCCCAAGGTCCAAAAACTGATCGGCGCCAATGGAGCTCTGAAGGTCCAGCCCAGAAATTCTCAACCCAGAGCCCCCAACAGAACCTTTAAAGAGCCCCAAAGTAGACATGGGTTTTCTTGGTGACCAACGAATGACTGGTGACCATTGATGTGTCAAGTGGTCAGGCCCCCGAGGCTCACAGGGGCAAGGCCCCCTGCCCAAGGTCACACAGCTTGTGGCAGTGCCAGGGTCAGGAGACCCGAGGCTGGACCTCCGGTGCAGAGGCCCGTCCCGTCCTGCACGGTGCCATCAGCGACTGCCCATGGCCACACGGTAAGGCAGAAGGCAAGTGTGCTCCACGCCAGGGAATGTGCCTCCTGTACCCAGAGGAGGAAGGAAAATCCTTCCTCTTCCTCATGCAGGGGAGGTTCCCTGAGACAAGGCTGGAGAAGAGGAGGTCCGGAATCCCTTCTTCCTTTCAACATTTTTCACGGGGAATGACTTCGAGCGAACTCGAACACACCAGAGAATTCCAGTCCCAGGTCCTCAGAGCATGACCCAGAAGGAGGGACATGTGAGCTCCAGGTGACATGCTCTCTTAGCCCTGAGTGCACAGGGTGTTGCTTAGAGCAGGTCACTTTTGCAGGATAGTGTCCCCTGCAAACTCATGTCCACCCAGAACCTATTTGGAAATAAACTCTTGGTAGGTGTAATCAAACTAAGATGAGGTTGTATTGGGTTGGGGACCAATATGATTAGTGTCCTTAGAAGAAGAGGGAGATCTGGACACAGAAACAGACATGTAGGGAAGAAGGTTGGGTGTCGATGGGAGCGCAGATTTTAGCAATGAGCCTACAAGCCAAGAAACAAAGGGGTGGCTGGCACCCCCAGAAGCTGGAAGAGGTAAAGAAGGATCCTTTCCCACAGCCTCTAGAGGGAGTGCAGCCTTTGCTCGTGCCTTTTTTGGACTTCCATCCTCCGAGCTGTGAGAAAATAAATTGTTATTTAAAGCCACCCGGTTTGAGGTACTTTGAGCAGTCCTAGGAGATGGACACAGCTGGGTGGTTGTTTTCTGACCATCTGGCAGTTGGAGATCAAGGGTTGGGGTGGAGATCCCAGTCTTTATGGACCAAGTCCTTGCACAGGGAGTGGTCAGGGGGCTTTCTGCCTTCGTTGCCATCACCCAGGGGACACAGGCTGCAGACCCTGCAGAGCTACTTCCCTTAGCCCTGTACTCTTCACTCCTCACAGCCAGCAAGACCTTCCTGTGGGCCTGAGAGTGACAAGCCATGCAGAGAGGCAGAATAATGAAAAATCCTATCATTCCCTGCAAATTGGTGCAGTCTTTCTATTAAGCCTTAAACATATACCCACTTTGACAGCAATACCCCAAGTAGGGACCTATCCTAAGGAAATTATTGGCCGTATGGACAATGGACTGTGTGCAAGCATTATTTATTGTAGCGAAACACTGTGAGACAGAGTGGATTTTTTTCCCACTCTCTCTTCACCCCTTTTCTAGTCGTAACACATACCCAGTTCCTTTTGGAACCAAGCACAGGCCAAGCCAGGATAACAGAAGGGAGCCTTTTGTCAAAAGTCAGAAAGAGAAAGAGAGGCAGGAACTCTTTTTTAGCACAAGAGTGAACAGGGTATTGCTTAGAGCAGATCACTTTTGCAGGATAAATGTCAGATGCATGTGGATGTCAGACCCTGAAGCAGAGCCAGAGAGGCCTGCCCTGCATCCTTTCTCTCTTCCTACAGCCCAATCCAGACGGAAAGCAGATGGCCCAAAGGCCGACAACCGGGGCCAAAGGCTAAAAGGAAGCCATGGAATGGAAGCATGAGGGAACCCAGGGGGCCAGGACATTGAAGAAACAAGGAGGCTCTCAAAAGATCAGGAAAAGGTGGCCTCTCAGGCTGTCTCGAGAGTCCGAAGCACAGAGGCATGGGTGGGTCTGCTGCAGGAGCCCTTTGCTCTTCCTGCCCACGGAGGATGCGGTGGGCCACCCACTGGGGCCCCAGCTAAGGAGCAGCCCTACATCTCCTGCACTTGCCAGCTGTGTATTTTCATTGACGCATTGCTCTGTCCAGCCCCTCAGGTAGAGAGCTGGGTAGAGGGTCCGACAGTGGAGATTCAGTTTAAACAATGATGGTAACTCCATAAAGTGGATCTTATACCTTAGACGGTTATGTTATTAATTGAAGGGAGAAAAAAGGGAGGCTGCGATGAGAGGGGACAGTGAGTTTGGGTTTGGGCCTGTTGAATCAGAAGTCCCCAGTGCCCTTCACGTGGAGCTCTCTAGACGGCAGTTGCTAGCACACAAAGAAATCAGGACTCAGAGTTATGAGAACACACATGAGATGCATGGCGAAGCCCAAAGGCAGACACAAGCTCCAAGACTCAGATCAAAACCCTGGGGTGTGCCCCT
The DNA here is from genome assembly GCF_000001405.40 of Homo sapiens. Taxonomy (NCBI): domain Eukaryota; kingdom Metazoa; phylum Chordata; class Mammalia; order Primates; family Hominidae; genus Homo; species Homo sapiens. Next base: position 27,953,743 of record NC_000008.11, read on the forward strand.
GACGGGAAGGAGGGTCGGGCCCATTGGGGGAGTCACCTTAGAAAAACATTGTATGGGAAATTTGGAGCATCTGAATAGTGAGTTTACACCCAAAAAAGGTTGAAGATTTTTTTTTTTAAATTGGCAGAGCAAAGCAATAGGCATCAAGAGCCCAGTGGGGCTCCAGAAAGTCGGGGTCTGCATCTGAGGAGCGGCTGAGACCCCAGAGGAGGGAGGCAAGGATTCCTGGGGGATTGGAGCCTCTGATGCAGGTCCCACTCTGCCACCCTGAGCAGGACACTTCCCCTCCCTGGGCCTCCGTCCCATTTACAAAGCTGAGGGCAGAACTCATCGTTCCCAGCTCTGACTGTATTGTCACCCTGTCTCTCCTTTGCTTGTGTCCTCAGGGCACTTACCCAGCTTCTGTCCCTGGCTGTTCCCAGGTACCAGGACCCTCTGCTGTCAGGGACCTTAAACCAGGAAAAGGACTAGAAGAGGCCAGCTGGCCCCTCCACCAGGGCAGTCAACACCATGCTGGGGGCTGTGTTCTCGGGGCGACAGAAGATTCCTGTGACCTCTTAAAAGGGTGGTCTTATGAACAACCCCAACAACATTAAGGAAATTGAGAGAATGTGTACCAGTAAACCTCCCACCCACTCCACCACGGTTTTCATTTCTCTAAATTCCCCTCCATCCTTTGCCCTTTGTAATATATGTTTGTTTGCACAACAGCATTCACAGTGTATACACACTAAGGGGTGCTCTTTTTTTCCCTTAACGCAATTTCATAAACACTCTCTCATGTATGTCATAGTTACATTTGAAATGGCTGCATAATACTCCTTTGTGTTAACTGTCTTTTAAACAATGCTCTGAGACTGCACACTTAGGTTCTTTCCAGCTTTGAGTGATTATGAAGAATGTGGTTGAGTTTTATACATATGCCATTTTCTTTCTTTGTACTCATTTCCTGGAGACAAATAGAAGAGGATTTCTGAGCCAAAGCATATAAACTACTTTTATAGATCCTGAAAGGTCATTGACTTCCTCAAGGAACTGGCTTGTTTAGATGTGCTAAATGGCCGCAGCCAATGGTCAGGGGACAAGTGTTAATTGGTAAATAAGCAATGCCTTTCTTTCCTTGACTCCTCCCGGAAAGATGCCATTTTTCCAAAGCTCTGGCAGAGAATACACTGAAAATGTCTCACAGAAGACAGCCTGCCAGACTGTTGTTTTTGACAACAAGCAGGAGAAACAAAGTGCTTTGCAGAAGCACTCCATCCAGCGGAACTCAGCATGGTGGGGGCTCTGTAGGATCCACCACTTCCCACCCTCAGAGGTGGCACCTTGGCATCCTACAAGTCACTTCTGACACCATTGTCACTGCCCCACCCCATGTTCATCCAGGGGCTCCAGAGACCCCTCTAGAGATGGGGATCCCTGTGACCAGTGTTACTGGCACCCCCACTAGTTGACAGCTGAGCTCAGATTGGGACTCTTACCAGACAGAAACACAGCGAGGGACCCTGGGAGATGTCCTATCATGCACCTCTTCCAGGGTTTCCCAGCAGGGCGAGACGGGAGCACAGCATGGGGCCACCCTACCCCCAGTTCCCTGCATCCCTTGGATTGCTCCAAAAAGGGTCTCAGAGAATATGAGGCCTCCAGAAGGAGCATAGAGAAAGGCAGGCACCCAGGGATGCTGCCAGCTGCCGGGCCACTCTGGGCTGCACAGAGGAAGGCCACACAGGCAAAGGAAGACTTGGGATTCCTGTCTCTGAGCTGGAAGCATGGGGTGAAGCTGAACATTGTCCTAACAAAACCAAACACACCATCTGCCTGGAGGTCCCAGCGAGGGGCCAGTAGGCTCTGCTAAAAACAGAGACAGACCAGGGAGGGCCACTGCCCAACATTCCACCCTCCACCTCCTGAAGACTGAAGACTGGACAGGAATGTGAGAGCCCTTCTGCCTCCCCCTTTTCCCTCCTGGGTGCTTCCACCAAGTATTTGGTACCTACTTTTTCTGGAAAATTACCCATTGCTTATCTAAAATTCAAGTTACTGGGCTCCTGTATTTTTATTGGCTAACATTGGCAACTCTATGTGTCGACGACTGGAGGGGTGCAGGTCAGGGTGCTGGGAGCTCCTCAGGGCTTCTGATGCATGAACATGGGGGGCAGGTGAGATACAGCTGGCAGCATGCACTGGTTTCAGGTAGATCATGGTGTCATTTACAGAGATGGAAAGGACTGGAGGAGAAGCAGGTTTGGGAGAGAAAAGTCAAGACTTCTGATTACACATTGGATTTGAGATGATGTTTGTTAAATAACCAAGTGGGGAGGCCACGAGAAGGTGGAATTCTGGCGAAGACAGAGATGGAATCTGATGGAACTTGATGGCAGTCACTAGAAAGACAGTTCAGTTAAAGAGAAGAGGAGGAGGGTAAGGGTTGGAAAACTACCTATGGGGTGCAATGTTCAGTACTTGAGTGATGCTATTTGCACTAGAAGCTCACATCACACCATTACGCAATATACCCATGTAACAAACCTGTACATACATCCCCAAACCCATAATAATATATATGCATATATAAAAGGAGAGAAAAGGGACAAGGCCTGAGATTTACAAGTAAAGCAGGTAGAGATGGGCAGCAACGGACACCTATGATTTCTTCCCTGAATTAAACTGGGACTTCTCAGAAACCTCTATTCTGAGATTTACAGGGAAATGTTTATTGAGGCCCTAGTATAAGCCAGGCATTGTGCAAAAGCACTTCATGTATTATCTCACTGAATTTTCATCATACTGATGATTACTCATTGTTATCCCCATTTTATTGGTGTTTAAAAATGAGGTCCAGAGAGGTTTAAACAATTTCCCCAGATCACAGCTCATAAATGATCAAATACTTGACCTCAGGTTTTCCTAGTTCTCAAGCTTCTGATCTGCCCTGTGCTTGATAGCATATTTTATGCATATCTGCTCTGCCAGTCAGTATGATCCTCATAGCAGGGGCCTCTCTTTATTTCTCTTCCCATCTCCCTGTGTCTCATTCGGTGCTAGGCTCGTTGTTGGCACCTGGTAAGTGTTTGTTGTTTGGGATTTGATGGGAGAGGGCCCCAAGCCTTGGGCGAGGTCAGCCAAGACACGATGCCTGCAGGACTGTCACAGAAATTCCCAGAACTTATAACTTCTCTCCAAAAGGGTGGAGGACGGGAGCTCATTAGTTGCTCAGCTTCCACGCCAGTAAAAATTCAAAGCCCCCAGTAAATGGCAAAATCTGCCTGGTAGCTCTGGGCACACCCAGCAGAAGATAGTTCCAGAAAGCAAGAGGAGAGGTGGGTTTAGGAGGCACAGAGGCCGAGGCATGGACAGGGAGGTGCAAAGCTGCAGAAGGAAGGGAGGGGTGGACTCAAGCCCACTCCCTTTCTCTTTTTGCTTAAATAGAAAAGCTCCTTTTCTTAGCAAGGGTTGGGCACTGCATGATGACTCTCAAGTTTCCTCCAATCCTGGCTCCTGGGATAGAAATCAAAGCACTTGACATGTTTCTCTTGATATTCGAAGCTGAATTACTGTGCAGTCTGTGGCACTTACACCCGGTTATAAATCACTTAACAAACACCAATGATACATCCCACCTGCTGAACACTGTTCTAGGCGGTTAACACGGATGAATTAATTTCATCCTCACCACAACACTTCGAAGTGGGCAGAGTAATCCCTTCTGCTCTGCTATACAGATGAGGACATTAAGGATCAGGTAGGTTGAAAAACTTGCCTGAGGTCACATAGCAATTGGCAAAGTCACGGTTTGTACCCTGGCAGTCTGACTCCGGTGCCATGCACTTCACCACTGGGTGTTAGATTCTGCCTCAGACCAGGAGGCTCGGGTGGGAGAAGCCCTGAATTCACGCCATTCCCAGCTGCAGTCCAGGCACCCATTCCCCAGCTGTGGGGCCGTGGGCCAGAGTAGGCAATGCGTCTAAGTCTCAGTTTCCTCATTTATAAACTGAGCTATTTTCTGGATTCCTTAGGATTGTTGTAAGAATTAGATGACACAATGTATGCAAAAATCTCTGAAAACTATAACTTGCAATCCAGGGAGGAAGGATTAAAGGGCTAATTAGTGATCAGTGAAGCCTAGCATGGGGTTGGCAAATGGTTTTCTTGTGAAGGGCCAGGTAGTAAATATTTTAGGCTCTGCAGGCACACAGACTACTGAGCCCTGCTATTGCAGCACGAAAGCAGCCAAGCAGTACACAAATGGATGAGCGTGTCTGTGTTCCAGTAAAACTTTATAAAAACAGGTGGTGGCTGGATTTGGCTCTTTGCCTAGAAGGATTGCAGTGGGATGGAGCTGAGAGATGGGTGCTCTGCAGTGTCCTGAGTGCTGTAAGTAGGGCTTTGGCTGAAGCTCTGGAGAACAGGGAGTACTTGTCAGATTCGCAGGCAGTGTTTCAGCTGTCTCTGCCCCCAACTTCTACCCGGCTCAGGCGTGGTCAGAGGCATCACCCTGGGCAGTGGAATCTTCCATGGGAAACTCAGGGTGTCAACTGGCTCTTGATCCCTCCTCCTCCCCCTCTTCCGGGGTCTGAGGTGAGACAGAGGTGCCTTCTGCAGGAGAAGCTCTGATGGCTAGGGCAGCCCGACAGAGCTGAGGTGGGGGCAGGGGAAGTACAGTGACCTGCCCAGGTGTGTGCAGTCTGAGTCTAAGGAAGAGGCTGGGGGGACTTCAAACGACCCTGACTCACCTCCCAGGATACAAGGGGTGAAATGCGTGCACGGGCTGGCAAGCCCTGGGTCATGTCCTCTCGGGAACTGCACGCGTGGCAGCAGGCTACAGAATGGGGACTATAGGGACATGGTTGGGACACTGGCTCCAACATGATTGATAGCACAGGCTGATTGTTAAAAATAAATGACAGATGTCCAAGTCCAGAGCCAAACAGATCCAGCAGACTGCAATACCTGGCAGAAACCAGTGTGCTGACATCTAACTGGGATCGCTGACAAGATCTGCATTTAACTTGAAGCAACAAGACCAACAAAGCCAGTGGCACTGACACGCAATGGGGGAGCACCTACTAGGCAATGGTTTCCTTTGAAAGAGATCTGGGGATGGGGTGAGGAGGAGATCTGACCTGATCATTGAGGGCTGCATGGTATTCCATCATTTGGATGTAGGGTCGTGTATCACTATGAGTGTCACTAGAAAGTCTCATGAGAGGTCAGGCGCGGTGGCTCATGCCTGCAATCCCAGCACGTTGGGAGGCCGAGGCAGGAAGATCACTTGAGGCCAGGAGTTTAAGACCAGCCTGGCAAACATGGCAAAACCCTGTCTCTACTAAAAATACAAAAATTAGCCCGGCTTGGTGGCATGCACCTGTAATCCCAGCTACTCAGGAGGCGGAGGCAGGAGAATCGCTTGAACCCGGGAGGCAGAGGTTGCAATGAGCTGAGATTGCACCACTGCACTCTAGCCTGGGTAACAGAGTGAGACTCTGTCTCAAAAAGAAAAAGAAAAAATAGTAAGTCTCATGAGAATTTAAACTAATATCAACATCCATGGTCACAGCCTGGCACACTCCCCCCTGGCTAGGCCACCCCAGGAGTGGTGTCTAATTCTGTTGACTACTCACACCTGGAGCCTGTTGGGAGGATGGCTATTCTGTTGAGACATTCAATTTGATCCTTCCATTAATTACCTGCTATATGTGGCACATGATGGTAGGCAGTGGGAGGACAGCTGTGAACAAGGTGCGGTGCCCTATCATGAAAGAGCTCTCCCGGACTAGGAGGAGAGCCAGCACAGAAACCAATCATTGCAATACAGCATGGTGAGTGTGAAGACCGGGGCCCAAAGACACAAAGGTGGAGGAACTGGGTTCACTTTCCTTGGTGTTACCAACTCACTGATGAGCAATCGTGAGGATGAGGAGAATGCCTTGTTATGATATGATTTGTTCCGGCAAGAAGAACTAGAAACAGTGTATGGGAAAGTCAAGGAGGACAAGGAAGGGGTTTCTGTGACTCGCAGTTGTTTTTTGGGAAAAGCACAACACCATGTCTGTCTGGGAAGTCGGGAGGGAGGTTGTAGGAGATGCCCACTGAAGCTAAGCATCTCCGTGCCATGGGTGGAGCCATTGCTGGCTCCATCGCTCCCTCCCCTAAAGAGCTACAATCCTGGAAATGCTGTTCTGTTCCTGTTTCTTGGCTTACTGAGCCCTGCGCTGTCACGGTACCTCAAGGACCTCTCCAACAATGTCTCCAGGCTTCCCTGTGTGTTTATTGGAAACATGTGCATATGGACACGTACTGCACTGAGCCTAGTTCTGTTTATAGACAAAGTTACTGGGTGTTCAGGCTAAACAAGTAGGTCTGTAATCCTTTGCTATTCTGAAAGCAAACTGTCTCTGATTGTGGGAATAATAATATCAAATATTTCTGGAGCACTTTTTTTTTTTTTTTTAAAGACAGGATCTCGCTCTGTCACTGAGGCTGGAGCGCAATGATGCAATCATGGCTCACTACGACCTTGAACTCCTGGGCTCGAGTGATCCTCCTACATCAGCCTCCTGAGTAGCTGGGACTACAGGTACATATCACTATACCTGGCTCATTTTTTAATTATTCGTAGAGATGAGGTCTCACTATGTTGCCCAAACTCATCTCAAACTTTTAGGCTCAAGCAATCCTCCTGCCTCGGCCTCCCAAGAGCTGCAATTACAGGCATGAGCCACTGTCCCAGCCTACTGAGTACTTACGTGCCAGGCAGTGAAAGAGTTTTAATTTTTCATGTATTATTTAATTCAGTCCTCACAACAGCCCCATGGGGTAGGCACCACGATCAACCCATTGTACAGATGAAAAAACCAAGTCCCTTGGAGGTTAAATTATTTGCCTCAAAATGATAGAGCCATTCCATAGTACAGCCTCGATTTGAACCCAGAAGTCTGGCCTCAAAGTCCATATCCTGAAGAGAATATAGCTACTCCCAGAATGCTCGAAAGACACAGAGAACAATAGAAGTATCATGTAGCCCATTGTTTTTCAGACTACAGCTTATATCCTGTTCATGAATTATGAAATAAATGAGTTGTGATCATGTTAAAAAAACATAAATAGAATAGAGTAGAAAGGCATTACAAATTTAAGTATTATCTCAGCTATGCTTATGTGTGTGTACTGGTTGTGTAGGTCATGGTAAAAAATGTTTGAGACCACCAATCTTGCCCAATTTGCTCACTTTACAAATGGGTGAACTCCCATTCAGACAGCAAAGTGATGTTCCCAAGGTTACAGAGCCTTCACAGATAACCTGGGGCTAAACCCTAGGTTATGCTATCAAGGTTAATTGACTGCAAAGAAAACGAAGAAAAAGTAAGAGTGACGATGCTAATAATAGTGGTAATACCAATGCCAGCAATAACAATAGCTACTACTCCAAATCTCATGTTGAAGTCAGATCCCCAGTGTTGGAGGTGAGGCCTAGTGGGAGGTCTTTGGACCATGGGGGTGGATACCCTCATGAATGTCTTGGCATCCCCCTCATGGTAATGAGTGAGTTCTTGCTCCATTAGTTCACATGAGAACCAGTTGTTTAAAGACGGTGGACCTCCTCCTTTCTGTTTCTTGCCACATGACGTGCCTACTCCCCATTGTCTTCTGCCATGACTGGAAGCTTCCTGAGGCCTTACCAGAGACCAAGGAGATGCTAGTGCCATGCTTGTACAGCCTACGAAACCATGAGCCAAATAAACCTGTTTTCTTTATAAGTTATCCCATGTTAGGCATTCCTTTTTAGCAATGCAAAACAGACTAATATAGGGAGTACGCTGATTTCCCCCGTTTTCAGAGAAGGGAGTTCTTGGCCAAGTGCCTCGGCCAATGTCACATAGCTGGTGATAGAGAAGCCAGGGTTCCAACTCAGACAGGCTGGCTCCAAAGTCCCTACTTGTAACCAGCGTGAAGTCTACACGGTCCTGCCTGTCTCAATATTCTTCTTAAATGCTGTAATGTCAATGCAGTATATAACATGGTAGATGTGTTAATATAATCACACACCTGCCACTTCTACTAGCTAAATGTCCCTGGGTAGCAATTCCATATTCATCTCAATTAGGTACTTGGTTAAAACTGAAATAATCATCTTTTTTTTCTACAAATATTTTCTAGATTCCCTTGTCTCTGTCATTCATTCACATATTAAAAACATCATGCATTTGAAGAATCAAGTAGAATAGGCAGAAATTTTTGTAAAGATAAAACTGTACATAATACCCTTCCTTGTTCCGTAAAGAATTAAGGCAATTCACAAGGATACATTAACTACACTAAGATTAAAGTAGATGAGATGCAGGTAAAGAAGATCAAGTAGAGAGACCCCGAATGAAGCCAGGAAGGAGACTAACACAAAAATGCTTTCCTGAAGTCTCTATACTTGCTGCAGGTGGACCACAATTCTGTCCCCAGGTTTTTGTTTTAATGACCTTCAAATTCACATATCCTCATACAAGGGATGACAGCTGACTCTTAAGTTTGTGTTAATTACCTCCTTGAAAGTAATTTTAAAGACTTTCAGATTCACAGTCTCCATAAGGTGAAAACAAATTCCTCGAGGAACACATAACTCCTTCTATGACTGAGACAGAAAATAATTGGTGCATGGGTCCCCTGAGTACAGCATTGTGTAATGCAACAAATAACATCCTCAACATCATTCTTACAATAAGCACAAGGGGTGAAATTTCACAGGGTTGTTTCTGACAGTGTCCCAATAAAGGTTGATGGCATTATGCTCCTATTCCCAAGATGCGTGATAGAATCAGGAAGCTACAGTGTAGATGGACATGGGCTCTGAGCATATTGTTCTTTCCTGCAAAGTCCAGGGACAGACCTGCTTGAAACAAGGTGATCCAAAAAAGGGATACTCAGTTCAAAGCCAGGTGGACAACTCTCCGCAGGCCAAGCCTTTCCCCAACCATTCCAGCCCTCAGAGATTGGGCTCTCCTTTGTATAATTTGGCAACAGCAGAAACTACGTCACATTGCCCGACAATGGGTGTATGTATTCATGATTTTAAACCCTCCTGTGCAGGGCCTACATCTCATGACGTTTTATTCCTAGGGCTTGTCCCTTTGCCCTGCACTCACCGAACACTCATGAACAAATTCAGCACTTGTTGAGGATGATGATGACAACGACCGAATGGTGCTGTTAGAAAAGAACTAATTTAAGGTGCAGGAGGAGCCCATATTTCCCTAGGGACTCTCCCTGTAGACCAGTGGTCTTGCTACATTGCTGCGATGCTGCAGCCTCACCCCACATTCGAATCCCAGATCTTTTCACTTCCCCTTTCTGCTGTTTCATTTCCACAGTGAGAATTCAGACTTATCTACAGAGCTGTCTCAGGAAAGGGGAAGAAGAGATGGTTCCTGATGACCACACCCAGTCACCACAGTGACTGCCTAGAAGAGCCATAGGTAAGACTGAGCTCCCTCTGACCCCTTAATTCTATTGCAAAGGACATCTTGCCTGAAGTGCTGGATTGAGGACCCCCTGGCCACACGACCAGGCAATCTCAATTCTTTAGTTCATGAACTTAAACCTGATGGTCTCTACTGTTCAAAAATGAATCGGGAACAGAATGAAAACATAATAGGGAACGGTCAGCCAAGGTAATAATCAAAATGTGTTGAAGAGATAGAAAAGCTTAGAGGTATTGGAGGTAGGAGGAGGCTCTTGCCGTCTCCTTGGGAGATGATGACAGGCTATGAGCTAAGGGAAGAGAACCCAGTGCCAGCATGGGATTATTGGAGTAAAGCTCCCAGGAGGACACTGGTCAGGTTGGATGATGGGCAGAATCCAACTGATAGAATAATTTGGGTGGTGGCCGGATTAACCTTCAAACAGGTAAACTTGGATAATGCATAAACGTGAGGTACATGTTTGCCTTTTACTTTCAGTATTTGGGCAAGAAGATGAATTGAGAAAAGTCCTATGTGGGGCTTATAAGACTCATATTTTGGTGTAGTTTGATTACAGATTTTTCATACTGGGAAACAGTAAGAGTAAGCATTTGCACACCGAGATGTTGCTAATCCCATATTCAGATATGGCACTGGGTTGCAGTGGACAATTTTGTCATCCAGTTGTAGGAGCTATGAGATTTGCATTGACAAGGAGGTTTTAAGAATGGTTTAAATGGATCTCCTGTGCAAGGTGACCTCTCTGGGCACAGGCAGTGAGTTCTACCCAAGAAGGGGAAGCCCTCTCCCATGGCAGGACACCCAACAGAAGGCCAGGCAAGCTCTTCTTCACACTGGACTGTGGATCTCCCCTGACCCCTGATCTTGGTATCTCTGAGAAGGAGCATCGCTGAGGTCTTCAATCAGGCAATCTTAAGAAACCTCTCTAAGATCAGACAGAGCCTCCTTAAAGAACCTCAGACTTGTCCACCATCTTGCCAAGTCCCTTTCCTATGCTGCCCTCACCAAACCTCCCCCAGAGGCCAGCATGATTCTCCAGACAAGAATCTGGGGAGGTAAGAGCGGCCACACACCCAGGGCCAAGAGATCAGGTACGACATTGTTGCACCAGCTCCGTCCCAATCCACCCCAAATTTTTGTTCAACACAGGCAATGTGGTACCCAGAAACTTCAGGTTCTAAGATAATTATAATGATCAGAAAAATGCTGGAACAATTAAGGAGGTATGGCAACATTTCTATTAGATTGGGAAACCATGTTCCACCCTCCTTTCTGAAGCTTCCAGGACATTATTATAAACCTCATTCAATCTCCAAGCCAGGAGAAAGCCTTTTTTTCATCATACTGGACGGCACTACTTGTTAGCAAACTGTCCTTTATTTTGAATGGAAATCTGTCTCCTAATAACATCCACCTGTTGGTCCTAGCTCTGCCTTCTGGGGTCACATAGAGTATGTCTACCCTTTCCACATGGCAGCCATCCAGACACCAGAAGAGAACCGTCACTCCACTGCAAGTCTTCTCTTCCCCAAGAGACGATGCCCTTCCAGGACCTCCAGAGGCCTGCCCCAAACCCCCCACCAGCCTGGTCCCTCTCCTCCAGACCCCCATCTGTCACCTAAAAGTTCCTGTTCTGCAGAGCTTTTCTGTATCTGTCACCTAAAAGTCCCTGTTCTGGTTTCCTGTTGGGCTGGAATGCTTTCTGAACATTCCAGAAATTTGTTATGGTCCTCGCAGCCAAACCCACAAAACTCAGATCCCAAGCTCTCACCAAGCAGCCCGAGAACATGTTCAAATCCTCCTCTGGCCCACTCGGCCTGCGAGGGACCCTGCTGGCCCCTGTCCTCTGGTCCCAGGGATGAATAATGAGGTTCTCTCGTTGTTGCTGTTGGCTGCCCCTCAGGTTGCTCATTGATGGGACAGACTCCACCCCAATGTCTTTGCCCTGAGTGTGGAAACCTGAAGGCTCAGGCAGCATTGAACACCCCATTACATCACCCAACTGACTAGTCCCGCTTGACGGAAAGTGAATCAAGACCGGGGAGGTCCTGGCCATTTGCCTCAAAATTTCCAGCAAAAGGTCATCTATCTGTAAGGGCTGGACCTCCAGATTCCTGCCCTGGGCTTCACCCGAGGGCCCCTCCCTCAGTGCTCCAAGTCAGCTCGGCCTGGCCAGCAGCCTCGCTCCCACCAACTCCACCTGCTTCATGCAGCAGCCGCACCTCCCTCTATGTGCCTGCTCTGTCACCATCGCATTGGGCTACACCCCATCACAGTGCCCGCTGCATTCTGCCTTGAGGCAGGGCTCTATCTGCATGACCCCCTCAGTTCCTAGGCTGGGAGCTCCTTGAGAGAAGCCCCTGGGTCCTATTTAGCTGTGCCCCCAATCTTAGCATGGAGCCTGCTGCAAGGCAGGTACTCATGTGAGACATGTTGGGTGGAAATAAACTGATCTCTCAGCCTTACTTGCGTCCAGTCCTACCTACCTCCACTGAGAAAGGTGGGAACTGAGCAGCCCTTCCTTTCAAAGGGAGTCAGGAGAAGACCACTACAGCCATCTGCTTCACCATCTGTCTTCATAGGGACTACCTATAGATGATGAGCTGGGCTGCTCACAGCTTGGGGCCAACAGGCTCCTGTTCCATCCCTTCTTGAGTCCATGAGCTCTCCTTCTCCATGGCTGGAGAACATGCTAGCCCTAGCCCATCGCCTGCCCATCTCAAAAGATAGAAATTGGTAAGGAGAGCCTGGCTGAATTGGGGCAAACCCATTCTACCTACAGTAACTGCAAAGGGCAGCAGGTTTACCAGGAAGCAAAGTGCCTCACAACTATTTTCATGGCACCCCAGGACCAGAAGCTTAGACAACGCCCAGCCTTCTCAGAGCAAACCATACCCCAGAGGCCCAGGGAGGCCCAGTGTAATGCACAATGCCCCACAATGATGCAGGAAAAGTCAGAAGCCACTCCAAGCAGCTAGGTCTCTACTGCTGGTCTCTTTGATTCCACAAGCTCACATAGCCCCTGCCAGCTACTCCCACGCAAAACAAGCAATACTACTGAAGAGCTTCTTCCTTCTTCCTCTATGGTTTCCATGGTGACAAGGGCAGTGTTTGGGCTCATGACAGTGGGAATGAAGAGTGGAAGCTCCAGGTCTTCCTTCCTCATCCCAAAAGACCAGGACAAAAATGGCCTGCTCTTACCTGCTAAGATGAAGATGCCCACAAGAATCAGGAAGACCAGCAGGTAGAGCCCCAGGACAGCATGCTTCAGGGCCGACAGGGACCCCAGCTGGGTACAGCAGATGCTTGCCCGCCGTTTGTGACATGGACCTGGACAATAAGGGTAAGAGGAGGAAGGAAAGAAGACACTTAAAAACCCCATAAGCTCTTTTCTTTTTTGGTCTCATCTCTCCCTGATGCATGCAGATGTTCATGTTGAACTTCTCACATCCCTTTTGCATGTCTAGAATGCAGCCACTTGATGGGGAGCTTTCCAGGACCATCACATTCAGCCTCTAGCTCTCCTCCCACTCTCTGTGTTCATGATCAAGCCAGATCACATGTCCACAGCTCACATGCTCACAAAAACCAACTCTTCTTGAGCTAGTCCAAGCAGCAGAAAGACCTTGAAATAGTCTTGGATATGTGGCTTTAAAAAGTGTCATTGTCCCATGGGATCCAGGGAACATAAAGAGAAATTAAAACAGGAGTTGCAAACTCAAACTTCTACAGTGGCTGGGAAGGTATGGGAATGAGAGAAATGGGCCCAGTGGGACTGTGGGGAGGCCAACGGCACGTGCCTGCTCTGGCAGAGGCTACTATGCAGGGATGAGTGGTGGGTGTGGCCAGATCCAGAATTTTCTACATCTATTTTTAAGGGTTGGCAACTAATTCATCAAACACAAAACACTGGGGAGTGTAAACAAAACACATCTGTAAGCCAGTTCTGACCAGCTTGCAACCTTGCATTTAGATTTGCTAGAAAACATGGTAACCTCATCCTGTGACACTCCTCAGCTTCTGCTCAAAATGGAACAGGGAAATATCCTTGCTGTAGTGGCCTTTTGGGCCATGTAATTCAACCCCTTTGTTGTACAGATAAAGAATGTCAAATGTCAGTTAGCAGCAAATCCGGCCCCAGGACCCAGGTTGATCTTTTAGCTGAACTGGTCCTTCAAGGTGGCCTTCTCAGATGGCCCATGAAGAGGCTTACTGATCTCCAGCTGCTCTGTTGACTGGAAGTGGAAAGAAGGGATCCTCTCCCTGATGTTAGCAGGGCATGTAGGAATCACTGGGTGGGGGCGGCGGGGGGACGGCATTTTTTTAAAAAATGCTTATCCCTTTAATGCTTGTTCCTTACCCCCTGTGGGTAAGACCCCTCTCCAGAAGGACTGTCCCCACTTCAAGAGTGTCACTAAGGCCAGGCACGGTGGCTCACACCTGTAATCCCAGCACTGTGGGAGGCCAAGGTGGGTGGATCACTTGAGGTCAGGAATTCGACACCAGCCTGGCCAATATGGTGAAACCCTGTCTCTACTAAAAATACAAAAATTAGCTGGGCGTGGTGTCGCGTGCTTGTAATCCCAGCTACTTGGGAGGCTGAGGCAGGACAATCACTTGAACCCAGGAAGCAGAGGTTGCAGTGAGCTGAGATCACGCCACTGCACTCCAGCCTGGGTGTCACAGTAAGACTGTCAAAGGAAAGGAAAGGAAAAAGGAAAGGAGAGGAGAGGAGTGTCACTAACTGGAGTGGGCAGAAAAAGGTTGTCAAGAGAGGCTAAAATAATTGATATTTAGAAAACATCCTGAAGGATAGTACCATGTTTGCAATTCCTTCATAGGTTCCCATTTGCAAGGATACCTCAAAGGTTACATATCGCCTCCCAGGTATCATTACTACCTCCTTGGCCTCAGGAGGTTTTATGACCACAAGGAAAATGGTGGTGACTATTGGTACCTTACGATCCACACTGCCCTGGTCCCCCAGAGGTATTGTTATATAAGGAACATTTTCTCACTCATTGACTTCATTTTATTACAAATACTGCTGTTAAACCAGCTAAACAGAGCTATTACATAATATTTCCATAAGACATTGGGTGCAGTGTCGAGCAAGTTGTCAATGACTATTCTCACTCATCCTTACATTAGCAAGTTTTGAAGAGTTGAGCTGATTTTCCGCTAAGACAAAATAGAGCACATCTTTCTAACTCACCCTAAACCTTTTCTGGGATTTTCCATCCTTTACCATACACTAGGCTCTACAAAGGGTTTTGCTCCTAAATATGTAGGCTCCTGGTAGCATTTCTTTTATTTTTTTCCTTCTGGTGAGAGCCACTAGCTGTCTGGTTGCAACTTACCAGAGAAAACTCTGTTCCTCTCAAGAGTCAGAGTAGGAGGTATAGCATTGAATAATATTATACAATTACTGGTTTCATTCTCATGGTGGTAGTTTCAGCTCTCCTGCTCTGAGCCCTGCTGTCTCCTTAGCCTCATGACAGAATAGGAGGAGGAAAATCACACAGCCGTGAACACAGTTAACTTCAAGTTTGCCTTTGTCATCTTCATATGTGTTGCTAGTTCACTGTAGGAGTGGGTCAATGTGCAATGATGTCTATTTTTTCCCCATTAAAAAGAATATTTCCCTTGCCCTCTACCTGAGGCTTCTATTTAATAGCAAGCACCTACTTGTGACAGGTGCCTTAGTCAACCAACACGCAGAACACAGACCTTCCTTTGAGAGAGTTTAGTTCTTTGAGCAAGACTTGGTTACTTTGTGCATTAAACCAAGTATATTTTAAATAGAACATAATGAGGGTTTCAAATAGAGGTTTCCCACAAATGGTTAGACAAGCAGAACATGAATGATCTGGCAAGGCCCTTAGAGAATGATTGCAAGGGAAAGAAGACAATTTAAGACAACGACAAGTCACAAAGGCTGCCCAAAACACATTTATGGACTTTTTTTTTCCAAGTGGCAGAAGCATGTTAGCTGGGTAAACCTTTCAAATTATTTAAACTTAGCAGAAGATTACAAACACTCCAAAATGATCCTATCAGCAAAGCCAGGGCAAAACGTATGCCTACTTTTTTGTTAAAAATAATTTTTTTAAAAATGCACTATCAAGCCATGACAAGACATGGAGGAATGTTAAATGAGTAATTAACTTGGTAAAATAAGCCAATCTAAAAAAGCTACATACCGTATGATTCTAACTATGTGATATTCTGGGAAAAACAAAACTATGGAGGCAGTAAAAAGATCCGTGGTTGCCAGGGATTGGGAGGGCAGGAGGGATGAACAGGCGGAGCACGGGGGATTTTCAGGGAAGTGAAACTCTTCTGTATGATACTGTAATGGTAGATGCATGCCCTTAGACATTTGGCCAAACCCACAGAATGTTCAACACCAAGAGTGAACCCTAATGTAAATGATGGGCTCTGGGAGATAATGATGTGTCAACATAGGTTCACTGATAGTAACAAATGCACCATTCTGGTGGGGATATTGACAGAGGGGGAGGCTGTGCATGGGAAGGGTGGCAGGCGGGGTATATGGGAATGTTCTGTACTTTCCATTTGCCTTTGCTATAAATCTGACACTACTATTAAAAAACAAAGTCTATTAAAAATAAAAGTAGAGCTTTTGACTTAAGGATTGTAGGGGTAAAAACTTTAACAGGCATTTATGGAACATCCACTGTGGAAAAGCCCCACTCTGGTAGCCAGCCTTCAAAATAGCCCCCACGATCCCAGCACCTTCTGCAATCAACCCCCTTCCACGTTGTACCAGGATTGGCCTGTGTGACCAATAAAACATGGCAGAAGTAATGGTGTGTCACTTCTGAACTGAGACCAAAGACATGCAGCATCCTTCTGGCTCACCCTTTCTCTCTTGGAACCTTTGTTTGAGGGGAAGCCAGCTGCCATGTCATGAGCGCCCACAGAGAGGCTTATGTGGTGAGGAACTGAGGGCTTTGGCTGACAGCCATGTAGGTGAGTGAGCCTCTAAGGAGATCCTCCTGCCAGGTCAAGGCTTCGGATGATGGCAGCCTGGCCAATATCTTTACTGCAACCGAGGTAGGAGACAAGATTCAACTCCAGAGGCAGAGCTCAGACACCAGACCAACCTGAGGACTAGCTAAAAAAGGGACGAGGCAGGAGCAGCTTTTCATAAGACACACCCACCCACCAAAGTGCCATGTTGTTTACCATTGCCATGGCAACCCCCAGACGTTACCACCCCTTTCTATGGCAATAACCTGACAACCCAGAAGTTGCCACCCTTTTTCTAGAAGTTTCTGCATAAACTGCCCAAAATTTGCATATAATTAAAAATGGGCATAAATAGGCCTCTAGAACTGCCTCTGAGCTCCTGTTCTGGTCACACTGCCTATGGGGTAGCCCTGCTCTGCAGGGAGCAGCACCTCTGCTACTGCCGTGCACTGCCACTTCAATAAAAGTTACTAACACCACCGGCTCACCCTGGAATTCTTTCCTGGGCAAAGCCAAGAACCCTCCAATTTTGGGGCTTGCTCCTCCTGCATCACAACCTCTTGAGAAAGCCTGAGCCAGGACTACTCTGCTAAGTTGTCCCTGGAGTCCTCCCAGATTATATAGACATATGTGTGTGCAAAATTTATCTGAAAAAATTAACAAAATTTTGGCTTTTTTTTAAAAAAAAACCCACTACTTCCTCAGAAACTGCAAGAGGAATACATTTGTTTTATGCTGCTCAGTATTAGGGTAATTTCTTATGCGGCAATAGATAACTAACACACTTATAATAGATGCTGGGGAATACAAAGATGACACACTGTGGGAAGGAGAGACTTTGTTAGCGTCATTCACTTCCAACTGCCCATCTCCCAGGCCACTGCCTGGCACATAGCAGATGCTCAAAATATTTGTTGAGAGATTAAGATGCAGCCACTGCCTTTCAGATGCAGCCTTGGGAGGGGAAGACGATGCATAAAACGGTAATTGCAATACAGGGAAGAATGAGGTTGGTGCGGAAGGGAGCGGTGACACAAGCAAAGTGCTCCCTGCACAGGTGGCGATGCACTCGGTGCCAGAGGTAGTCACAGAGTCTGCATGGAGGAGGCCACAATTCACCAGGGTGTGAAGGACAGCCCTTTCTAGATGGGCTGAACTCTGTTCTCTTTGTCTTCACTTCAGAGTCCAATGTACAGGACTTATAAATTTGAAAACAGTGACTTTAAGGAGCAAACAGTCTTCCTCTCTGTGTGAACCATCTGCAGGAAGTACCAGACAAAGCTGTTCATGATTAACAGGTTGTCTGCAGACACAAGCACACACAAGACCAGAGCGCTGGAGAAAATGGTCAACAACCACTACGACAACAACAGGAAGAAGAAAAACTCTCCCAAACTCAAACAGACTCATGGGAAAGATTCTTCCATTTTGCAGTGGCCTCCAGAAGTGAGGGTGGCATCTGGAAGGTCAGGAAGCCAAGAGGTCTAGAGAGGGCAAGGCCAGTGGCTCTGAGCAAATAAATAGAAATGAACAGTGACTTGCCAGAAGAGCCCAGAATGCCAGGCTGGGAGACGTTGTTCATCTCGGTGTGGAGCACGTGGCTGCTTGATGATTGCTGGGAGCAGCAGGTAGATGGTTTCTCCTCTGTAGGCATCCTCCCCTGCATACAGCCTGCACAATCTTGCCATAGCAGAGTGTCCCTGGGCTATTACTTTCTTAACATCACTCCACTTAAATACATTTAAACTTAAATTTCTTTGGAAGGAAACTTTATCATCGTAAGTGGAAAATTAGTATCTTCCTATTATACATTAAAATAGATACCTGGCTGGGCCCGGTGGCTCACCCCTGTAATCCCAGCACTTTGGGAGGCCGAGGCAGATGGATGACCTGAGGTCAGGAGTTCAAGACCAGCCTGGCCAACATGGTGAAACCCCGTCTCTGCTAAAAATACAAAAATTAGCTGGGCATGGCGGCAGGCACCTGTAACCCCAGCTACCCAGGAGGCCGAAGCAGGAGAATTGTTGGAACCTGGGAGGCAGAGGCTGCAGTGAACCAAAATCCTGCCACTGCACTCCAGTCTGGGCGACAAAGTGAGACTCTGTCTCAAAAAAACAAAACAAAACAAAACAAAAAACAAAACAAAAAAAAACAAAAAAAGTAGACACTTTAACAGATTTATACCTGTGTATCAGAGGCATCTTGAACACCACTATGCTGTATGTAGCCACATCCTGGGAAACACTGACTTTAATGAAAGTAACTAAGTCACAGTTCAGTGACATATTGCAAGAAGAAAGTTGATACACACCAAAGAAATTTCATTTATAGAGAAGAAAAACCAAATTTTAGATGTTCAAGTTTTAACATGGTTCAGGCCAGGCAGTGGCTCATGACTTAATCCCAGCACTTCAGGAGGCTGAGATGGGAGGATTGCTTGAGCTCAGGAATTTAAAACCAGCCTGGGCAACATAATCTGACCCTATCTCTACAAAAAATTTTTTTAATTAGCCTAGGATGGTGGTATGTGCCTGTATCCTAGCTACTAAAGAGACTGAGGCGGGAGGATCACTTGAGCCTAGGAGTTCAAGGCTGTAGTGAGCTGTGTCACCACTGCACTCCAGCCTGAGTGGCAGAGCAAGACCCTGACTCCCAAAAAGAGAAAAAAGTTCTAGAAGGTAGTATATTAAGAATTAAGTACCACTGAAAGAACCATGTCAGAACCTTGCATGCATCTTTCACACCATCCTCATTATCAACCATTATCTCTTTACCTCTCTGGCGACCCCACTAGTCTCTAAGGTTCTCTGAGGCAAGGTGTGTCTCCCTGTCAGCCAGTGAACAGCAAAGCAAACACATGTGAACAGTTATTTTTGTGGCAAAGACTGTCTATTACATTCGCCGTATGCAAATAATTGACAAACTCTAATTGGCTGGAAAAACACATTTTTAGAGCAAACTTTTGGTCTGAAAAAATAAAAGCTGGGGCCGGGTGTAGTGGCTCATGCTTGTAATCACAGCATTTTGGGAGGCCAAGGTGGGCAGATCACTTGAGGTCAGGAGTTCAAGACCAGCCTGGCCAACATGAAAAAACCCCATCTCTACTAAAAATACAAAAATTAGCCAGGCTTGGTGGTGCAGGCCTGTAATCCCAGCTACTCAGGAGGCTGAGGCAGGACAACTGCTGGAACCCAGGGGGCGGAGATTGCAGTGAGCCGAGATCGCGCCACTACACTCCAGCCTGGGTGACAGAGTGAGACTCTGTCTCAAATAAATAAATTAATTAATTAATTAAAAGCTGGGCTTTCTTTGCATATCCAGGGTCTCTGCTTGCTTCTTTGTGCCCATGCAGGTAAACTGTAGAAGCTAATCACTGGAACAGAATAGATACTTTACTCCTGGTTGAAAGTCAAAATCACACATGGAGCTTCTTAGTCATACCAAGGCCTGAGCCTGCCCCTGGATGCTCACTCTCTGATTCAGTGGTGAAATCACAGATCCATGGCACGGAGGCCACAGCTCTGCAGCAAGGCATTTGTCATATCAAAAGGGAAGGTGAAGACACATTCTTGGAAAGCATATGAAAAGTCTTACTATTATTAAGAGCTTGACTTATGGGGTGAAAAAAATTCCTTGATTTCTTTTCAATAGGACACATCGAAAATGGGGTTGTATCAAAAGATTGTATTATTCCTAGAGGTAAACATTGTGAAGACTTCCTCCTAAAACCGGGAGCAAGAATACCCCAAAGAGTTTTTGCTAAGATACTCTATCCTGGGGGTAGGGAGATGTTTGGCAACGGACATTAAAGAACAGGAAAGTTTATATAAAAACAACACAACCCTGGCACCCTGAGCTGAGGATGAGTAGGGAGAGGGTCCCCCAGTGTCAGGCTACATTGTGGAGAGAACCTTGAACCTCTACAGCCCTCTTTCCCTGTATTAAGCAGGCAGCATCTCTCACAGTGCTTCGGGGGAAAAGCATGGGTCTGGGGCTCTGTGGAAGTCAACGCAAAGCCTGCCTCTGTCATGCATTAACTGTGAGAACCATGAGCGAGTATTCCAGCAGTCCCCTTCATCAAAATGTCCTTTCCTTGAAAAACTAATATTTCAGTTTCTTAGTCATAATTTTAGAGCATTTTGGAGTTATCCAAATTTATTTCCCCCCTCCCATTTTAAAAGAAACTCACAAATTGGATCTGATAAAAATGAGTGTTTATTTCCAAAGAAACTGGCTCTGAACATAAAAAAAAAACAGAAGGCAATGATTCCATTGTTACCTCCTTGAGTTTTAACAGCAACAAACAGCTACTTTCTTCTTGTTGTCTTTGGTCCCACAGCTCATAAACAGCAGGTAGAGATAGCGTTTTATTGCTGGGAGGAACCTCAGAGCTCAGCTCATCCAAGGAGCTTTGTGAAACCCACCCAAGTCTGACTTCACAATGGTTACTCATCACTCACATTGTTCACTGTAACAGGCAGCCACAAATAACCTGTCTTTGAAGCTGCCACCACTCTCTGGCTTTCATGGGGACTCCATAGGGGAGGGAAGGAAAGTATGAAGCAGGGGCACTGCCACCGAGAGCCACCCACCTGAGTCCTGCCTGGAGTCACAGCGGACCCAGGGAAACAAGTCTCCCTGGAGCCTGGCAGGGTCCTCAACAACTGTGATGTTGTGAAGTCTATATCATCCTGGTCATCATCCTGAATCCTGGCAAAAAAAAATCTTCTAAAGCTCTTGGGATTTCCAGAGTCATAAGAGTGATTTTTGTGTATTCATGAGATGACTGGATCTGGGGACCCCTAGATCGCCTCAGGATGGAGGCTGGCCACTGGAATGACCAAGGCAGGATTAGAGAGTTGGGACTTTCAGCCTTACCCCCAACCTCCAGGAAAAGAGAGAGGCTGAAGGTTGAGTTGATCATCAATAGCCAGCGATTTAATCAATCATGCCTACATAATGAAGCTTCCATAAAAACCCAAAAGGACTGGGTTTGGAGAGCTGGATGTGCAGAGGTTCCTGGAGGGCAGAACAGCTGGGGAAGGCATGGAAGGTCTGCACCCCTCCTCCCAGACCCACCCTGTGCACCTCTTCCCTCTGTTATTCATCTACACATCCTTTGTAATATCCTTTTCAATAAACCTGTAAATGTGAGTAAAGTGTTTCCCTGAGTTCTAGGAAGCACTCTAGCAAATTAATCAAACTCAGGGTGGGAGTCCTGGGAACCCCGATTTATAGCCAGTCAATCAAAGGAAGTGGGTGCGGGGTGGGAGCAGTCTTGTGGGACTGGGCCCTCAACCTGTGGGAATCCAAGGCTACCACCAGGTGCATCGCATCAGGATTGAATTGAACCAGAGGACACCCAGCTGGCATCCGTTAGAGAACCCACTGCAGAATTGGCTGTTGATGGAGAGAAATCCTCATCGATTTTGGTAACCTGAAGTGAAGCATTCTGTGATGAGTGAGCGAATAGAAAAAAACATTTTGGTTTTTTTTTCCTCTCTCCAGAACCAACTGGGGTAGAGTGAACACCAGTGACCTCTGCCCTGCTGCATCCCAGGCCTGAGTCCTCAGGGCAGACGGCTCAGCGAGGGCACCCGGGGTAGGAGCCTGGTCTTCCACAGGGCCAGATGCACCCAAGCCTTTCACACCCACTTCTAAGTACAGGAGAGCACGGGAAGGAGAGACAGCCAGGGCTAATTCCATGCAGATTTTACGATGGTCTGGGACAGATTCTCTCAGTACTTTCAGAGATCTCTCCATCTTGTCACTTTCATACAATGTGTGTTATTTTTCCT
The DNA here is from genome assembly GCF_000001405.40 of Homo sapiens. Lineage (NCBI taxonomy): Eukaryota > Metazoa > Chordata > Mammalia > Primates > Hominidae > Homo > Homo sapiens. Next base: position 27,976,007 of record NC_000008.11, read on the forward strand.
CCACCCCCATCCATGTCCCAAGTTACTCTGCATAAAAATTCTTGAGAACAATCAAGGGTGTGTGTGCTTGTTTTTGGGAAGGGATGCCCGGTGTGCGTCTTCTTCCGCAGCCGGGGCTGAGGGGTGGAGAGAGGAAGCTGGGGGAGGGGAGGGCAGGGTGGCCAAGGTGAGCTGGGACACCACTGCAGCCATGCGGGAGAGAGCCTGAGAGCCCCCCAGGAAGAACAAGAGGTTCCTGGGGCTGGTGAAAGATGCCATTATTCACGCTGCAAATGCACAGTACACGGATTAGAAGCTATGCGGCATCAATGCAGTGAGACTCAAGCAGCAGGCTCAGGGTTCTGCCTAATTTCAGGCCAAAAGACCCTCCCCATACAGAGTGGCCCCAGCTCCTTGTTCAGAAGATTCCCAGTTCCCCTCCTGGCCCTTTGTCAATGACAATAAGTCCCTTAAAGATGTCTGCAAGTTGGAAGCCAGGTCTCAGCTAGTTCCATTTTTAAACCACTCCTCTTTCTGGGATGCTAATGCAACCTTCCGCCCACCTCCTGGGTCCACTTTGGTTTGATGAACTGGTTTCTTCTCTGGGCAGAAACAAATGAGTTGAATACACCTGTCTCACTCTCCCAATTCCTACCACCATTCAGTGGGAAGGGTGTCTGGCTTGGGAGACAGAAATGCTGAGAGCCTCCCCTGCCACTTGTAGAGGACTGAGTCATCCGTGTCCCTGAAGCCTCCAGCTCTGCTACTTACGCACGAAAAACACAGCAGGCCATGCCAGAGGAGGGAGCTCAGCAGGTCGGGGCAAAGAGGATGGGGATGAGGCGCCCTAGGACTTTGGGTGCTCCTCGAAAAACTCCTCCCCACAAAACCTCACAGCCTCACCAGCAGTTTCTGCCCTGAGGCCACCCAGCAGGATCGCTTGAGCCCTCAGTCCTGGCTTAGCCAGCCCCCCTGCCTTAGTCCAGGCTGCCACAGCAAAGTACCACAGCCAGGGTGGCTCATAAACACAAATGTACTGCTCACAGTTCTGGAGGCTGGAAGTCCAAGACCAAGGCACCGGCAGATCAGGTGTCTACACAGCCGCCCCACTCCTCACGGTATACTCCCATGGCAGCAAGAGAGTGAGGGAGCCGCTGGGGTCCCTTTTATAAGGGCACTTATCCCACCCACGTGGGCTCCACCCCCATGACCTAATCGCCTCCCAGAGGCCCCACCTCCTAGTCCCATCACTTTGGGCATTAGGATTTCAACATAGGAATTTGGAGGGGACACAAACATTCAGTCCATTGCACCCACAGAAAACCCAGGACTCCCCAGGCCCCCCCATCACCCACTGTTAATCCCAAACAGCTGTGTTTATCCTCCTTTCATGCTATCTCCCTCCCTGACTCCTGAAACCTTCCTGCATCTGCCACCGGACTCCCAGCGGATCAGCCGTGAAACCTCATTCCCTCAGCCTCTGCTGTAGGCGTTTCTTCTACTTTCTTGTTCTAAATGAGACCTGCTTCCTGCCTGCCTAACCTTTCCCATGAGGACTTTTCTTTTCCCATTCTCCTCATACACCAGTCATATGCCAGGGCGGTAGATGTTTCTCTTTGCTTCCTTCTAGAACTTTCCCTCTCCTTCCTCCCTAAAAACCCCCAGCACTTGTGTTCACTGTCATAAGACTTGACACTGCACCTCCCGGTTAAGAGCCACCTGCTCCTCCCCTCCCGGGATCCCTATCACTGCCCTGGCTCTCCTGATCCCCGGGTATCACTCCTTCCGGCCTCCTTACCTAATTCCAGCCTCCCTGGCCTGGGCCATTTGCTTCGAGCACAGGAAACATGGCTGGCCCAAGCAGGGATGGGCTCCGACTGTAAAAAACGCACTGGATTTTGAAGACTCAGCATGAGAGAAAAATACATAAATACCTCAACAAACTTTATAGCAATTACATGTCAAAATGATAATATATTGGATATACTGGATTCACTAAAGTGCACTAGTGTATTTCAGTTAGTTTCTTGTGTCTTTTGTTTTTTTTTTTTTTTTTTTTGAGACGGAGTCTTGCTCTGTCTCCCAGACTGGAGTGCAGTGGCGCGATCTTGGCTCACTGCAACCTCTGCCTCCCAGGTTCAAGCAATGATCCTGCCTCAGCCTCCCGAGTAGCTGGGATTACAGGTGCCCACCACCACATCCGGCTAATTTTTTTTTTTTTTTTTAGGAGAGAAAAGGTTTCACCATGTTGGCCAGGTTGGTTTCGAACTCCTGACCTCAGGTGATCTGCCCACCTTGGCCTCCCAAAATGCTGGGATTACAGGTGTGAGCCACCACACCTGGCCAGATTCTTGTGTCTTTTCACCTTTTAAGGTGGCTGCTAAGAACTTTAAAATTTCATGTGTGGCTCACCTTTCATTTCTAGTGGATTCTGCTGCTCTAGAAAGGCTTTTCACCAATCACTGAAATCTAAATCCCATGTTCAAGTGTCCCACTTTATAAGTGCCATGGCTCATCTTATTTATTTATTTATTTATTTATTTTGAGACAGGCTCTCACTCTGTCGCCCAGGCTGAAGTGCAGTGGTGTGATCACAGCTCACTGCAGCCTTGACCGCCTGGTCAAGAGATCCTCTGGCCTCAGCCTCCCGAGTAGCTAGGGCTACAGGCGTGCACCACCACATCTGGCTAATTTTTAAAATTTTTTGTAGGTTGGAGGTCTCTCTGTGTTGCTCAGGCTGGTCTTGAACTCCTGGCCTCAAGCAATCCTCCCATCTCGGCCTCCCAAAGCACTGGGATTACAGACTTGAGCCACGGTGCCCGCCCTCATCTTCTTAGTGCAGTCCCTCAGGTCTCTGACTCTGGGGTGCCCCAGCCTCCCACAGACCATGCATCCCACTGCCTTTCCACCCTCTTACACCCTCCTATCCTTGCTGGCTCTCTTATCCTACTCCACTCCAGGATCCACGTTATCAGGTAACACACTCCCACTCCTCACTTTTGTCTTGCTTCCTCACACTTGCACAGGGAAACTCTAACCCTGGTCAGGTCTAATTCCACCCACACAGTCGAGCACAGGTGGAAAAAGAAAACCACGCCCCTATGCCAATGGGGCTGATTTAAACTCAGAGCCTAAAGACCCAGGGGCACTGGCTATCCCTGGGCTCCCACCTTTCCCTCATCCCATCATCTCTCTTTGCCTCTCCCAGATGTGACTTCCCACTCGCTCCTCTTCTTCACTCTAGGTTTCCTATTTGACAGAAAAAACAGAAGCACTGCTCAGAGCCCCAAGGGCAGGCCCAGGAGCAGAAGCAGACATACTGAAGGGACGCAAGGGTACTCTACCCTAGGACCTCACATTTTTGGGGTGTGGTCTATGTATCCATTTGGAAGGACTCAATGTGGAATAACTCACGTAACCCTTGCAAAAGCGTATGAGCCAGGCGCTACGGGTTTCCCATTTCTTAGAGGAGGGGAAGATGAGGATAAGAGCTTGTTCAAGTTTTCCCAGCCAGCACTCAGCAGAGATGGGGTGTGAGCCCAGCCTGTTCAACTGCAGAGCCTGCCTGACTTTTTTTTTTTTTTTTGAGACGGAGTTGTACTCCGTTGCCCAGGCTGGAGTGCAATGGCATGATCTTGGCTCACTGCAACCTCTGCCTCCCAGGTTCAAGCAATTCTCCTGCCTCATTCTCCCAAGTAGCTGGGATTACAGGCACACACCGCCACGCCACGCCTGGCTAATTTTTTTTGTATTTTAGTAGAGACAGGGTTCCACCATGTTGCCCAGGCTGGTCTCAAACTCCTGAGTTCAGGCAATCCACCCGCCTCGGCCTCCCAAAGTGCCAGAATTACAGGTGTGAGTCACCATGCCTGGCCCCAGAACCTGTCTTTTTAAGCACCACACAAAGCCATCCCCACAACAGAGAAGGTGAGACTTCAGCACTTTAGACTCAGGTATCAGAGCCGAGTGAGGCTGTGTGCGGGTCTGCACCAATGACGTGCCCACACCCTGAATTTCTGGCCCACTGAGTCACATTTAGGTAACCTTGCACTTGAGCCAGCCTTGTGCTGGTCTGCAGTAGGAGGGAGGAGAGAGGGGAGGACAGACCAGCTAGAGCGATGGTAAATTGCAGAAGTCATGGAGCCCTATTTCACACCTCTTTGTGCCCCTTGCTGCACACAGCACCTGCAGGATCCCTGAATATATTTTGCTGGAAGATGAAGATGAAGAAATGAATGAATGAGCAAGCAAGGAAGCAGAGGCCAGGAGCTATGACAGCAAGGTCTGTGGTGAGGAGAACTGGGGGATGCCATAAGGAATAACTGCCCTGGCCACTCATCACCCCCTCTACTCCAGGGATTACCAGAAGCCCACCTGCCCACCCAGGGCTCTGTCCTCACTGCGGGCCTCCTTCAAGCCCATCCACTCCAGACTGTACCAGGCTAGTGGGACATGTCGGTGGCATCCCCCTCAGACCCTCCTCACTGCCCCCATCCCTAGAGTAATGCCACACAGGAGATGGCATGGCCTAGGGCTGGGGCTTTGGCTGAAGACAGAGAGGGGATGCTCCAGGCCATGCCCGTCTGCATGGAAAGGCGCCCCTGGTGCCTCTGTACCCCCTCCCTCCTCTTCCCAACGCCTCCTGGAAACAGCAGCCTCTACCCTGAGACAAGGAAACACATCCCTTGGCTCTTCTGGTAGCAAACCTCAGGGGGCCCCTGGGAGCAAAGTGCCTCCAATTAGGATGATGAAGGGACAGACACACATACGCCATAGAATCAGGAGCCCTCAGGGCCCAGTATTTCTAATATTCGAGAAACAGGACTAAAGGAACTTGCTCAATTTCCTGGAGTATCTAGGCCTCATGAGAATCCCACTAGTAACCAGAATGTTGCTTTCTTCAGCAGAAGGCCAGGATCAGCCCGAAAACACTCTCCAGGCCAGGGTCCCTGAGAAGGGGCATAGGTGTTTCCTGGGAGTCCCTGGGTGGCAGCAGCTCCTTCTACCTCCTCATCTCTCCCTCTCCTTCTTCCCCACCTCTGCAAGCTTTGCAGGGGACTCCCAAAGACCAGGGAGGGAAATAAATGTGGATCGAGGGGCTACTGTGTGCAAGGCGCTTTACCCGGGTTATATCATGTAATCCTCCCACAATGCCTGTGGGGTTAGTAACATTATTCTCACTTTGCAGACAAGGACACTCAAGATTAGCAGGTCAGGGCCCTGGCAGAAACAGAAGGCTCCCTCAGATTAGGACACATCACAGGGTTTCATAAAAGGAATGTCTCAAAGGTGTGGCCAGGGTGTGACACCCAGAAGGACAGAGCAGCATTTGCGGGCTGTAACCACCCTTGGGCCCAAAGGGTCAGGGATGGGAGCAGTTGCCAGAACCTGGAAGGGGAAAAGCCCAGGTGGACAGGGCAGCTTTAAAGGAGCTGTGGTCTTTGGTGGAGGGACAGGAGCAGCCCTGGGTGACTCCACAGGGCAGAAGCCGGAGGAGTAAGTGCTCCAGCTTCCCTGTCTCCCCTCACCCACCTCCTGCCGGGGCTCCCCCGTGAGTTGAGTAAAGAACAGTGTACGGCACGTGGGGATGGCGGGACAAACAGAACCCCCTGCACTGGGTCTGAGTTCACGCATGCAAGGACAACACAACTCGTGTGTGCACCATGGTTTCACATCCAGCCCTGACACACTGCAACACGTGTCACCAAGCCACTCCCATCTTATAGAGGGACAGCCCATTGGGCAAGAGAGACCTGGAACACGCCTGGCCACTGGCTCCCCCGGGGACCACAGACCTGCCTAACAGAGCCATGCTCTCTGCTTGGCATGGGCTGTAGCTCTGAACTGGGTTAATAGTCCCCTCTCCTGCACCAGAGCCTGATGCGGCAACCTGTAAACGGCGGTGACTCTTCCAGAGGCCCCAGCCAGCCCCTCCCAGGAAATCCATTCCCATCTTTGGGCAGCAGCCCAGCAGCCCTCAGCTGCGCCAAGTGAACCGGGGAGATCTGACGGATATGAAGGTAGATGAGGAGGATATTTTCATTTTATGGGGAAGGAACACAGGAATGGGGAGGCCGGGCCTGGAGGCAGCGAGCGGCCCGGCTGCAGGCGTCGGCAGCTGCCAGGAGCATGTGTAACTCATTACCCCCAGGTCCTATTTGCGGCCATGGATGACGCCACGAGTGGAGGGGGCTGGGGCCGTGGGGGCGAATGGGACTGCAGTATTTTTCTGACACTAACACCTCTCTCTGGCCCTCGGAAAGTGCTGTGGAGGAACCAGGCCCAGCCAGTCCCCACCCACTCCCAGATCGGCCTCCTCCTCCACCTCCTGGCGCCAGACTGGAGAGGCCCCGGCTGCATATCGGGGAAACCAAGGCGGGAGAAAGGAAGGTGGGGGTGGGGTGGGGGGCGGGAGGAGGGAGGCCAGATCACCGGTGCCTGGGGTTCTGTTCAGAGGGTGGTGTGAGTGAGCATCCATCAGAGGCCGCTAGAGGCAGCTTGGCTCAGGAACCTTCCAGGTCCTATTTGGGCTTGGCCCTTCCAAGCAGTTCCAGCCCCACAGGAGGATGCTCGGCTATTGCCCAGGATCCACGAGGTGAGGAGGATGGGGCCTTCCATCAACAGTGGGCCCCGAGGAGGACAGCAATGGCCAAGACGCAAGGGAGGAGGCAGATTCCAGAGGTGGCCCCGCCCAGGCATGCAGAGAAGGGAGGCTCTAAAGGCATCAGAGAGCAAGGGGTACCTGCGGGGCCTTGAAGGATGCAGGGACAGGACGAGCTGGAGGAGCTGGGCAAGATGGCTGCTCAGGGAGGGGACAGAGAACCAAGGCACCCAACAGTCCCTCCTCTTCCCATCTCACCTGGCAAGTGAAGAAAGGGAAGGGATAAAGGCAGGGAGGGTGAAGAGAAATGAGGGGCGAGAAGGAAAGAGAAAAAAACAGCAGGTCCGGTGCAGGAGTGGAACGGTGCCTGCAGGAGCTGCTCTGCTAGAGGAGGGTCCCTTCCTCTGCGCTGAGGAAGCTCCCTGGGCATCGAGCCCCCACTCAGCCCATACCCCAAGGGTGTCCCCTCACCTCCTCTCTTGCTTTTCCTGCTCTCACCTCTGGTGGTGGCTGCAGGGAGCTCCTTTCATCTCTGGACTGACCACCTGCCCAAGCCCATAAAAGAGGGACTCCTCAGCACTTCTGCCTGCAGGAAGTGCTACCTTGTCCAATGGGTGAGCTGTCTGTAACCTGGCATTTCTTGTCCCTGTTTCTCAGGTGGATGGGCAGGAGGGCGTGTGTGGGTGAACCAGGTGAAGGCTGGTGCCTGGACAGGGGCACTCACGCTTGCTGGCTGGGTGAGTGTCTGTTGGGGGTGCCAGCAGCCACATCGTGAACAGAGCTTTTCCAGGCTTAAGGCAGATTCTGCACTTGGATTCCCACATGCCTCCTTGTCTATTTCCCAATTGGTTCCAAATCCAGAAGTGAGGGGAGTCACTCCTTGGCACCATCAGTCCAACCCCGTGAAATCCCCATCCTGGGAAGGAGCCTGCATCTCAGGTAAGGAGACTCAGAGTCCGGTTCCAGCTCCACCACTGATGACTTGAGTGGACTTACCACATCATTTACCAACAATCACAAAGACTTCTGGGACATCTGCCACCTACAAGGTCCCGAAAGAATTCCCAGAGGAGCAAAACACAGTCCTGACCTCTCCGGTCTCAGTGAAGATGAGTCCTGCACTCCACAGCACATGGGCCATGAGAGTGGGGCAGCTCATCACACCCAGCAGGAACACTGGGGAGCCTGCCAGTGACCGGACCCGGGACTCAGCAGGTCCCACCACCAGGGAAGGCTGCATCTTACCTTCATGTCAGGGCTGTACTTTTGGGACTTTGCCTCCCCTGATCCCACTATCCCCATGGCCAGCCTCCAACAAGAAGTGCCATCTCTCCTCCCCTCTTCCCACCTCTCGCCCTCCATTGAAGGAGGAAGACCTGTAAGGGACTTGGAGCTTGTCCTGGACCTCACACTTCACCGTCTTCATTTACTAAATAAAGGCTCAAGGGCGGCCCTGACCGGATTCAGGGTGCTGGCTCTCCCTTCCTTTCCCATCTCTTCCCAACTTCCCCCTCCTCCCTCCCTGCCTGGCCCCACCCTTTCCTCTTCCTCTCCCATTTCACTCCGCAGAGATAAGGATCAAAGATGCAGCAAAACCCTTCTAAAGGGTTTCTAAAACAGATCAAATCTGGCTTGAATTTCCCCAAGTCAAGCTCATCATTTTCCTCTCTGAAATGAAAGGAAAAGGGGGAAAAATCAAATTGGAAGCCCACAAGCTTTGAAGTCACTGGCTTCATCTCAACACTCTACTCTGCCTGGGTTCCCCATATTCCAGCCCCCAACCTGGCAGCCAGGAATGAAGATGGACCCAGAGAATTCGGCAATCAGGTGTAGATGGTGAATGCTTTGCCACATTTAGACTTCGAGGACCCCTCTGTTTATCCATCCATTCATTCATTCATCTATTTATTTATTCATTCATCTATCCATTCATTCATCCATCTATCCATTCATTCATCCATCCATCCATTCATTCACCCATCCATTCATTCACCCATCCATTCATTCATCCATCCATTCATCCATCCATCCATGCATCCATCCATCCATTCATTCACCCATCCATTCATTCATCCATCCATTCACCCATCCATCCATGCATCCATCCATCCATTCATCCGTCCATCCAGCTATCCATCTATCCATTCATTATTCATCCATTTATTCATTCATTCACATATCCATTCATTCATTCATCCATCCATTCACCCATTCATCCATCCATTCATCCATCCTTTCATCTATCCATCTATTCATCCATCCAGCTATCCATCCATCCATCCATCCATTCATTCATTTACTCATTCATTCATCCATCCATTTATTCATTCATCCATTCACCCATTCATCCATCCATTCATTCATCCATCTATCCATTCATTCATCCATCCATCTATTCCCTTCATTCATCCATCCACCCATTCATCCATTCATTCAAAAAATGCCTAGTGAGCACTTACTGTATGCTGGGCTCAGGAGACATCAATAAGCAAAACAGAGATGCCTACTGTGGTCCAGCCTATATTCTTGCCTCAGGGAATGGATAATAAATGATACATGTAAATAAGGAGACTACAGTGTCATGAGGAAGTCAGACCACGGAAGAAAGGAAAAAAGAGTCAGGGAAAGGGGGATGGAAACTCAGGCCTCGCAGAAGGTGGGAGCTGAGCTAAGTCCTGGGGGAGGTGAGAGCATGGACCAAGTGGGAGGGGGCAGTAATGCACACTGGGGGATGCCAGGGAAGCACCCTTCTAAGGGCAAAAGACCCAGGTGAGCAAGTCAGAGATTCCCTGCCAAGGTTGGGGCAGCACAGAGGGGAGAGGCACAGGACCTCTTGGGCACATTGTCAGCACCCGAGTTTTCACTCCTGCTGAAGTGGGAGCCACAGCCATGCTTTGCCCAGCATAGTATCATATTCTAACTTGGGGTTGAAAAGGGCCACACTCCTAATTCAATGGCCAGGTCCAATTTTACACACAGAATTCTAGAACCAGATAGGACCTCAGAGATAACCCCCTGCATCCCCATTTGGCAGATGAGTACACTGAGGCCCACAGAGGGTCACATACCCAGGAGGCACGAGTCAGCCTGAGATGAGTACACTGAGGCCCACAGAGGCCCAGGAGGCACGAATCAGCCTGGACTCCACACCTCTCAACCTCTGCTGTCTGCCCTGCACCTGGGCCCTAGCATCAGGGAACCCTGGGACAGGACATGGCTAGCATGGCTCCCAAAGTGCCCTCTGACAGAGCTCCCCACAGAGGAGGGGCCCAGAAGGCGCAGTGGCTAGGGTTGCTGTTAATTTCCAGTCGTTCTGGTCCAAATGAGCTTTTTAAAAAAACAATCTGGGGTTCAGAAAAAGGGAGAGTAAGATGAGGTACTAGGAAGTGGGTATGGTGGTCCCAGGGACATCTGACCCCTCCCACCCCTGAGGCCCCCCAGGCTGGCCCTGATAGTCCTCTCCAATCACCCCACTGTGCTGTACCCAGTCTTTCTTGCCAAACCAAGCCCCTTTGCTGATGTGCCAGTGGATATGGATGCCACCTTCCCCTTTGCGGATGGACTGATGGGAGCTCTGCATGGGACCAGAACCCCAGGCCTTCTCCTCCGCCTGACTGGTGTGAGCCTTACAGAAACCTGACCCAGCTTGGTGTCACACAAATAGGAATATCTTTCCCACATCTTCTCTTAGACAATCTCCTTCAGTCTTCCAGCCCTTTTCCAGAAAGCCCTCTGCTCGCCTGACTTTATTATTCACACACATTTTGGCCTACTGTATATTATAGGCAGTTGTTCCCATGCCAGCCTCTTCTACTGGGATCATAAGCCCTTTGAGGACAGAGATTTTTTAATTTGTGTTTGGAGAATCCCTGGCTGCTCACCCTGGCCTGACACGTCGTGGATCCTCAAAATATGTTTGTCAATTGGAATCCAGAAGAAGAGCCACCATGGTGGACAATCCTAGGGCTGGGTGAGCAGGTTCATTGGTCAGAAGCCCAAATCTCCTTGTGTCCTCTGCCTGCAGAGACTCTCCCCACTCTAAGCCACCACGGTTCTTTCCCTACACTCAGCGCCTTGTGGGAGGAATGCAGGGTCGGAGGAAGAGAAGAGTGGAGTCATTGCTCTTGAGTAATTTCAAGAGGCAGTTGGCAGAGTGGAGCAAAACAAGAGAGGAAAAGGCCTGTCTCTCCTTGGCCGGAAGTCTTTGCAAGGCTCCTCAGTAAGCTTCATTCTATTTCTCTTTGACGTGGGGGCAATGCTCTCCTCTCTGACATGTGCTGCATGCAGCAAGAACTTATCAGTCATCTACTGGGTGCACAGGAGCCAAGCTGGTGGAAAAGCGCTCTGGGCTCCTCCAAAGGAAGCTGCATCACTTGGATCTCCAGGGTTTTAGCAAATAAGCAGCCCCTGAGATGCAAGGCCTTCTGGGTCACTGGCCTGGGGACCCCTTTCTGTGGCAAGACCAGGGCCTTGCACCCAGGGGCAGGATGAGCACCTTGGAGAGCTCTTTGCCCCTCACGAGTGCTTCAGGAAGTGGGTGGGAGGCCCCTCTCCTCACCTGAGAGGGTCTGCACTGACTGGCTCAGAGGCCCTTGCCTGACCCGAGTCTCACTCTCTCAGGAGCAGAAGCATGGCCCTCGGAGTCAGGAGGCTCCATGCTGGACCACCATAAGACTGATGGACTGTGAAATCTGTCCATCTGTAAAATGAGTACTCATCTTGCTGACAGGTTTGTGGAAGTGAATGAATGAGAAAACCCATGGAGAAGACCTTTTAAAGCATAAAGTTCAATATATGCACTATTACATGAGGAGGTCACAAGCACTTAAAGGCAATGCCAAGGTTGGGTGGTGGTAGGGCTCCTTCCCCACCCCCAGGCCAGATCTTGTGCCCCAAGTCTGAGCCAGCTGCACTCACCATCCTCACACAGGTTCAGCTTGGACAGGCTCCTGCCATCAAAGGAATCCTCACAGATGGAGCTGGTGTCACAGTCGCTGACGGTGTGTAGGTACATAGCTTTGTTCTCCATCACACCCTGCAACAGCTGCAGAGAAGGCAAGAGGGGAGGAGAGGGAGGACGAAGGCCGGGAGAGAGACAGAGAATCAACTGTAGGTGGAAACAGAAGCAAATGGATAGAACAAGGTGCCCACCCCTGACCCTAAGCCTGAACACCGGGACCCTCTGCTCATCACCAGGACCCAGGTGCCATCCTCCAGGTCCTTGGGGCCGTGATGCCCCCACTCCCAGCTTCCTCAGGGCTTCAGAAGACCAAGGCCCTTGGGCCTTTCTGATGGTGGGATGTGTCCATTCCTTTCAACAACTCTCAGTGGGGCTGGAATCCTGAGCTGGGGTCACTGTGGGTTACACTGGGTGGGGCCAGGAGGAGGGAACCCTGCTGACTCAAAAGGTAACCTGAGAGCAGGCTCTGAGCCCTCAGAAGCCCGGGGCATGCCAGAGAGACTTGAGCTTCTGTTCTGTGTTGGAAATGAAGGAAGGAAACTAGATATGAAGGGGCATTCAGAGGGGGTACAGAGTCCACTTGCAAACAAAGCTGAGCAGACCAGGACTGCTCCCAAATCCAACGGGGCTGGCATGTTGGAAGGAGCTTGGCTCAGTAGGACCACAGCAGGGATTCATCTACTGTGGTGGGGCCCGAGGAGCAGGGAGCCTCTGAAGGGACACCCAGGCACTAAGCATCTGGACAGCTTTAGGCCAGGGAGGGCTTCTGTCTGCATGGCCCCCAGAGGCTGACTCATTGGGTCTCTGGGTCTACGCCATGATGGTCCAGGAGCATATACATTGACTTAGGAGAATCCTATGCTCTTTGAAAGGAAACAGCCTGTTGACGCAACAATGTGTACAACACGATCCCATTTTGTAAGACATGCACGCGTAAGGTGCGTGTGGATGTAAGACGCTATGATGGCTCCGGGTGAGAAATGTATTACAGGACTCTGGCTGGAAGGGATTGTGGGGATTTAATATTCCTTTTTGCTTTCAGATTTTCTGGGTTTTCTATGATGCATTTACATTCCTTATGTAATGAGAAGAATCTGTTTTTTAAGCCAAATTACAAAGTATATACATCAATTTCTTGATATTGTTTTTGTCACATAAATGCTCAGTGACTTTACAAATTATTCTCTACTTTCATCAAGGTTCCAGCCATGAGTTTATCTTGACCTTTGCTTCTGATTCTCTTTAACTATCTGGACATTTAACCAAAGAACAGCATCCTTTAGAAGATAAAAGCCCCATGAGGATGGGTCCCAGGCCCAGTATGGAGCAAACTCAACCCTTCAACCCAGAGGAGGCTGGGAGGAGAGGATGCAGGGCTGGCAGGTGGCAGTGGGGGGACAATGCCTGTTGATTGAGAGATCAGTCAATCAGTTTCTCTTCAGAGGGAGGGTGGGCAAGGAGGCGTGGCAACTTTCATAAATAGACATAATCAGGGAAGGCGGCTGGCGGGGTTGCTCTGCAGCAGAGCAAAACAAGAATTCCGTATTTTCTTTCTTCTTTTTTTTTTTCTGTTTCTTTCTTTCTTTTTTTTTTTTTTTTTTTTTTTTGAGACAGGGTCTCACTCTGTTGCCCAGGCTGGATGGCAGTGGTGCAGTCTTGGCTCACTGCAACCTCCGCCTCCCGGGCTCAAGTGATCCTCCCAACTCATCCTCCTGAGTAGCTGGGATTACAGGCACAAGCCACCATGTCCAGCTAATTTTTTGCAGAGATGGGGTTTCACCATGTTGGCCAGGCTGGTCTGGAACTCCTGGAGTCAAGCGCTCCACTGGCCTCAGCCTCCCAAAGTGCTGAGATTACAGGTGTGAGCCACTGCACCCAGCTGAAGCCCCTATTTTCATGACTTGAGCTTGGCCTCCACAGACCTCTGACATTTGGGCTGAGAAGAGACCAGAACTGACCAGTCACTGTATACATGTCCTTCTAATGACCCAGGAGGGCTGGACGCCTCTGCTGTTAGCCCTTCTGTACATCCCCCATAACGGGCACACACACGCATGTGCACACACACAGCCTTGGGGCTCCCAGTATCTGCGGGCCTCTCCTCCAGCCTATGGGAGGGATGGAACAGGGGGTGGTCCTCGGCTCTGCCAGGATCTCTCCTCCCTGCCCCAGACACCACCCACTCTGGCTTCCCTGTGCTGCAGTGGTGTCCAGTTCACTGGGCTCCCAATTCCGGCCCTCCACCCAATGCCTCCACCCAGGCAGGGCCTCTAGGTGGGGCCGCGGGCAGCTCCAGCACTGCTAAGTTGCAAGGGACCCTCCCTCATTTCATGAGCACTGTGTGCGGCAGCCCTCCCTCTGGCTTCACTCCTTGCGGGGCTGTGAAGCAGGAGGCCAATGTCTCTTTTGCCTGCAATAACCCTCCCTCTGCCAAAGGCAATAGCCTCTGCTTCCCAGAGGCCACACAGAGCCAGACAGGGCGCTGCCCCTGGGGAGTGGAGGTGTGAGGCCCCACTGCCATTTCCACCTTCCTCCTCTTCTGGTCAGCTCCTGGGACGGGGCTGGAATGCACGGCTTGTTAGCCAGAATGTGTGTGAAGGGCAGCTGTCTCCTTCCTCCTCCCCACCCCTCAGCTGGTCCAGCAGGAGCCCAGGGGATCTGCTGGGGAGAGGGACTGGGGCCGAGCGGGGCCAGATGTGAGTGCACAGGGCTTGGAAAAGCTCAGACAACTCTACTCATGTTTGTTACTTGGAATTGAAACCTACGCATGTTCTGTCTGCCCAAGGTTTCTTGGGGGCTGTTTTTCTTTCTTGGGGGAGGAAGCAGGCATTGGGACCCTCAGATCATGGATCTTACTGTCTTTGGACCAAGTCTGTGCTCTAGAAGATGAAACTGATGGCAAGTGCTCCTCCCAGGAGCACTGTGTTGGGGGTAGGCTGATGGCATTTGCATTCCGTCCCTCCCATTTTAAACATAAGCCATCCCAGACCAAAGAGGCAAAGGAAGGAATGGATATCAGAGCGGGAAGAGGCCCCGGGCACAGTTTTCCTACACAGGGCACTGGCTCAGCTGCAGGGTTGCTTTGTTTGGGAATTGCATGTCAGCCCCTTTGGTGACCACTTTCTGGGCCCCAGATCAGGCAGAGAAGAGAATCCCACCTCAGACTGCCAGCCAGTGTACTCCAGCAGGTGGGGATCCTGGGACTGAGGCAGGGCTCTGAGAGCTTGAAGCACATGGGCGAGATGTGGAAGCCACAGTGACCTGTGGATGAAGCCCAAGGAGACTGGACCTCAACTTGCAACTCAAAGAGGGAGGTCTTGCTCTAACAGGGAGGTGTCACCCTCTCCACTAACCTCTTGGCAATCATGATTTACTTCCAGACAATTTCACCCAAGGCACTTAGAAGGGCAGGTTCAGAGCCAGGGATCTGCTTCTAGATTCTGCATTTTAGAGCTGGAAAAGCCCTCAGCCATCTGTGCCCTGCAGCCCTGTGCCCTGGGGCCATCTGCGCCCTGCAGGCCTGGCTCTCTGCAGGAATGCAGGGAACACAGAAGCCAAGGGCTCCCATCCTAGCTCCTCTGCGTATTGGTTTCTTGGGGGAACTTGGCTCAATTACCTGACCTCATTCAGCCTCAGGTACATGACCTCTAAGATGGGAAGGTGGGTAGCTGCTGGTCACCCAGGATCACTGTGAGCCTCCCGTGAGATAATGCATGTGGCATGACTTTATGAACAAGGTCACTCAGGGGAGCTGGTGGCAGTCTGATGAGAAAAAGCATCCCCCAGCATCTTCTGACTCTGCCTGGCAGCCAGGTAAGGGGGTGTCCAGGTTCCCAAGGCCTCCCTCCTACCTAGCCAGTCTCAGAAACAAAGCTGTTTGAAGTTCCCTTTGTAAAAGGCAATCGCGAATGCACTCTAGGGCTGATATCAGGACCCTGGCTCTTCAATCCTTCTCTGGAGATCAGAAGGACTCCATTAATTCCTCCTCTGAGTGGGTAGCACGAGCCTCATTTGCTGCTACCAAGTCAGTTTCTCTGGGTACCCGCATCTAACTCTGCAGGGTTTATGGCTTTTCTTTGGATTACCTCACTTTAAACTCATCAAAACCAAGGAAAAAAATCACATGAGTGTGGCCCTTCTCCAAAGAGAGAATCACTAAGGAGGTTTTAAATGTTTTCCTCCTCTAACTGTACTTAGTTAAGCTAAATCATAACCCAAAGCTGGACAGAGACAGATATTTTAGAAATAACCTCTCCCCACATATATCCCACCACTGGCACATGCACACGCACAGACATGCACACACACACACATGCACACACACACACATGCACACACACACATGCACACACACACATGCACACACACGAAGCCATGGAGAGGAGCTGTCACCTGAGCCATCTGCACCCTGAGTAGGCTCTTGAGCTGTGACATGAGTCAGGTGGAGTAGCCACCAAGGCAATAGCTTCCCTCTGGCACCCCAAATGCAGGCTCACATTCTCTCCAGCCCAGGCAGTTGGATGAGGGCCCGGCAGATATCTGCGGGCCCAGCAGGCGGGGACCTTCCCACCTGGAGAAGGCACCTCCAGGCTCTAGGTCTGAAGTTTCCCAAACTCTGTACTCCTCTCCATCCAGTTCACTCCAGTCTCCTCCAGCTGTCTTTGAGACAGCATGCCCAGGAGATAGGACAAAATTAGTACCAAGACTCACCTGAGTGCCCCTGGCTGAGGCTGTAGAGCCTTGTCCCCTCAGATCTCAGCATTTGCCATGGTGGCCAGAGAGCTGGCTGCCACCACGCTGAGAGCCAGGCCGCCCCTCGGACCGCGTCCCCACAGCCAGCCAAATCCAGATGGAGTCATAGAAAGGGGCTGCAGGGGCGCCCAGGGACGAGTCTCAGAGCAGGACCACAGGGGCCACTTCTGCAGGAGGACCAGGTCAAGATGCAACCTGTGGCAGAGTGGGGGTCTGGGCCTGGGGGACCCAGAATGGGGGGTGTGCGCCTGGGACTCCCTGTCCTTGGTGCCTGGTCCTGGGTAGCGATCAGGAGATGTTCTGAGGAGGCACCGGCAGCTCCTCTAGGTACTGCCTGAGATGCGAACTGCAGCTGCTCTCGCCGCCAGTCCGTATAAAATAAAGTTCTTGGAGCAGTTGCGGAGGCTTCTGCAATGGGGTCTGGAATACGGCCCCCCTCCTGCGGCCAATCGTGGCATTACAGCCCCGTGTGGGAACGCCCGCTGGGCCCAGAGCAGCGCGGTCGGCCTTGGCCTTGGGACTCCAACACCCCAGTCTAAAGGTCCTGCTCAAAATACTTTTTGGAAGACTTCTGGGGGAGTGGCAGCTAGACCTGGCTTATGAGCCACGCAAGAAAACCAGTCTTGTAAATTTATTTATAGCACAGAATTGGCATGGCTCAATTCATTCACCAAGCTTGGCACAGAGTTACTTCATGTATTTTCCTGGAGTCACATTCATCCTCAGTGGACACGGATTGGCCACACTGGGGGTAGTCAGGAAAATGCCCCAGGGGGTTCCACGGAACTCAGCAGCAGAATCAGCGTTTCTGGCTCATTAACGCTGCACAGGGGCTGGGGGGTGCAGGATGAAGACTAGCTGGCTGTCCATAGCAATTCAGTATGGGAGGGGGACCCAGGCACGAATAATCCTAAACCTGAGCATGATTGCTTACGTTTGAAAAAGGACATCTAGGCCGGGTGCAGTGACTCACACCTGTGGTCCCAGCACTTTGGGAGGCTGAGGTGGGAGGATTGCTTGAGCCCACCCACAAGTTCAAGACCAGCCTGGGCAACATAGTGAGACCCCATCTCTAAAAAAAAAAAAAATCTCTTTAAAGGCAATCTAACCATATGTGAAGGGAGCTGCTAAATTCAGATTGAGGTGGTAGTATCAGGGGCATCAGAGAAATCACCATAATTGTCCAAGCCAGGGTGGCAGAGTTAGGCTATGCAGATGGCTTCCAGAGGACAGCACCCAGAGGTAACATTCATGAATGCATTCCTGTTTGTTGGTGAAAAGTTCAGCCTCAAGACTCCAGGGTCAGGCTTCGTACATGAAAAGTGTTTGCCAAGACTCAGCTGTGTCACTGCAGCTGCCCGCCCACAGCTGAGTCAGAAACGCCGTCCTCATTCTCAGTGACTGCCCTGCCTGACTGCCTAGGAAGCAGCTCCAACATCAAACTCCATTTTACAGAAAGAACAAATGATAATTGTATCATTATGGTAATAATCCCAGGGAGCGGAGGAGGAGAAGGAAAAGAAGACAACACTTTATAGCATATACCATGTGTTTCTTATATATTAGCTCATTGAACCTATTCAACAACCCCCTGAGGCAGGTGCTGCTATTATGCTCATTTACAGAGACAGAGAGGAAGTGACTTGTCCAGGGTCTTGTAGCCAGTAAGTGGCAGAGCTAGTATTCAACCCTAGGCAATGTGATCCTAGGGTCTATGCTCTTAACCCCTCCCCTGTACCATTGCCTCTCAAGGGGAAACAAATGTTTTTGTCCCCCATCAATTCACCAACATTCCTAGGAATGTAATCTTAAAAACAGCCAGAAATGTGCTCAAAATATGATGTCCAACCAGCCTGGGCAACATGACAAAACCCTGTCTCTACAAAAAAAAAAAAATACAAACAATAGCTGGGCGTGGTGATGCACACCTGTAGTCCCAGGTGCTTGGGAGGCTGAGATGGGAGGATCAACTGAGCCCAGGAGTTTGAGGCTGCAGTGAGCTGTGATCGCACCACTGCACCCCAGACTGGGTAACAGAACAAGATCCTGTCTTAAAAAAAAAAGTGATGTCCAAAGACCTTCCCTAAAGAGATGTGTATGTTAGCAAGAAATGTGGTAGTTAGTGTCCCCCTAAATTCAAGCATTGGAAATGTAATCTTTATTGCAACAGTGTTGGGAGGTGGGGCCTTTGTGGGGGTATTTGAGTCATGAATGTATTTGGGATGCCGTAGAAAGGGCTTGCAGGAGTGGGCTGGCTTGATCCTCTGCCTTTCTGCCATGTGAGGACTCCACGCTCATCCTCGCTTGTCCTCCCACCTCCCGCCCTGTTCGAAGCACTGAGTCCTATTGCGTGATAGGCACATACCACACACAATGTGTATATCGGTCTCCTGCTGAAGGGGGTTTGGGATGTTTCCAATCTTTGTCTATTATGAATAAAGCTGCCGGAACAGGCAAAGGGAGATTTGACAGTGAAGTATAGGAATGACCTGGAGGGCTGGTTTTCTCATGGGTGAGAGTCCTCCCGGCAGCTCTTAGCTCAGATACCTCCTTGCCACTAAAATCAGAATTGTCCCCAAAATGATTTGCTTCCATTCAATCACGGATGGCATTTGTAGTAGGCATTTCCCCCCCAGAAGCTGAATGAAAATGTGATTGCCTTGATAGAGGAGGGTTCAATAGACTTCTGAAGTAGTTTCATCTATGAAATCTCAGTATTTGAAATGGAGGGACCAAGCTTTTTCAGTTTGTTTTTTCTAGAGGTAGGATGTCACTTTATCACCCAGGTCGGAGTACAGTGGCACAATCATAGCTCACTGCAGCCTCGACCTCCCAGGCTCAAGTGATCCTCCCACCTCAACCTCCTGAGTAGCTGGGGCTACAAGCACATGCCACCACACCCAGCTAATTTTTTAAAATCCTTTGTAGAGATGAGGTCTCGCTATCTTGCCCAGGCTGGTCTCAAACTTCTGACCTCGAGCAATCCTCCCGCCTCCACCAGCCAAAGTGCTGGGATTACAGGTGTGAGCCACCATGTCCAGACTCCATTTTTGACTCTGATAAATGGTGCTGCTGTGAACATTCTTGTGTGTGTCTTCTGGGGAACATATGAATGCCATTCTCTTGGGCATATACCTGGGCATGGAATCGCCAGGGCATAGGATGGCCCTGTGTTCAGCTTTGGTAGACACTGCCAAAGAGTTTCCTATGGTGGTTGTACTAGTTTATATCCAGCAGGGGATGAAACTACACTTATTCCTTGTCCTTGTCAGTGTCAGTGATGTTTATTCCATTTTCCCTGCTCTGGTGCATTGTAGAGGTGCCATATTGTGGTTTTAATTTGCATTTTCCTGATGACTCATGAAGTTGAGCACCTTTAATTATGTCATTAAGTCTGATTGTTGACTTGAACTCTGGGCCCGTTACACCAGCAGGTCCTGCCCTATGGCTTGGGGTTGGCTGTTCCATCTGCCTGGAGTGGTTCCACCAGATGTTTGCACAACTAACTTCTTTGCCTCATTCCCATCTTTTCTCAAATGTCACTTTGTTCATGCTGCTGAGCCTAATGATTCCTACCCACAGGCCAGGCATGGTGGCTCACGCCTACAATCCCAGCACTTTGGGAGGCCAAAGCGGGAGGATCACTTAAGGTCAGGAGTTTGAGACCAGCCTGGTCAACATGGTGAAAACCTGTCTCTACCGAAAATACAAAAATTAGCTGGGTGCAGTAGCAGGCACCTGTAGTCCCAGCTACTCGGGAGGCCGAGGTGGGAGGATCACTTGAACCAGGCAGGCCGAAGCTGCAGTGAGCCAGGATTGCACCACTGCACTCCAGCCTGGGTGATAAAGCGAGACCTGATCTCAAATAAATAAATAAATAAAATTGCTACACACCCCTTGCCACTCTTAGTCCCCCTCACCCTGCTTGGTTTTGCTTACTGTCTGCTAGAACAGCAGCTCCAGGAAGGCAGCTCACTTGAGTGCTTCAAAATGCCTAGCAGGGTGCCTGGCGCACAGTACACGCTCCAGAAATATTGGTTGTGTGACAATCTGAGGAAACAGCATCAGGCACAGGGAACAGAAGGCTCAGAGGCCTCAGTATGGAAACACACTGGACATGCCGGAGGGGCAGAGAAAGGCCCAGTGGCCAGAGCACAGAGGATGCAGTGGCCAGAGAGAGGAGGTCAGGGGAGAGGGAAGCCTGGGTCTCACCCTGAGCACAGAGTGGAGCTGAGGCCACGCCCTTCTTTTTTGTCTCTATCTTCTCCCAGGGAACACATCGATCCTGTACTGTTCATATTTTTGCTTCTTTTTTTTTTTTTTTTTACATATTTCTTCATTATAGTTTGCTACTTCTTGTTTAAACTTTTTAAAAAAATTAATTGTGGTAAAACACACATTGCATAAAATTTGCCATCCTAACCCTTATTTATTTGTTTGTTTGTTTGTTTATTTATTTATTTATTTATTTATTTATTGAGACAGAGTCTTACTCTGTGGCCCAGGCTGGAGTGCAGTGGCGTGATCTCAGCTCACTGCAACCTCCACCTCCTGGGCTTAAGCAATTCTCCTGCCTCAGCCTCCCAAGTAGCTGGGATTACAGGGGTGAACCACCACGCCCAGCTAATTTTTGCATTTTTAGTAGAGACGGGGGGTTCGCCATGTTGGCCAGGCTGGTCTCAAACTCAAATGATCCACCCGCCTCAGCTTCCTAAAGTGCTGCGATCACAGGTATGAGTCACCATGCTCAGCCCTAACTGTTTTTAAATACATAGTTCAGTAGTGTTAAGTACATTTGAATTGATGTTCAACCAGTCTCCAGAACTCTTTTCATCTTTCAATACTGAAACTCCACTCATTCAACAACTCCCCGTCCCCTGTCCTCCAGCCCCTGGCACCACTCATTCTCCTTTCTGTCTCTTTGAATTTGACTACCCCAGGGACCTTGCTATTTCTTTATCTGTGGCCTACTCTGCAAAAATACACTCGAAAATGTTTACCTTTAGTATTTTCTTTTTGGTTAGTTTTTAATCTGGTTCACATGAAATATAAGTGCTTTTCAAAAGCAATTTTTGTCCATCGTTTACAAACCAGTGTTTATCTTTTATTATTGTTCAGCTTTGTAAAAATATCTTGGTGAGAAGTATGTAATCAGCTGGGTGCGGTGGCTCACGCCTGTAATCCCAGCACTTTGGGAGGCCGAAGCAGGCAGATCACTTGAGGCCAGGAGTTGGAGACCAGCCATGGTCAAGATGGTGAAACCCTGACTCTACTAAAAATACAAAAATTAGCTGAGCATGGTGGCTCACGCCTGTAATCCCAGCTATTTGGGAGGCTGAGGCAGGAGAATCACTTGAACTCTGGAAGCAGAGGTTGCAGTGGGCTGAGATTATGCCACTGCACTCCAGCCTGGGTGACAGAGTGAGACTCTGTCTTAAAAAAAAAAAAGTATGTAATCTTTCAAAACTCAAAATTTGTATTTATCATTTTTAAAAAGTAACATTTAATCATATAATGAACATGATCTTGTTTAGGAGTTCATTTTGGTAAAAATAATTGTACACATGAAATAAGAATTTAGCCTTTGTAAAATTGTATTCAATCAATAACATAAATGTTTTCTGATTTGTCATCTTGTTTATCTCAAAGTATCCATGCAGTCTGAACTGAAGTCTGTTCATCCAGTCTGAACTGAAGTCTGTTCATCCAGTCTGAACTGAAATCCGTCAACCACCCTGACCCACAAGGTCGCTAACCCCAGCCAGCAGTAGCTAGATCTCAGGGAGGAAAAACAGATCTGAGAAAAGCGGCCTCCAAGTCAGAAAGCAGCCCAGCTTTTAACATTTTTATTTGGATTTCCTCCTCTATAATTTTCTGTATTCCCCTCTCCCCTCAAAATTATGAGTACTTTATTAATTAGAAGAAATGGCCAGGCACGGTGGCTCATGCCTGTAATCCCACTTTGAGAGGCTGAGGTGGGAGGATCGCTTGAGGCCAGGAGTTCAAAACCAGCCTCGCCAACATGACAAAACCCCATCTTTACTAAAAATATAAAAATTAGCTGGGCGTAGTGGCGGGCGCCTGTAATCCCGCTTCTCAGGAGGCTGAGGCAGGAGAATCGCTTGAATCTGGGAGGCAGAGGTTGCAGTGAGCTGAGATCGCACCATTGCACTCCAGCCTGGGCGACAGAGTGAGACTCTGTCCCAAAAAAAAAAAAAAAGAAAAGAAAAAAGAAAAAGAAAAAACTACAGTAACCTCATAAAAAGATAACTCAGATTATTTATCCTCAGCACACTAATTTATATGCTTAGCTAGGAAAGCAGGCATGTCAGCAACAAATGCCACTGTCACAAAATGCTGAATTAGGAGTAAATCCCTACACTTACAGTGTCAAGTCTTGGACTTCAATCTGATCATTCCTAAATGCACATCACTGGGCAATCGCTAAGCTTCTTGGTCTCTGTGTTGTCACGGGACATAAAAATAATAACTCCATATCACAGAATAGACAGTGGGATTAGACAGTGGCTGAGAGGCCACTGACAAACCTCATGAGATGGTCCTAGGAGTCCCTTGAAAAAGGATTCTCTGGTGAAAGCCAAAAGCATGCCTTTATTGCAGGACTTATCAGAGCTTTTAAGGTGCTCTTGAGCCTGGTAATCCTCCAAGAGGGGGATGTAGTGTTAAGGCTTCTCCATTCTCACTTGAACAGAGAATAAGGCTAGTGTTCCACAGCATGCACTGAGGGAAATTCTGAGCTGAAATTGGTAGTAGAGATGACTTTCTCAATCATTGAAAATAATTTTAGAAAAATGTTAAGGCCTACTGCTCCAAGTGCCACATCGTAAAAGACGCCCACACTGGTGGAGTCTGAGGAGGAGCCATCAGTCCTGAGAGGGCAGTAAGGCCATCTTACCTGTCCCCTTCCTGAGGAAGGGGCCACGTCCCATTTGTCATTGTCTCCCATCCTGCAGCTCAGCCCTATAAATGCGAGTGGCCTGAACACCTTGCTCAAGGCCAGGGGCCACCCCTGCCCACTAGCCTCCTCCATCCTGTCCTCTGCCACCATGACACCCACACTCCTTCTCTTGTCCCTCTCACCCCCATGCCCACCTACTGAGCCTCTGGCACTGCCTGCCCTTCACCACCACCTTCCAGACTCCCCAGCACAGCTCACCCTTCAAGGCCAGCTCAGACTCTGCCTCTCCTCTGGAGCCTCCTCTGCCAGCTGGGCCTCAGCTTCCCTAGATAATTCCAGTGCTAAGGGCTGACCACCTGCTGAAGGGCCTGAACAACATGCCTCTGGTTGCGCTGAGCTCATTAAAGGCCTGGTCCATATGTTCTACCCTTGCGGCTCCTTCTTCAGCATCTAGCCCAGTGACAGGCCCAGAGCAGATAATGAGCCCACTCTGACCAGTTGGTGTGGAGACTGAAGGAACTCCATCTTGGATGCTGACCCGCCATGTTGACTTCCAATTCACCCCAGTTCCAGGAATGCCTCTAAGATTTCTACTTTCACATACTTACCGTGAATCCTGCCGTTGGGTCTAAACAACCTTGACGTAAATCCTGCCCTTAGCAAATCCATGTTATACCCCTTCCCTGTGTTATATAAGCCCTGGGATAGGGGGTGTTGGTGTGGGGTTCTACCATCTCATCTTGTGCCCACCTAGGACATGGCAGTAGGTTTGCATAGACCTGCTCACCACAGAACGGTTGGTGATATGGATGGTAGACTTCAGAGAAGCTTCGTGAAGCAAACACTGGATTCTGAGCCATGAAGCCTGGTCTTGACTCCCATCTCCACCCTCCTCAGCCCTGTGAGGTAGGCAAGTCACAAAACTTCTTTGAACCTGAGTTTTCACATGCTGTACTACCGGGTTACTATTTCCCGGCCTTACCATCCACCTCAAGGGTGGTTATGAGGCGAAGGCACTTTGAAAATGCTGAAGCTCTTCTCTAATGTCAGCCTTACTGTTATTTTTCAGACTTAGCAGCCCCTGACAAATGGAGTATTAATCACGATGATGGGGCTCCCTATCCAGAGTCCAGCTGCTGACAGCTGGCACTGAGTCCAAGACAGCGGGAGCAAAGTTCTCTGCCTTGTGGAGTTCCCTGCGCCGTCATGGAATCCACCCAACCATCTGCTTCGTCTCGATGTGCTTGGCTCATTTTAATTCTTTTCCCAGAGTGTGGGGATGATGGATTCCGTGAGACAGCCCAGGTTTTCTGACACCGGTCCAGGGTTGTAGACAGCAAAGTCAATGAGCTTCCTCCGTGTCACGTTCATAGCCCAGAGACCCAAGAGCCAGCCTTAACTGGAACTGCTTATTTTGTCAGACTCAATGACCCAGGGTACCCTTTAAGGGATCTCTCTTGGAGTTGAGATGATGTAAAATTTGAGAATTAGATTATGATATCATTTTAATGGGGGTAATTTGTAATTGGTAGCCAAACATGTTTATTCAAATGAATCATAAGAAACTTCTCAAAACAGGGTAAGATTTGGGGCCAAAACTTGTAAGAAGGAATTTAGTGGGATGGGGCAAAATAGACACCCATGTTGGGAAAAGACACCTCTCACATACAGGATATGGAACACCAGGCTTCTCCAGGCATATAAGAAAAAATCTTACATTGGAGATGGCTTTGAGGTTGATGGAAGTCAGAAACAGTTGGGGAAAACAGCTACCAGTTGAGTAACCTTTATCTAAAATGCTTGGGACCAGAAGTGTTTTAGATTTCAGGGTGTTTGTTTGTGTGTTTGTTTGTTTGTTTTTCTGAGAAAGGGTCTTGCTCTGTTGCCCAGGCTAGAATACAGTGGCCTGATCACAGTTCCCTGAAGCCTTGACCTCTCAGGCTTAAGCGATCCACTCACCTCAGCCTGGGACTACAGGCACGCAACACCACGCCTGGCTAATGATTTTACCTTTTGTAGAGACAGGGTCTTGCTATGATGCTTAGGCTGGTCTCAGACTCCTGGGCTCAAACAGTCCTCCCGCCTCAGCCTCCCAAAGTGCTGGGATTGCAGGCCTGGACCACCGTGCCTGGCCTGGATTTCAGATTTTTTTAGATTCCAGCTCAACATCCCTAATTTGAAAATTCTAAATCCTACATGCTGCAATGAGCATTTCATTTAAGTGTCATGTTGACACTCAAAAAGTTTCGAATTTTGGAGCATTTCAGATTTTGGATTTTCAGATTCGGATACTCAACTTGCATTTCAAAACTTAAGCTGCATTAGTAAAAGCAGGATGAACAGAAAGATTGAGGATACAGAGCCTTTGAGCCCTGCGTTAATGAGCTCACAGTTGGTGTAGTATGCTCAGTTCTAGGTTCTTCTGAAAGATTTAGTCAAAACTTAGAGGGTGCCCACCAGAGTGACTAGGCTGGTGAAGGGTCCAGAGAACAACAGCAAAATGCAGTGCTTAACCCAGAGAAGAAACTATGCAACGGGGCATGACTGTGTTCTCAGATACATGAAGGGCTGTCATGCAGAGATGTAAGTTTTCTCTGAACTATCCTAGAGGGAGGGGGGAATGCCACCAAATATACAGAAGTTCTTATTCACCACTGAGCTGTCTGGACCCCAGAACCCTGGCTGACGCCTGGAAATTCCCTACCAATGGCATTGCTTAATCAGAGCTTGGGTAATCTGTACTGCATGGAAGTCTCACAGAGTAGTTTCCCGCACTGGGTGGCTGCCTGCACCCAGTAACCCCGATGCCTCTCCCAGGTCAAAGAAGGCCATTAGAAGAAAACTTTTTCCACCTTGATAAAAAGTAGCTTACAACTGACTTTGTGTTTAGTTTGCTTTGGTTGGGGAAAAGAAAGAACATTCCATGCATGTTTTTAATAGCAAGAACTAAAAACAGGAAATATTATATTCAATAAACCTAATAAGTAATACTAACAAATATATTTCAGCGGCAGATTATACCAGAAAGAGAAAAAAAATGAGAAAAAAAAGAAATAAAGGTGAAGAAAAATTGAGAAGGAATGATGGAGATAAAAGAGAGGAAAATAAGGCAAATAAATGGAAAAAGAGAGAAAGAGGGAGAGGGAGAGAGGAAAGAGGAAATGGAGGAAAACAGTGAGGAATCAGAATATAAAGTCATATAACTTATTTCCTTCTCTTCCTTCCTGAAACATAACACATATCATGGCTAGTGCAAAGTGAAGGTTTTCTTTGTTTAATTTAGATCTTATATTTATCAAAGATATGCATGTATTTTTAATAATTTAAAAAATAACCATAGCTGGGTGGGGTGGCTTGCGCCTGTAGTCCTAGCTACTAGGAAGCCTGAGGCAGCAGGATCACTTGAGCCCGGGAGTTCAAGGCTGCAATGAGCTATGATTGCACCACTGCACTCCAGCAAGATCCCATCTGTAATCATCATCATTATCATCATCGTCATCGTCATGATCATCATCATCATATAGTTCTATGAGGCTTATTATGAAAGCAACAGCTCCCCAGCCTCTCAAACCCATATCCTGTTTCCCATAGGCACCAATTTCCAACCCTTCAAGTCTTACTTTTTATATTTATCTCCACTTTTCTAAATAACATAATTATACTGCTATTTCTTTCTCTTTTTTCAGTCTTATGATTATCCATTCCAACTGTAAGGAAAAGACTTATCTCTCTTTTACTCTATTTCCCACCCATACACATGCCTTCCCCCATCCTCCTCATAGAGTTAGATCATCCTTTTGTTTAGATCATTTTTCAGCTATGACGTGAAGGCTGGACTCAGCTGGGACTGTCTACTGGACCACCTGCACATGGGCTTTCCATGTGGCTGGATTTCTCCTGGCAGGATGGCGGGGATTTGAGAGGGAGCATCCTCAGAGCAGGCATTTCTGGACCACCGGGCAGAGGATGCATGGCCTCTTCTGAATTAGCTCCAGAAGTTCTACAGCATCCTTCCCACTGCACTCTATGGATGGTGGAAGTCTCGGGCATGCCCACATCCAAGGGGAGAAGACATAGATGTCATCTATTACTGGGGGTGGGGGGGTGTCAAAGAATTTGGGGGCTATGTTTTACAACGGTCAGATTAGTTTTCAAATTAGATTGTTCTCCAGTCTCTCCACTTTGCCAACTCCCAAATTAGGATTCAATTTTTCTTGAGTCTGCCAAGTCAGTTAGCACTTGTTTTTCTGCTTTTCAGCTTCAAGAATTTTGTTGCCTTGTCTCAACCATTCTCTTTGACCAAGTTTACAGTTGTTTTAGTGGGATTCTAAAGGCAGAAGAGATAACTGGTTGTATTTGACTTTCATATTTAACCCAAAGTTCCATTTACTTCTTTAATTTTAAAAATGTTTCAGTCATATAATTTTACACTAATTCGTTACTGTGATTGTGTCATCCATGATTGTTTTTAATTAATTTTTATATCATTCTATATATGGCTGTATCTAGACCCTTCACCAGGCTGGCCACCCTTTTCTGGACACCTTATTCTCTTTCAAAAAACTTGTTAAAATGGACCACTTGACATTGAACCCAGGTCCAGGGATATATGGCACTGTGAAGTAATTACCCCCTTGTTCTGGAGGAAATTCTTTGCTGTCACAGCCTGAGGCCAAATGGCATTGCTTAACTGCAACTCCACACTGTTGACTTATACTGAGCCCATTACCCAAGCCACCTTTACCCACAGGCTACTAGTAAACCAAGTGGATTTTTGTTGTTGTTATTCCAATCTTGCTCTTGTGCAGGTAGCTTGTGGACCCTGAATGGAATATTCTACATTTATCCTCAGTTACATTTCATCTTGTTAGCTTCCGATACAGTTAGGCTTTGTATCCCCACCCAAATCTTATCTTGAATTATAATCCCCATAATCCCCACGTATCAAGGGAGAGACCAGGTGGAGGTAATTGAATCACGGGGGCAGTTTCCCCCATGCTGGTCTCATGATAGCGAGTGGGTTCTCACGAGATGTGATGGTTTTATAAGGGGCTCTTCCCCCTTTGCTCGGCACTTCTTCCTGCCGCCTTGTGAAGAAGTTGCCTTGCTTCCTCTTCACCTTCCACCATAATTGTAAGTTTCCTGAGGCCTCTTCAGTCATGCTGAGCTAGGAGTCAATTAAACCTCTTTCCTTTATAAATTACCCAATCTCAGGCAGTTCTTCATAGCAGTATGAAAACACACTAGTACAGCTTCCATTCATGACTCCAGCCTGTTGATATCATTTGAATTCTGATTGTGCTTTCTTAGTATTAGCTAATCTCAGCTTTGTGTCATTTACAACTCGTATCAGCCTGCAATCTGCTACAACAAAACCACTGGCGATACTCTGTAAAGCTCAGGACTAAAGATCTAGGCAACCCCACCAGCCCCCTCTCCCCAGCTGGATGCTGATTCCCTGGGCACTGTGCCCAGCTCTTATAATCCCACTTGTAGCTACTTGGCATTCAGCCTATATTTCTTCATCATGACCACAGGAATGGCATGAATCTTTTTGCTTCTCTGTGTGTATGGAAATTGTTTCAGAACATACTGTATTAATAGAAAATGTGAGCTATAGTAAAGCCAATAGATCAGGAGACAACTTCTATTGAAAAGGTAGTTTGTTACTCACAGTTCCCTAGAGAAGGGAGCATGTCATACCACAGGGGACCACACAGGAAAGCACCAGAGGTGGTCAGGAGGCAGAGGGAGATGGGGGAGCTACAGTCAAGAGCCAGAAAGAATGGATGAGGCAGGGTGAGCAGCTTTGGAGTTGGCTGGTATTAAATGAAGTTCAGCCTAATGCTGCCTCCTTACATGTTTTAAGTTCAGCCTAAAGCTTTCTCTATACAACGCAGACTATAACCTAAATGGAGATGTAAACAGACTGCAACCTACTCTTGTGCCAATCACTGAGTTTTGGCCAATCAAAGGGGGCGAACTGCTCAAACCATGTTCAAATAAGGCAAACACCGAGCTATAACCAAACTGGCTGTTTCTGAACCTTACTCCCATTTTCTGTACATCACTTTTATCTTTCTCTCCATAAATCTTCTTCCACCACGTGGCTATGCTGTGGTCTCCCTGAGCCTACTCTAGCTGGAAAGGTAATTTGCATTTGAAAAGCATGCTTTTTTTTTTTTTTTTTTTTTGGCTTGAGAGAAAGTTACTATCTCTAGGAACTGGTTAGCCCTATCAGGGGCAGTTCTTTCAGGGTTAGCAAGGCCCTAGATGTCAAGGCAGGAAAACCCATAAGATAAAAGGCATGGTTAAAACACAAACACAGCGTATTTATCCTTCAGCTAATGTTGATTCAAGGCGGGCCTGTGAGACTCTCAGAGAAGTCCTGCCTCACTGTTCATGACACTCACCCAAAAGAAGAAGAGAAGAAAGTGTCAGAATAATCTGGCCATGGCCAGGCATAGTGACTCACACCTGTAACCTCAGAACATTGGGAGGCTGAAGTGAAAGGGTTGCTTGAGCCCAGGAGTTGGAGATCAGCCTGGGCAACATAGACAAAATATAAAAATAAATTATCCAGGCGTGGTGGCACAAACCTATGGTTTCAGCTACTGGGGAGGCTGAGGTGGGAGGATCACTTGAGCTCAGGAGGTTGAAGCTGCAATGAGCCGTGATTGCACCTCTATACTCCAGCCTGGGTGACAGAGTGAGACCTGTCTCAAAAAAAAAAAAAAAAAAAGGAAAGAAAAGAAAAAGCGTGGCTACTATTTCCACAGGCAACTCCTATAAGCCCTTTCTGTTCATGAGCACTGGAGATTCCCCTGGGGAGGCAGTAGAAGTTCAGCACAGAGGGGATGGTCAACATTAAAGTATTACATCCCTGTATTCCTCGGTATGTTCCTTGGGAAGTGTGTGCATGTGTGTATACTTCTCAGGGTAGATCCGTTCCTAGAGCAATAGTTTCCCTAGTCTCCTAATTCCTATTGCAACTTCTTATGCATGAAAACCTCAAATCAGAGTTCAAGACTGAGTTAGAATGAAGAACTGCTGGAATTAAGTGTCTGTTTCCTACGAACCATGGAGATAAGCTAAAAGGGGCCGCTGGCAAGAGTGAGTGACCATCCTGTGCTGTAGGTCATATTTCTCTCGCTCTGGGTGGGTACATTTGGCTGCCTCCTCAGCAGGCACTGGCTGTCTGCCACACACATGCCAACACGTGCCTGACAGGGCAGCTGCATGCACCAGGATTTTAGCACGTGTCAGGAGCAGGCTCATGAATCTCATTGTCTCCCCCTGGAAACTGCCAGTTCCTTGAATGAGTACAGGGCAGCTGCCAGGGACCCAGCAACCAGATCTCAGCTGGAGGTAGGGGCTGAGTCCCGAAAACTGCACCTGAGTAACAATGGCCCTTCCACCCTAGTGTCCCCACGTCCCCATGTGTCACCAATGCAGCCAGCAGGTGCCATGAGCATGGGAGCATTGCTGAATCTCCAGTTGGTCCCCTTCCTTGGGTGGCCATCCACTGCCACAGCAGATGGAAAGAGAAAGCCCCTCCAGGCTCCTCTCCCTCCACAGCCCTCCACACGTGCTGTGATCCCAGCATGCGCATTCTGAATCAGTAAAAGCCAGTAAGAAAAACTATCCGGTCCCTTCCAACTCTTACGTGTCCCCACCTGCAGGTTGATGGATGGACCCCTCCTTTGGAAACCATCCTCCCTGGAAGCAAGGCCTGTTTTCCTGTTTTCTTCTCTGAGGGGACTTCTCCCCACCACATCTCCTAAAATTGGGCATGCACAGAGTCCATTCCAGGGCACAGTTGATCTGCAGGCTGACGGCAGAATCTTGGGAGACCACAGGCCTGCTGCTGACGGTTGAACCCAAGCATCCAGGTGCCAACACGCCAAGCCCACACCCTTGGCCTCCCTGAGCCCTGCAGGCTTCCCAGGCCTCTTTGGAGCTAATGTTCCAGCATTCAGACCAGCACACCCAAGCCTGCAGTCTCATGTTACTAAAATAGCTTGGCACACAAGCAAAGACTCCATGGGGGCTCCCAAGCTTCCCCTTCCAGGCACCAGGCCTTCTTTATGCCTCACGCTTCTTGATGAAGCAGATAGAGCACTTCTCAGGGAGTCAGGGGACCTGTCATTAGCAGGATGTTGGAGGAATAGTGAATCCTTCAAGTACACAGCAGTTTTCCTAAGAGTTGTCAATGTATTCTACATGGAAATGAGCTTTTACAGGAAGTCAAGAGCTAAAGGAATGAACAGAGTTAAGAAGATTTGCCTGGTAACCCAGGGACGCTCCATCACACAAATCCAGGGGACACCACTCACACTGTGTTTGCTGCGAACTGCTCCCCCTACGGCTGCGCAGTTTTCTACCTGCTCTTTCCTTCCCATTTCTTCATCCAGTCCCGTGGTCATTTGGGACTCTGTGCCCTACGCTTTTGGCAAATTTCAAGTTAGTCTCTTAGAATGTGAGAGCCAGAGGGACCATTGGGTTTATGGCATCCATTCCTCCACTTTGGAGATAGGGAGGCTGTGGCCTGAAGAGATAACTTGTCTGTGCATCCTAGGCGGAGGCAGGGCCCAGATCCGGCACTCCTGACTTCCTCTTCTGCAGCACTACCCTGTGTGTGGCTGCAGACCTGGGAGCCTGCTGGAAACACAGCTTCTCCAGCTCCAGCCCCAGACCTGCTGAATCAGAACCAGCCTTTGATCAAGACACCCTGGTGACTTGCATGTAAAAGTTCTAGAAGGACTGATCCTTAACCACACCCAGGAAGAAAGGATACAGCCCTCTAAACACACTCTTGTTTCTAAAATAACCCGCATTCCCTGCATTCTGGAAGGAAAAGGACATATGATGTATGGGGAGGAGAGGGAGGACTAAGGTGTGTTCATTTTGCAAAGCTGCTCATATGGAGAACGCTGCCCTCCAGGTGGACGGGCTCAGAAGGAACGTCTGTGGGACGGGCTCACGAAAGCCTGGGAAAACGTGACTCTGTAGTCCCCTCTCTGACTTATGCAATTGTTTGTTTGGACACTTGACTGACACAAACACAGCCTCTTCACTCCTCACCCTCTTGACGTCAAGAATACGACCCTTTGCAGAGAGGGGAGACCTCAGAAGAGTCAGAAGAGTCTTGAAGAGGCCTTGAACTTGAACCCCGCAGAGCCAACAGCTGAACTCCCTCCCTGCCTCCCAGAGGCATGGTTCTGCAGGAAGAGGCTCAGCTCCCGGGCAACCAGACCCTCTCCCCACAGACGCCCCTTTGCTCTTCATGCTGCTCTTGGTTTGGCTTTGGCTGACAGATGTCATTTCCTCATCCCTGCTAGAGTGCAGGCTGCTGCTTCTTCCCAGGGGCCAGCAGTAGGGCCTTGTCCACCTCTGCCCTGGGCCTCCCTTGGTTCTAGGAACAGCAAGCAGTTGTTGGGGGCTGAATTTTCTACCCCCAAAAGTCATATGTTGAAGTTCCCCCCAGTTCCTCAGACTGTGACTGTATTTGGAAACAGTGCCTTTGAAGAGGTAATTAGGGTAAACTGAAGCCATTTGGGTAGACCTTAATCAATAGGATTGGTGTCTTCATAACAAGAGATTAGGACACACACAAGCTCACCAGGGGCACACACGCACACACACACACACACACACACACACATACATGTGGAGTGATGACCATGTGAGGACAGGGAGAAGGCAGCTGTCCACAAACCAAGGACAGAGGCCACAGGAGAAACGAACCCTGCCGACACTTTGACCTCATACTTCCAGCCTCCAGAACTGTGAGAAAACCAATTTCTGTTACTGAAGCCTCCCAGCCTGTGGCACTTGGTCACAGCAGCCGAGCTGACTAACGCACCCATGAGCATGCATGATGAACCCAATTCCGACTTCACAGCAGCTCCTTCTCTGGGAGTTACCCATTGTTATCCATTCCTGTGAGGAACTGGATGGAAAGACTTCTTCTTTTGATTTATTATAAACAAGTGATAGAAGGATGTAGGAGTTTGTGCACAAAACCTAAGTAGTTTTTTCCCCACTGGAAAAGAATCTGCAATGCATCCAGTTGTCTTATGATTGAAGTCTTCTTGTTTTTTTAATTTTACTTTAAGTTCTGGGATACATGTGCAGAACGTGCAGGTTTGTTACATAGGTGTACATGTGTCATGGTGGTTTGCTGCACATATCAACCCATCATCTACGTTTTAAGCCCCACATCCATTAGGTATTTATCCTAATGCTCTCCCTCCCCTTGTGCCCCGCCCCCTGGCATGCCCTGGTATGTGATGTTCCCCTCCCTGTGTCCATGTGTTGAGCTCTTTATTAGCATATTTTTCAATCAAGAGTATTGTAAACTCCTTCTCTCAGGCATAATTAGATTTCCTTTACAGCTAGAGAACCTAGTCTAGGGTCTGATTTGGTCTGTTGCCCATCAGCCCACTGCCAATATTTCTAAAGCTCTATGCCCAGGAGAACAGCACTTTTCACCAAAAGCAAACAAACAAACAAACAAAAAACAAACAAACAAACAAAATGGCAGTCACGGTGCCTATAATCACTGCACGCATGGCTACGCTTAACCGTAAGGGTCTTGTTTGTATTACCAAGTTATTACTCTGTTTTATGGCTCCTTTTTATTTCTCTGCATGCCCCTCCCTAGTTTTGTTTTTGTTTTTTAATCGTGATCCATGTTAGTCAAGGGATGGCCTGTCCCTGTCCTGGGCAATCTGCCCCTGCTCCCCTGTAGCTGGTGGTAAGCACATTCATGGCCCCTGCCTAACTATCTCTTTTAGAGATCAGGTGTGATTCTAAGGAAATGGGGGGTTACCTTTAGTTTCTTTCCACATCTGAGGTTCTAAGTTTCACCTCTTCTCCTCCCAGTGTCCCCAAATTGGGCAGGCTTAGACTGAGCCTCAGCCTTCATCAGTCACCAAGGGGTAGAACCCTCACCCACACACATGGGTAAGCAGGATTAAAATTGCCTTTGCAAAATTATGTCAGTGAGAAAATTATAGCAGTGAGGGAAATCTGATCTAGCCAACCCCCACTCTCTTGCCTTTAGCTTTCAAGCTGCCTTAATTACTCCTAGGCTTAGGCCAAGCTAACTTTGGAAGACATTTAGGTTATAGTTTAAATAATAGCCCTAAATAATAGCCCTCCTCCCAAACTCGACAGCCTTTGAAAAGCTAATGAGAGACCACCAAGCTAGGGCAAAGAGATGAGCCTGAATTCTGCCAAGGTGTAGACATAAATGATTCTCAACCATTATTCCAGAGGTGCTACAGATAGTGTCACTCCTGTAGACTGGCCTTTTGAGATATCTTTTCAGGTTTTTTACATGTCTGACACCCATGGTTCTACTTGGACCCACCAACCAATGGCTCCTGTGACCCCACCCAGGAGCAATTCAGCTCAAGAGGACAGCTTTGACCCCCTATGATTTCATCTCTGTCCCAACCAATCAGCAGCAAGCACCCATTGCCTAGCCACCCCCACTCCTACACTCAAACAGTCCTTAAAAACTCCTAAACTACAAGCCTTCCATGAGATGAGATTCATTTGAGGAATAACGCCATCTCCCATGTGGCATGCCCAGCCTCGTGTCAATTAACTCTTTTTCTACTGCAATGCTGTGGTCTTTGTTTGCGCAGCAGGCAGGAAGAACCCATCAGGTGGTTACAGGGTGTCTTCCCATCAGGCCATGGGGGTGGGGCCACACCCATCAACCTCCCTCCTATGCCAAATCTCCTGCCTGCCCCAGTTACCCAAGGAATCAGTCAGTGTCACCGGGGAGACATAAATCTCACCAGTTATTTTAACAGAGAGAATTTAAATTAAAGGTTTGCTGACTAGGTATGAAGTTGGTAACTAGGTAAGAGGAAGGGAAAAGAGGAGGCCTCTTGCCAGTAGCTAGTGATGGAGGAGGGATGGGCAGGGGCACCAGGGGTGCCCCACTTCTCTGAAGGTCTGTGGGGCAGAGCAAAGGCCGCCGTGTCCCCTCTCTCTGCTTCCACTTCAATCTCTAAGAAAGCCTGAGCCAAGCCTAGCCTCAGCCTCCATCACTGGAAACTGCTTCAGGGTTAACCTTTGAGGAGAGATTTTGAACTGTAACCACCCAATGGGTTTACCTTGCCCACTGCCTAGACAGAACCAGTTTATCAAGACAGGGGAACTGCAATAAAGAAAGAGTAATCCACACAGAGCCAGCTGTGTGGTAGACCAAAGTTTGATTATTGCTCAAATCAGTCTCCCTGAGCATTCAGGGGTCAGAGTTTTTAAAGATAATTTAGTGGGTAAGGGCTTGGGAAGTGGGGAGTGCTGATTGGTCAGGTTGGAAATGGAATCATAGGGAGTGAAAGTGAGGTTTTCTTAATGTCTTCTGTTCCTGGGTGCGATGGCAGAACTGGTTTGGACCAGATTACTGGTCTGGGTGGTGTCAACTGATCCATCGAGTGCAGGGTTTGCAAAATATCTCAGGCACTGATCTTAGGTTTTTACAATAGTGTTGTTATCCCCAGGAGCAATTTGGGGAGGTTCAGACTCTTGGAGCCAGAGGCTGCATGACCCCCACATGGTAATTTCTAATCTTGTAGCTAATGTGTTAGTCCTGCAAAGGCAGACTGGACCCCAGGCAAGAAGAGGGTCTTTTCAGGAAAGGGCTGTTAGCAGTTTTGTTTCACAGTCAAACCATGAACTAAATTCCTTCCCAAAGTTAGTTCAGCCTATGCCCAGGAATGAACAAGGACAGCTTAACAGTTAGAAGCAAGAAAGAGTTGGTTAGGTCTGATTTCTTTCACTGTCATAATTCCCTCAGTTATAATTTTGCAAAGGCAGTTTCAGAACCAGTGAAAGGTGAGTGCTGGGTTAAGGTGGCTTGAGGGAAATTCTCCAGCTGGGTGTTTCTCTTTTGTCCCATTTTCCTTCTTCCCACCTCTCCATTCTCTCTGCTTTTATGCCCCACCCTGCCTGGGCACCGACTGCTCTCTCTTCTCTCATGGCCTGAAAGGTTGCCCATAAGGATGGAAGTGCTCAGTGTCTCTCTGTTCTCAGTGGGCTGTTAAAAACGTAACTGCACATCCCTGATCCACATACACAGTCTGCTGCTTATAGGAGAACTTCTCAAGTTTTAGGGTTCTGAATTATAAGGTCTCCAAAGCATAGAACACATGGGGTTCTAGAACTTGAATTTATGTTACAATAAAGCAGTGATTAAAAAAAAAATACTCTAAGTCTGAGCTCTACTCCCAGAGATTCTGATATTGGTGTCTGGAGTGGGATCCACTTGGGCATGAGGATTTCAAAAAGCTTCCCAACTGCTTTAAAAGTGCAACCGAGGTTGAGAACTATGCCCTAAGATACACACAAATACAGCAAATAAATGCCATTATCAAAATTATAAGAATGGAGCAGTCTCAGTGAGGTGTAAAGAAATGTGTGGCTAAGCACAATCCTCCATTGTCATCAATCCCTGCTTTCTGATGTTGGCTCCACCCAACTGGGCTTGAGTAGGAATCTTTAACTCATCTTGAACTCTTTCTAAGACACTAGTAGTTCCAGAGTTTTCAACAATTCTACCAGGTTTTTATAAACTTCTTTCTTTTACCACAGGTTTTGATTTCTCTGAGACAGAGAGAGAGAGAAAGTGAGAGAGGGAGGGAGGGATGGAGAAGGAAAAGAGAAAGAGGGGAAGGGAAGAGAGAGGGCAAAGAGAGAGACAGGAGAGAGAGGGAGAGAAAGAGAAAGGATGGGGGGAGAGAGAGAAGGAAGAAAAGAGAAAGAAGGAGGGAGAAAAGGGCAAGAGAGAGGGCAAAGAGGGAAGAGAGAGGGAGAGAGAAAGGGAGAGATGGGGAAGAGAGAGGGAGAAAGATAGAGAAAGAAGGGGGGAAAGAGAGGGAAGAGAGGGAGCATGGACAGAGGGAAAGAGACAGACAGGGAGGGAGAGAGGGGGAAGAGAGAGGGCAAAGAGGGAAGAGAGAGGGAGAGGGAGAGATGGGGAAGGAGAGGGAGAAAGAGAAATGAGGGAAAGAGGAGGAAGAGAGGGAGCAAGGACAGAAGGAAAGAGAGAGACAGGGAGGGAGAGAGGGGGAAGAGAGAGGGCAAAGAGGGAAAAGAGGGAGAGGGAGAGAGAAAGGGAGACATGGGGAAGAGAGAGGGGGAGGGAGAATGAGAAGGAAGGAAAAAATGGGAGGGGGGAAGGGGCAAGGAGAGAGAGACAGTGAGAGAGAGGAAGCAGTTGCCTTGGGCCCTGAGTCTCAGGCAGCAGTGACAGCTTCCTCCCTACCAGCTAAACAGGGCCTTTTCTTGTCTTCTAGCTTGAGGCAACATCTGCCTTTCCTCCCCAGTGGTGCCATAACAAAAGCTCATGGCCATATAACCCGTCAACTTGTCTGTCCTCTTTCCAGCATCAAGAATCCACGTTTCTTCCAGAGGGAAAAATAAAAGAAAGAACTTTTATAGACACAATGCAGCAAGATTTGAAAATATAGACTTAACATGGTTTTGATCATAGAGGGTATCTAGAATGCAGACACAATGCAGCAAGATTTGAAAATATAGACTTAACATGGTTTTGATCATAGAGGGTATCTAGAATGCCGTCCCATCCAGATTTCAGAGATCAATATCAATTTTCTCTTTGTCCCTAATCAGATCACAGTATGTGGTTGAGATAAGTGGGGTGTATTGAGTTATGGGGTGGTACTCAGACAGAAGAAAAAGACACAAACTCATCTTATTCTGGGCAGTTCAATTGGAATGGAAAGAAAGGGAAAAGGAATGAAGGAAGAACCCAAGGTCAGCTGCTAACGCTGCCTGCACATGGTATGATGCCTTCAGAGCAAATGATAACATGGCGCTCTTTTCAATGCTCTCCTTGGCATGGAGATGCTGATGTTGTATTTTAATAATATAATAACACTTCAATTAACCAGCCTTACAGCCATGCTCCACAGACAACACATTCCTTCATGTCATCTGGTGCTTTTTATTATTACACTTTGGATGATGTGTCCTCAACAAGGATCATTCCTCTCCTTTCTTAAGCAGAGCTTATTGGTTATAATTTAACATTGGAAATGAGCAAGAGTCACCATTTATGATGATTGTAAGGTACTTGTGCAGGATGAAAGTGGCATCTCCCAAGGGAGAGACCGGGGATCAGAAAGGAGCTACTCTAAGCTGTTATTTATCTAAGCTGCACCACCCCGTGGAGATGGATAAGACAGGGCCCATCTCTGTTTAAGTGGTGGCTTTAGTGATATCAGCCCGGAACAGGGTGGAGAAGAGGCCCCTTAGCAGGATCATGCCGAGAAACAGGGTCCAAGAGTAAGCCCTCCTCATACAGGACGAGGCAGTGTTGTGTCCTAAATGATAATAATAATTGCTTTGGAGAGATGTGCTTGCCCACAGATAACCTACAAAGCCACAGTTCTTGCTGGAGATGCTGAAGCCATGGGATTAGAGTCCATTTCTCCCATGTCAGAGTTGACAAACCTGGACAGAGGAGGGTCTCCACTGATTTTTGGCCAAAGCCTGAGCTCTGGAGTTTTCCACTGACAGATGGAGAAGGGTAGAGTTCCCAAAG
This sequence comes from Homo sapiens, assembly GCF_000001405.40. Classification (NCBI taxonomy): domain Eukaryota; kingdom Metazoa; phylum Chordata; class Mammalia; order Primates; family Hominidae; genus Homo; species Homo sapiens. Next base: position 28,014,807 of record NC_000008.11, read on the forward strand.
CAAGGGGCGTGGGGATCCCGGGCAGGAGACCTGCAGAGGGGCTGTTAGGAGCAGAGACAGTGAGCGGTCAGGAGAAAGATAGCCTTGGAAGGTCTCAGCCTGGGAGATTCCTCTCCTTAGCCACAAGGGCCCAGGCTCTTGTCCTCCCCTGCTGTGCAGGGAAACAGCCACCTGGCCCTTCGGTGGTTCAGCCAGACTAGGGAGACAGAGAAGCTTGAGATGGGAAGGTATTTGCTTCCTGATTGCCACAGGCTGAAATGCAGTTAAGCGTCAACCCCATTTCTCCCCTCCTCCACCCACACTTAAAAAATATCTTTGGTCGTGCCACCCTGACCCCTGGAAGCCATAAACAGGCGATATTCCAGGCCAAATGGCTGAGAGACTTGTCACTGATTGTCCTCAACCTCCCTGCCCTGCATACTCACCTCCTGGGCTACAAAAGATCACCCCTCAGGGCAGAAAGTGAGGGACTCTTCTCTGCACCCACGATAGACCGTGTGGGTCTTTAGTTTCTAGTTTCCTCCCTCATTGTCAAGCTGTCAGTGTTTTTTTATTATTATTCTTATGAAAAAGGGACAGGGGGCACTGATGAGGTTGTTTTAGCCAAAGATGCATAGTCTAAACCCAATCACGAAGAGACATCAGACAAACCCACATATTATAAAACAGCTGGCCTGTACCTCTCAAAAATGTCCATGTTATGAAAGGTAAGGAAAGGCTGAGGAAATGTTCTAGATTAAAGGAATCAAAGAGACGTGATAAATACATGTAACACAGCATCCTGGGCTGGATACTCTACTGGAAAATGTTGGCAATACCGGCTATAACTAGGGCAACCGATGATATTTGAATGCAGATTATAGATAAAATGATAGTATCTTACCCATAATCAATGTTGAATTTTCTGAATTTGATCATCATACTAGGGTTATGTGAGAAAGTGTACTTGTTTTTGGGGAATACCCAAAAACATTAAGGGATAAAGGAACATGACATATGCAACCTACTTTGAAATCATTCAGAAAAAGTATGCACAAAAAGTATGCACAAATAGACACACACGGACAGGCAAAGAATGATACAGCAAAGCAAATGTAGCAAAATGTCAACAAGTTGATACAGTGTCTGTAGGAGTTCTTTGTACTATTATTGCAACTTTTCTGTAAGTTTGAAATTCTTTTGAAGAAAAAAGAAAAATATCAAAAGAAAGTGATGGGGAACTCCAAAAGAAAAGATCATGGAAGGACCCTTTAAATAGAAGCAATTCATATAGAAACTAGAGGAGTTAAAAAAAAAAAAAAAAGAAGTAAATAGAAGCAATTCAAATAATAGGAAAAATGTTCAACACCACTAACAAACCAAGTAGTGCAAGGTGGTACTTTTTAAAATCTCATCCCATTAACCTACTGCAGAAAAGGATAACAACCACTTTTGGTGAGGAATCAGTGACACAGGAACTCTCGTCCCTGCTCGTAAATGGACAGTGTTTCTGAAAAACAACTTGAGACTTTAAAATGCTTTTAGACTCAGACCTTGTAATAGAATTCTTAAAAACTTATCCAAAAGAAAAAAAAATCAGAGCTAGGGACAGAGATTTATATCTAAGCATATTCTCTATGATGTTATTTACAATGGAGAAAAACAGCATGATTTAAGTGTCCAAAAATAGCACAAAGGATAAATAAATAACACGTGTATATAGGAAAATACTGTGTAGTCATTTAGAGCTGTGTTTCAAAAAAACATTGTTTTCCCTGGCACAATCCTGCCCACCTCCCAACCTTCTCTCACTCTAGCCAGTCCACCCCTCTTTCCTGGGAAGATGAACCTGCTAGGACTTCAAACTCACCACGGAGCCCTTGGGGCACATTAAGGATCACAACAAAAGACTTTTGCTCGCAATTTTAACCTATTGATCCAGCAGCCCTTTATCCTGAATCTCCTGCTTCTGGTTCCTGAATCCTCTTGATTCTACCCTTGGCTTTTGAGGTTTTTCTTCTTTTATTGCATTGGTCTGAATTTCTGTCCTGGATTTATGTCAGTATCAGCCTGAAGCCTCTCACCAGGACTCAAGATGTTGCCCCAGGTTCTTCCCCTTTTGCTCCACTCTGCCAGTGCAGCCTTCCTGACTGACAGCTCTGCGTTGCATTCTTCAGGCAGTTAACACACAGCCCCACTGCCAGTGCCAGCTCTGACTTTCTAAGCTCTGGCTGGAGTTAACTCCTTGGCTTCCGATACCAAGGAGGTAATTTTATTTGGTGAAAACTAAGATTTGGAGCAGAGAGATATAAATCTAACACGATCTTAGTCCACAGCCCTCACTTGTCTCACGGGTTATTTAGAAGTGTGTTGTTTGGTTTCCAAATATTTGAAGACTTTTCCAGATTTCTTTTTGTTATTGACTTCTAATTTAATTCCACTGTGGTCAGAGAACATACTCTGTATGAGTTCCATATTTTAAAATTTATTGAGACTTATTTTATGACTCAGGATATGGTCTATCTTGGTAAATGTTCCATGTACACTAGAAATTAATGTGCACTCTGATGTTGATTACAGAGTATTCTATAAGTCTCAATTAGGTAAAGTTAGTTGATACACTGTTCAATTCTTTAATATCCTTACTGAGTTTTTCTACTTGTTCTATCAGTTATCAAGAGCGGGTATTGAGATTTCCAACTATAATTATGGATTTGGCTATTTCTCCTTTGAGTTTTATTAGCTTTTGCTTTGTGCATTTTGAAACTTATTAGGTGCATAACTAGGATTATTATGTCCTCTTGATGAATTAACCACTTTATCACTATGCAGTGATGATCCTCCTTATCATTAGTAATATTCCTTGCTCTGAAATTTACTTTGTCTAATATTGATATAGAAACTCTGTCTTTAGATTAGTATTTACAAATATCTATCTTCCATCCTTTTACTTTTAACATATTTATGTCTTTATATTTAAAGTGGGTTTCTACCAGACAACATATACTGAGGGCTTCTTTTTAAAAAATCTAACTTGGTAACCTCTGCCTTATTTAATTAGTGTTTTACACCATTTACATTTAATGTGTTTATATGATTGGATTTAAATCTACTATCTGGCTATTTGTTTTCTGTTTGTACCTTCTATCGTTTGTTTATTTCCTATTCTTTCCTTTCTTGGATTATTTGAGCATTTTAAATATACATTTTATCTCTTTAAGTTGTTTGCTAGATATAACTCTCTTGTTTTTCTAGTGGTTGCTCTAGGGTTTCTAGTGTATATCTTTAGCTTACCACAGTTTACCTTATACATTATATAACTGTGTATATTGTATAAAAATCTTGCAACAACATGCTTCCATTTCTCCCTTCCTGCCCTTTGTGCTTTTGTCATACATTTAAATTCTACATGCTATAAACTCCACAATGTATTGTTATTGGTTTTGTTTTAAACTACCTTTTAAATAGATTTGAGAAAAATAAGAAAAAGTATTTTATATTTGCCCACATATTTACTAATTTTGGTACTTGCTTTGGTATGTCTGAAAAGTCTATTTCACTTCATTTTTGGAAAATGTTTTTTGCTAGATGAACATTTTTTTCCTTCAATTTTTAAAAAGGTTGCTCCACGGACTTTTGGCTTACATCGTTTCTGCTGTCATTGTTTTTATTCGTTTGGATGTATTATCCACTTGTCATCTGCTTACAAGTCTGCTGTCATTGTTTTTATTCCTTTGGATGTATTATCCACCACTGCCTTTGCAGCCTCCCCTTCACCCCTAACACACCCAGCTGGTTTTAAGATTTTCTTTTCATCACTGGTTTTCAGCAATTTGATTATGATGTGTTTTGGTGTATTTTTTCTTATTTTTCTTTTGCTTCAGAGTCATTGAGCATTTTGGATCTGTGGGTTTATAATTTTTATCAAGTTTGGAAAAACCTCAGACATTATTCTCTTAAATATTTTTTCCTATATCCCCACATCTTTACTGTTCTTCTGTGGTTCTAGTAATGTATATTTTAGGGTGCTCGATGTTTTATTGATGCACTGTTCATTTTTTTCCTCCTTGTGTTTCATTTTGGGTAAGTTCTATTGCTCTGTCTTTGAGTTTACTTATCCTTTCTTCTACCCTACCTAGTCTGCTGTTAATCCCATATAGACACTGAGACTTTTTAAATCTCTCCAAGTTCTATTTGAGTCTTGAATTTCTTCCATGTCTCTTCTCATTGTGTTTATGCTTTATTCTATCTTCTTGAGCATCTGGAGTAAATTTCTTATAGCAATTTTAATAACCTTGTCTACTAACTCTATCACCTGAGTTATTTCTGGGTCTATTTCTATTGATTTTTCTCATTATTGTTCATATTTTCCTGCTTCTTCATATGCCTGGAAGTTTTTGTTTTGATGCCATACATTGTCAATTTTCCATTGTTGAGCGCTGGAATTTTTTATGCCTAAATGTTTTCATGTTTTCTTCTGGGATGCAGTTAAGTTACTTGGAAACAGTATGATTCTTCTGAAGTTTTTTTAAAACCTTTATTAGGTGGATGCCTAACAGCCTTTCACTGAGGACTATTTTGACCCCACTACTAAGGCAATATTCTTCTGATCAGTCTACTCGATGCTTCAGGTGTAAGGTCTTCCACTATGGCTAACCTAGCTTGAACTGAGCTTTGCGGACTTTTCTGCTGGCTTCATTCCAGGGGTTCTTTCCTCATTTTTGGTAGTTTCCTCACAGGCATATGCTTATCAGTACTCAGATAAAGAATCAAAGGAGACCCACTTCACATCTCTGGAGCTCTCTGTCCTGCTCTCTTCTCCATGGTAATCTTCCCTGTGAATTCTAATCACCTTGGACTCTTCAAACTCTGATCTCTGTCCCCTCAACTCAGGGAGAACACTCAGTTCCTTTGGGGCTTCCCTTTCCTGTGCTGTGGTCTGGAAACTCAACCAAGTCATAAGATAAAGCATTGTAGGCCTCACCTTATCTCCCTCCCTTCTTTCAGGGGTGACTGTGTTGCACTATTTTCCCATATCTAAAAATTGCTGTTTCATAATTTTTGTTTGTTTGTTGTTGTTGTTGTTGTTTAACCAGAGGGTAAATCTGGTCCTGTTACTCCACCATGGCTGGAGGTGGAAGTCCTCTACATCCCTCTCGTGAAATATGAAAAGTGAACTATACAAACTGCAATAGAACGCTATGTGTTTAGAAGTTTAATGTGAAAATGAACCACTGAGACATAACCACATGGCTAAATCCCTTTTTCTCCTACTTAGGCAAAAGGTATTATAACAAAAAGAAAAGAATTTAAAATCCTAGAATTTCAAAGGAGCAAAAGATGTTTTAATCATCCAGTTCCTCTCTTTCCTTTTGTATATGAGGAAATAAAATCTCAGAGGTGTTAAGGAATTGTCATATTAGTATTGGTCAGAGCTGGGATCAGAACCCAAGTTTCCCAACAGACAAGCCACTGAACCATGTTATTTCCATTCTGCCCATAAACAATAGTGACCATTTATCAAGTACTATTAAGTACAATGTGTCCATATTTTGTAAGCATTATCCTAAACTTCCTGACAACCCTAGCAGTATCAGGGTAGGTACTACCATTGTCACCATTTTACAGATAAATTACCTGAAGCTCAGGGGGTTTAAATGATTTGTCTAAGACAGCTGTTCTCAAATATGGTCCCTGAAACTCTTCTGTGGGGTCTGCTGGGTTAAACTGTTTTTATAATAATACTAAGATGTTATTTTCCTTTTCTACCATGTTCACACTTGTACTAAAGGTGTAAAAGCAAAGATGGGTAAAACAACTTGCACCTTGGCATGAACCAAAGCAGTGGCACCAAACTACATTCAAAACTCTTGTATTTTTCACCGTCATGAACTTTCAGGGCTTTTAAAAAGCCAGTTGGACTTTAAAATGTTCTAAATGAAACAGTATGTTATTAATTGTATTAATTATGGACATCTATGTAGATGTCATTTTATTATTCTGTGGGACAAAATGGGAAATACACTTAAAGCACTTCTGCAAAGAAAAGCATTTCCTTGAGTGTCTGAGTTTCAGGCTGAACTTGACACTTTTTTCTTGGAACATCATTTTTATTTGAAATAATGACTGACAAACTATAGTTCATCATATACAGTTATATAGTAAACACTTTCCTAAAAATGAGGAAAGTGAATCTATCACTTCAAAGAAAGCAACTGACAACATTTGTCATCAATGATAAGATGAGCTTTTGGGGGGGAGATGGAATTTTGTAAAACATATTTTTCACTGTGAGCTTGACAGCTTCCCAATACTGCAATACTTTCCTGATGAGATTGGTGAAGACACTAACAAAATGATTTCATGGTAGTATACAATAAAATGCATCAACACTTGGAATATTTGCTTAACTCAGCGAATAAATATTTTCAAGATGAGCAATGCCTGATATCACAAAATCATGCATTAGTAAAAAAAATCATTCAAAGTACAAAATCAACCAGTGCACTTTAATGTAATAGCATTTGAAAAATGTTCACTGATAATGCTTTCAGATCCACACCACAATTAACTTTTAAGAAACTGCCATCTGCCTTTGTAGAATCAAAATATATCCCAAAATTACCTGAAAAAGCTATTAAAATACTTCCTTGTATTCCAACTGTATATCTGTGTGAGACTGAATTTTTTTCATATACATCAACCAAAACAATATATTGCAACAGAGTAGATGAAGAAACTGATATGAGAATCCAGCTGTGTTCTATTAAGCCAGGGAATAAAGAGATTTGCAAAAGTGTAAAACAATGTTACTCTTCTCAGTACCTTTTTTTTAAATAGCTTTTTACATAACAATGGGTTATTTTTGTTAACACGTAATGGGTTTATTATTGTTACTTCTAAAAAAGTTAGTAAATAATTACTTACATTTTCTCCTATTTAATTTCGAATAGTCAATATCATCAGACATAACCCACATAAACAAAGGCTCCTCAGCGTCCTTTAAAAGTGAAGAGTCCTGAGATCAAAATGTTTAGGAAGTGCTGGCCTTAGATAACACATCTGAGAAGTGATGAAGCCGGGTCTATGTTCATCTGGCTCCCAAACCCATTTTGTTTCCAGGATACGATGTTGCCTCCTTACCCAAAGTCTCATCAGTACTAAAATAAAAAACAGAATTGGATTCCTAAAAGCTTTATTTTGCAATGTTTTCCATAATACTTAAGTTTTTCAACGTTTAGATATTTTTCTTTATTGAAGGATGAATTTCTTTTTATGGCTTGTTTTATATCGTGCAATGTTTTTTCTATAATGTTTAAGTTTTTTTATGTATGGGTGTGTGTGTGTATATATATATATTTTTTTCTTTTTCTTTTTTTTTTTTTTTTTTTGAGACATAGTCTCACTCCGTCGTCCAGGCTGGAGTGCAGTGGCGCGACCTTGGCTCACTGCAACCTATGCCTCCTGGGTTCAAGCGATTCTCCTGCCTCAGCCTCCCAAGTAGCTGGGACTATAGGCACATGCTACCACGCCTGGCTAATTTTTTGTATTTTTAGTAGAGATGGGGTTTCACTGTGTTAGCCAGGATGGTCTCAATCTCCTGACCTCATGATCCGCCCGCCTCAGCCTCCCAAAGTGCTGGGATTACGGGAGTGAGCCACCATGCCCAGCGATGTTTAGATGTTTTTGCGGAAGCAAAAGTTTCTTGCCCTAAAGCTTTAGAACTCCATTAGGTATTGAAGATGACTCTTTGGGGCTATAAAATAAAATGCAGTAAACATACTAGTTTTATATTGCATGCAAAGTCCAAATAGTTGAGAAATGTCCTCTATTAGATTTCACAAAACAGAAAGAATTCTGAGCCAGGCACAATGGCTCATGCCTGCAATCCTAGCACAAGAGACTGAGGTGGGAGAGAATCACTTGAGGCCAGGAGTTTGAGACCACCCTGGGCAACAGAGCAAGATGCCATCTCCACAAAAAATTAAAAAATTACCCAGGTATGGGCCGGGCACGGTGGCTCATGCCCGTAATCCCAGCACTTTGGGAGGCAGAGATGGGTGGATCACGAGGTCAGGAGTTCAGGACCAGCCTGGCCAAGATGATGAAACCCCGTCTCTACTAAAAATATAAAAATTAACCGGGTGTGGTGGCAGTCGCCTATAATCCCAGCTACTTGGGAGGCTGAGGCAGAGAATTTCTTGAACCCAGGAGGTGGAGGTTGCAGTGAGCCGAGATTGCACCACTGCATTCCAGCCTGGGTGACACAGCGAGACTCTGTCTCAAAAAAAAAAAAAAAAAAATTACCCAGGTGTGGTGGCCTGTACCTGTAGCCCCAGCTGCTCTGGAGGCTGAGGCTGGAGGATCGCTTGAGCCTAGGAGTTCGAGGCTGCAGTGAGCTGTGATGGTGCCACTGCACTCCAGCCTGGGCAACAGAGGTAGATAGATCTTGTCTCTTAAGAACAAAAAAAGTAATTCTAATTCTCTGGCTCTGGGCTGATTTTTCATCCATTGGGACTAAGCCCCAGGAGTTACAGTGATGTCCCGGGGGGGCCAGCCTTGCTGGGGGATGCCCTTAGGAGGAATTCTTGCATGCCCTTCCTCAGCCGTGCATTCTCCGCGACCTCCCTCAGGCTTCTGTGCAGCTTCTCCATCTCCTTGTATTCACTCCCGACATCTACAGGAGAGCAGAAAGCTCACATCAGGACTTGGTGTCCGTTGCAGAAACGTCTCCAGAAAGCAAATCCCCCAACAATCCTGTCACTTGTCCCAGAATATGAGATCTGGAGTGGTGCTTACAGATCAGACATCAAAGCAGGTGTTCCTCCTCTTACCAGAAAGCTTTCTCAGCATGGGGTCACCCTCAAAAGAAACCCAAACCTACCCATAAGAAAAACCCTGAGAAGTCACTGGGTCTGTATTAAGGCTTCACAGGTGTGTGATATACAAAGCATGTTGCACAATAACACCTCCTCTAATTCCTCTCCAGGCGGCTCCCCCTCTTCCCCCCACCCCAATCCCTATCCTCCCAGCACAACCCATTCTCAGTGAATGTTCTCTTTCTGGCATCTCAGGTTTTAATCCCATGATCTGTAATCAAACCATGTTCTCACAATGGTTAGTTTTATGTGTCAACTTGTTTAGGTCACAGGGCCCAGAAACCGGATTAAACGTGAGTCTGGATGCCTCTGGGAGGGTGTTTTTGGATGAGATTCACATTTAACAGGGATGCTCCAGTGACAGCCTTGGGCCTTTGACATGGAGTTTTGCTCTTGTCACCAAGTCTGCAGTACAATGGCATGATCTTGACTCACTGCAACCTCTGCCTCCCAGGCTCAAGTGCTTCTGCCTCAGACACCCAACTAGCTGGGATTACAGGCACCCACCACCTCGCCTAGCTAAATTCTTTCTTTTTTTTTTTTTTTTTTTTTGTATTTTTAGTAGAGACAGGGTTTCACCACGTTGGCCAGGCTGGTCTCGAACTCTTGACCTCAGTTGATACACCCGCCTCGGCCTCCCAAAGTGTTGGGATTACAGGCATGAGCCACCGTGCCCGGCCAAGCCTTGGTTGGGCCTTTGTCTGCAACATCGACTCTGCCTGGTTCTGCAGGGATGGCCTCTGGACTCGAACTGCCTCTCTTTCTGGAGTCTCTGTCCTGTGGGCCTCCCTGCATCAGATTTTGGGCTCACCAAGCCTCCACCATCGTGTGGGCCAACTTCTTAAAATAAATCTCTTCCTCTATCTATCCACACATCCTACTGGTTCTGTTTATCTGGAGGACGCTGACTAATTGCAGTCCCCTTTGAAGGGACACTTCAGACTGAGCCCTGAATGCCTTTCTAATCCCCCTTGGCTTTCTGTGCCCGAGGGTGACTCAGGTTAGTTGGCCCTGAGCCTGGCCAGGGATGGGACTCATGAGCAGAGGGGAGTTAGGACCCGGAGTCTTTTTGTTCTGTCCCATATCTGGAAGGCCTCCCTTCTCCCCACTGCCTCTGAAATCAACCTAACCTTTGAGGCTTCCCCCAGGACCCAGCTTCAGTGACGCTTCCCCGCGTCCCAGCCCTGAATAACCACTCTGTCTCTGAACTTCAAGAATAACGATCTGAAGTCTGAGTGGGTTCCCTCCCTCAGGGCTTTGCTTAAGTGTCACATTCCCAGGGAGACCTTCCTTTACCACCCTGTCCCACCACCCTGTCCCGTACCTCAGCATCCCTTCTTCCCTTTCTGTGTTTCGCTTCCCTGCCACATATTTCACTTATTAGTTTGCTGACTGCCTGCCTTCCACCCACTGGGCTGTGAGCTCCATGAAGGTGGGGACTCTTGCCTGTATTGGCCACCACTGTGTCCTCAGCACCCAGAACACTGCCTGGCACCCAGGACGTGATCAGAATCGCTTGCTGAGTGAATGTAAACTCCCCAGTCTTACAACGCACATTCTTACACATCTTGTCTTACCAACCAGGTAAGGCCCTGACAACAGGGACTGCCTTTTAGATTTCTTTATAAAGTATGACCCCCTGACATGATGTATATTTGCTGTCGATGGTGAAGAGAAGGAAATAGGCTTAAATTATAGCAGTTGCACTTGACATCAAACTGAGGGGAGCACCATCTGTCAAGTGCACCTGCTATAATTCTTGAAGTTCAGAGACAGAGTGGTTATTCAGGGCTGGGATGCGGGGAAGCTTCACTGAAGCTGGTCAAGATCTCTGGCAAGCGGGAGTTCTTTAAAGCAGGCACATTGGAATGACTATCATCTTAAAACTTAGATTCCTATAAAGGCCTGGACAGAAGGTCATGAGAGTCCAGTACATTATAGTGTGAGGGTGTTGTATCTCCTTCCCTGGAGTCCGTTAGATCAGGTTAGAGGTCCATCTAACCAGCCATAAATGGGTCATAAAGATTCCCAGAGAGATGGAGAAGTGCAGAACGGATTGTTAGAAGCAGCCATTGTGGCTTTGACTTTGGGAACAGCTCTGTCTACTTTCACCCTGGCAAACTCAAATGGCATCAGATCTGTTCATTGCAGCAGGCAACTATGGATGTGGTATAAAATATAAAAGGCACAAAATATACAGGGTGCAGAGCAAGGCTCCCACCCTCTCCTACCCTCCAGCCTTCCAGTTCCCCTCCTTAGAGGCAACGAGTACTGCCAGTGTTCTATGTAGCCCATGGAGATTTTTATGCACATACAAACATATACATATGTATTTCCTTTTTTCCCCTCTCACAAATGGCAACATACCATATACATTTACTCACTTTGCTGTTTTCCACTTTGTAATATATTTTGGAGATCATTTCATGCCACTACCTATAAAGCTGCTTTATTTTTTCTAACAGTTACACAGTCCTCCACTCCTTGTGTATCTAATTTAATTTGAGCAGTGCTTTACTTACAGATATTTGAGTTGTCCCCATTTCTGACTTTAGAATGTTACCCTGAATAACCTTGTCTATATGCCACCCTCCCCCCATATAAGGATATCTGTAGGGTTGCTGCGCCAAATGATATGTGCATTTTAAATTTGGCTAGAAATTACTTAATTGCTGTTTGTACCAGGTTACCCTCTCCAGTTTATACCGGGGGCCTGATGGAGCCCATGGCCTGAAAGGGACATGGTTGCCTACACCAAGGTCCACAGCTGGGGCCGCATCCCCAGGCTATAGGTGGATTAAGAGAAGCCTTTCTCCACCATCACCAGACCATGAAATTTTTCTTAAGGAGGCATCAACTTAAAAGAAAGACTTTATGGAGAGAGCAGGGCAGAGCTGTGGATTTAAATTAGCCGCTTTCCAGCTATGGGACCTTGGGCACATTTCCTAATATAAGTCTCTATTTCTGCATCTGCAAAATGGAGCAACAACATCTATCCCTGGGAGGTAATGTGAGAATTCAGTGAAACCATGAGCACAAAGCCTGAGTATAATGCTTGCTGTCAGTTGGGTGCTGGGCAAAGGGTAGGGCTGTTGTTTTCATCATCATCATCATCATCATCATCATCATCACCATCATCATCGTCATCATCTCCATTCCTTGCCCTGCTAATTCTTCCTAACTTCCTAACTTAAATTCCTAAAATTTAAAGTTTAATACCTTTAAATTCAGGAAGGAGTAACCACAGCCAGGGCTGTCTGCACAATCACCCTGTATACAAAGCTTTGGCGTATTTACCTGCAAGCTCCTTGTAGAGGCCATCCCCCTGGGACGAAGCAAGGGCCAGCATAGTGGTGATGCTGCCCTTCACCTTCTCCACGATTCCAGTCTATGCAACAAGGACATTCAGTCTGTTAGGATGGTGCAGCCCAAGGAAAAGTGGATCTTATAAAAGGGACCCCACCCAGTCCCCCAGCCACGGAAGGTACAGACTGGGGTTGCCAAAGTCAGGCTTTGCAACCCAGTTGCAAAACGGTGAAACATTTTCAAGGACACCAAATGGCCCAGGAGGCAGCAAGACAACATTTCTGTGGGCTCCCATCTGTACAGCATCTCCCTCCCCACCTACAGGCTCGTGGGGGGCTGCAGCTCTGGTGCCAGCTGATCAAATCAGGAGCTAATGGGGAAGCATGAAGGCATGGCGGAGAGAATGGCAATCACAGAGATGGAAAAAGAGGGAAAGAGCTGGTCACTTTCCCACCATCCTCTCGTCCATGCATCTGCTCACTGGGGAGATGTTTGCTGCACACTTGCTTTGTGCCACTCACCTTACTGTACATGTCTGATTCTTCCCAACTGCCTGAGAAGTGTCTTCTTGCTACTCTTAGTCCTTTTATCAACTAAAACCCCTTTCTTCCCTCTTCTGTTTCTGCCTCCCTTTGAAAAAAATGTCAGGCTCCTTCCTCTAGCCTGGCAGAGTCTAGTTTTGAAGCTGGATCTCCTACGCTTTTTCTTTAACGTTCTAGATTCTAGATCAAGAGCCCTAAGCATACATCTCAGCTCTAGCCATGGACCTGGAACCTGTAACTCAAGGCCTCTAGGTTCCAGCTTCCTCATCTTTAAGATCAGGGAACGAGAGATTCACAGCTCCTAAACCACAAGAAGGAGTCACCTCACGCTAGAGTGAAAACGAAGCAGCAAGCCACATTATCGATCAATATATCAGAGACTAATCTGTATATTCAACAAAATACTATTCCATTCTTTAATTTACAGGACTATTGCGAAGAGGTAATTTAAAAAAAGTAAATCTTCAAACATTATGTATAAAAAGAAATTTCACCCATTGTGTAGAACTAAAATATTTTAAAAAACTAAAAGTTAACTGGCGTTCTTTAAAAAAAAAAAAAAAAATCACAGAATGGGAACACTCTATGGTCTTGCCCAGTTTTAACTTCCTATGTTTCTGTCATTTCAGATACATTTGTACATGGTCAACGTACACATTTTTTAAGCGACATAGTTTCCTGGGTGTCTTAAGATCCAGTGTCTATGTACACAATGGGGAAATGGGAACTGGCTTTATGGAGTTCGGCCAGTTTCTTGTCCATGAATTTTTAGACGGTGATAACATGTTAAAGGATTGAAACTAAACTGCTGCTAGTGAACAAGATGCCTCTTAGCCTACTCCAAGGGGAATTACATGCTTTGAATTGTAAAGAAGGATATTTTCCAAAACTGCAGTCCCGGTGGAGGAGAGGAGATTGGGCAGAAACAGGTTGGAGATGTTTCAAGAAGGCTGGTTCTGAGGTGGACTGAGATAGCAATAGGCCAGCTTCCCTGAGGGCTTGGGAGACAGGATCAGCCAGCCTGGGTTGAGGCAGAAAATGTGGAGCCTCACATGGCCAGGGAGGAAGCCCACAGTGGCATGGACTTCAAGGATCTCTACTACTTGGGGGAAAGGGGGTGGCAAGCCATGAGGCCCAGAGCAGAGGCAAGATGGTCCAGGTAGGCTTGGCAGAAGCATTTAGGCCCAAGGAAACCATCAGGAACTGTCTTCGGGGGTAGATAAAATTAAAGCTGAATGTGTGCTGGTTACCATAACTGACTGGCCTTGAGTAGTGTATTGATATTTACTTACTGACATTTTATGTAGACAAGACATCTCCCTATCTAAACAATCTGTTTTGAGATCGTGCTATTGTTGGACATGCTGGAGACAGGCTTCCCAATCCCAAATCCCAGCTGTGCATCTCCCTGGCTGTGTGGCTGGTTGATACATCTCCCGCTGCCAGAAGTTTCTTCTCTATAAAATGGGAACAATGATAGTACCTACCTCACAGACTTGCTGGGGATTAAATGAGCTAATGTAAATAGCTGAGCACATGTCTAGCTATTACAGTCTCTGTGCTACTGGTGACTCAGGAAAGAGGAGAGGCACAAGAGAGTGTTGGAAGACTGCAGCTCTCAAGTCGAAGCCCCAGAAAGCATCTGTTCCATTTGGACCCAAATGCCTACTATGCCTTCCACCTTCTGCACTCGCTTCCTCTCCTCCCCCGGAGCCTCTCGGGGTCTAGGATCCAGGATGTGGGCATAGAGTACCTTCAGCTGCTGAAACTGGTGCTGCATCCTTTCCTGGGCCCTTTCAAACATGCCCTCAGCCACCTGCCGGTCCACTCCTCTTCTGATGGCATCTTTCATCCGCTCACACGCTTTTTTGCCCGTGATCTGAGCTGCCTCTGGCAAAAATGATAGCCACAGTCACACCAAGACAAGGACCTGCTTAGAAATCTTTGGCACCATGGCCGGGCATGGTGGCTCACACCTGTAATCCCAGCGCTTTGGGAGGCTGAAGTGGGCAGATCAGCTGAGGTCAGGAGTTCAAGACCAGCCTGCCCAACATGGTGAAACCCCCATCTCTACTAAAAATACAAAAATTAGCTGGGCACCGTGTGCACGCCTGTAATCCCACCTACTTAGAAGGCTCAGGCACGAGAATCGCTTCAACCCAGGAGGCGGAGGTTGGAGTGAGCTGAGATCGCTGCCACTGCACTCCAGCCTGGGTGACAAAGCAAGACTCCATCTCAAAAAAACAAACAAAAAAAGAAACCTTTGGCCTTAGAAAGAAAAGCAAGCCAAGCAAACAAACAAACAACAACAACAAATATATATATACTTATATAAAAATAACACTTTATATGTTTAGATAATAACCAGCATTCAGAAAACCTAATGACTGAATTAAGCTGAAACTTGCAAAATCACTCCCTACCCCTCAAACGACAGAGCCACCAAAACAGGAAAGAGCCTGAAAATGAGTTCACAAGTGAGTGAGTTCAAGTATTTGTGAATACTTGGAAACAAAAATGAGAACCTGGACACTGGATTCTACAGCTAAATCAGCTGGGATGTTGTATGCAAAAAAGCAGGGTGTCTGGACCAAGGGTAGACAGAAAGAGCTGGAAAACACACAGAGAAGGGTCCTCACACCCTGCAGTCATGTGGTTGCAATGTGTGGACTGAGAGTGCTGCAAAGTCTTAGGGTGCAAGAGAACAGGGCCTTTGAGGGAGCCGCAGAAAAGGATGCGAAAGATGCTGACAGAAAGTCCCAGAGCAGGCAGAAATGCTGTCCTCCGCAGCCCCCACCTTCGTAACAGAGCTTCAGGTCACTCTGGACAGAGGCAGTGAGGGACTCGTAGATCCTCCTCTTCCTTCTGAGGATGTGGTCCTCCAGGCCCCCGAGGATGGCACTTATCTGGGAAGATGTGGCAAAAGAGGCCGTTGGTGACAATTCCTTCAATGGAAGCAGGTCAGGTGTCCCAGTGCATGGCCACCATTCCCTCCACCTCCACCTTATATGATGCCCAGTTGTTTGTCTGTCATCTCCACAACTAGGCTGTGAGCTTCTCATAGGCAGGAACTCTGTTCTAAGCATCTTTATACCCCAAGTGCTTCCCATGGTGCCTGGCACCTACAAACTACTCAATAAATATTTGCTGAGTTGAACTCAGGCACAGGCAACGTCCTGGAATGGGCCCTCTCTGGGGGGCAGAGGAGATACAAGCTCTTTCCCTAGCATTGCCATGTAATTTGAGGTGGCACTGGAAGAAAGTGGGTCACAGACAAGAGTCTTGAGGCCTCAAAACTAAAAATTGACCTAAAATTGAACAACAATAACAAAAAGGATTGACTTCTTTAAGTTTCACTGCATCGGATGCTACTTTGTAACATTGGCAAAAATGATAGGTTAGTGAAAATGGTTCCAGTTGATGCAAATTTTCATACAATTAAGGCTTCTTTAAAGATTCTTCCTGGAAACTGAGTCAACTTTGCAACCTTGTCGTGCACTCTCAGTTGCTTCACAGTGGAACAAAATGTCCCACACCTCCTCCAAGGCAGTCAGGCCCACTGCCGTCCCCACATCCCACTGGGTTCTGTATTTCACAGCGCCTCCTAGGAGGTACTCCCAGACCCTGGATACTCCAGGGAACAAGGGAACAGACAGGCAACCTACAAAACTGGCCTGGGAAGAAAGCCATGCCCAACCTCACTGCTCTCCTCACTTTATAAGGAACGTACCTCCTGGATCAGGAAATTTTTTTTGCAGCTATCATATTTCCAGCCACTTCTTATCCCAATTTCTGTCATTTTCTCCTGCAGGGACTGCTTAAAAGCATCTATGTGAGGCATCAGAGCTGAACCAGTGGGCTTCCCCGTCCTACGGAAGAAAGTGACAAAAAAGTTTAAGAGAATGGTGGCTGCTGTGAGGCTGAAACAAACACGAAACTAGCTGGTGTCCTTTTATTCATTTAAGAGAAGGAAGATGAAATCTAACAGTTATCAAATCCCTATAATGTGCCAGGCACTGTGCTGTGCCAGACCTTTGACATAAAAACCTATGAAGTTCGTGAGATAATGCTCACTTAACAAGTGAGAAAATTGAGGTTCAGAGAGGATTGCTGGTGTGTCCAAGGTCACACAGCTAGCAAGAGGCAGAGCCATGCTTGGAACACTGCTTTAACTACAGGACTCACAGTCTTTCCACTGCCAATGTGTGTCCACTTGAAAGGGTGGAACTTGAACTATACCTAAAAGTTGGGTAAGATCTGAAGAAGTGGAAAGAAGAAATTATTCCCCATGGGACAACATGGTAAGCACAGTCGTTTCAGAATATCCCAGAAATAGGAAGTGAGAGGTTGCAGAGGAGAGAGCACAAGCTTTAAATCCTAGCTCTCTGCTCATGAGTTGGGTGCCATTGGGAAAGATGCACAATTTTCTGAATCTCAGTTTGTTCAGATGTAAAAAGACAGAAGCCACTCCTTAGAGTCACTGGGAACATCCGATGAGCTAATGCCTGCCAAGTGCTTAGCACTGGTGGCCAGGACAGGTAGCTGCTCTCTCTTTGCCACCTGCTGGGTGGGCTACAGCACAAGGCTGCAACCAGGCAGCGGTGCAGGCAGAGGTTGGAAAGGCAAGCTGGAGGCAGGTGGAATGTCTTGAACGCGTTCTAAGGGATTTGAAGTTTAGCCCACAGAATTGTAAACAGGGCGGGGGTGCAATCGATGGAATGGCATAATCCAAGACGTGCTTAAAGAAAGGTGGGGCAGGGATGGGGGCTCTGAGTAAGACACAAGCAAAGGCTGGAGAATGGTTCAAGCAGCCACCAATGGGCAACCACGTGAAATGCCAGCGGGAAGGACAGAGACTATGGGTGGCTGTACTTGGGGACTGGGAGATTCTGTTTCTGCTGATGGAGTAAAGAATTAGAGGTCAGCCGGGCGCGGTGGCTCATGCCTGTAATCCCAGCACTTTGGGAGGCCGAGGCGGGCAGATCACAAGGTCAGGAGATCAAGACCATCCTGGCTAACATGGTGAAACCCCATCTCTACTAAAAAATACAAAAAATTAGCCAGGCATGGTGGCAGGTGCCTATAGTCCCAGCTACTCGGGAGGCTGAGGCAGGAGAATGGTGTGAACCCAGGAGGCAGAGCTTCCAATGAGCTGAGATCGCGCCACTGCACCACTCCAGCCTGGGCGACAGAGCGAGACTCCATCTCAAGAAAAAAAAAAAAAAAAAAGAATTAGAGGTCAAGGAAGGAGGGAAGGAGGGAGCACCAAGGAGGTACAGTCCCCAAACCCACATCATGTATGTGAGCAGGCAGAGTGTGTCAGAAACAGACACAGCATCTTCAGTGCATTCAGGGAAAGCTCTGAGGCTGGGTGTGGTGGCTCACACCAGTAATCCCAGCACTTTGGGAGGACGATGGGGGAGGATCATTTAAGGTCAGGATTTCAAGACCAAACTGGTCAACACAGCACTGTCTCTACAAAAAATATTTTTTAAAAGTTAGCCAGGCATGGTGGCATATGCCTGTGGTCTCAGCTACTTGGGAGGCTGAGATGGGAGGATTGCCTGAGTCCAGGAGTTTGAGGCTGCAGTGAGCTAGGATTGTGCCACTGCACTCCAGCCTAGGCAACAGAGCAAGACCCTGTCTCATTTTTTAAAAAAAAGGAAGAAAGAAAGTTCTAAAGGCCATGTGTTTGCTTAATTCTACTCTCTCCAATCAAAATACCCTGTCCTGGGCTCAGATCCCTAAGAAAATGTATCCCCTGCTGCATGTATGAGATATTTGAAAAATAATGGGAATCATAACATTAGTCTGAAAGCAGCATCTCAGTCTGTGTCCAGGTCATCATGGGAAATTTTTAAGTAAACCAAACCAAGAAGGCTTTTGTGTTTTGCCAAGGACTAAGGTTTCCTTCTCCAGTTACAAGCTACTCTTTACACTTACAGATCCAAAGTCTAAATTCTTAAAGACTGGCTCCACATTCTTCCGATGTTTGTTCCCGAAGGTGCAAGATGAGAGATCCTTTACCTAAAAATGCTTCCAAAAACAGGGTCGATCTGGTCATAGACGGGCTGAGTGAGGGCTTCATTTAGATCAATTCTCGCCAGAGTCCTGGAGGCATAGATGCCATTTTTCAGGCAAACAGCTTTCAGGGTCTGATGAAAACCTTGGTTTCCTTTACTCCTCTAGACAATCAACAATAAATTAGCAGAGTTAGGCATTAACTGGAAGGTCACTGGATTAGAATTGCATTGCCCTGGCCAAAGATCACTACCAAGAATCACAGGAAAGTGTAGAGACAACATGCTCTTTAAATATATGATTAAACTAAAAGAGGGAGGACAGTGGTCACGCCTCTAGGTCGTCTGGGTGCCCCTGCCATGGGCTTCCTAAAGTCCCTGTGCTCACTTGGATCACAACCCTTCTGAAGTGATTCTGTGTTAGTTTACTCATTTGTCCGGCTCCTGTACTCAGCCATTAGCTCATTGAAATCAGGCACAGTGTCTCATCCATCTTTATGTCCTCAACATCTGGGAATAACTTAAGTAGTGTTTGAGAAATATTTGCTAAATGAGCAATTATTGAACGACTAAATAAATGAATGAATGACAACGTGCTATGACCGGACAATAAGTATATGTCTTGAATTTTCTAAGGATAGTCCAGATTTCATAAACTTTTTGTTAAACTTTTAATGAAATACAATTTGATTTGTAATGTCTTGGCGATGTTTTTTTCCCAGGGAAATAAATACATAAATGAGAGGAAAGAAAAATATAAAGCTAGACCTATGAGAGACATTAATCAATTTCGGCCAGATGGTAATCATTAGTAAAGAGAGTAAAAATGTGTTTGCTAAAATTTCAGTAGAGAGCTCTGTGATTTTTTAATCAATGATATACGTTTTAAGGGAATGGCCACATAGCATTGTACAATTGGTATAATTCTCTCTTTTTTCTCTGCTCTTTTTACTTAGTATTACAACATGAGAATATCCCCAAATCATTGTAAATATGTTCCAGGCCAGATGCAGTGGCTCATACTGGTAATCTCAGCACTTCGGGAGGCCAAGGCAGGTGGATCATCTGAGGTCAGGAGTTCAAGACCATCCTGGCCAACATGGTGAAACCCCCATCTCTACTAAAAATACAAAAATTAGCCAGGCATGGTGGCACATGCCTGTAATCCCAGCTACTCAGGAGGCTGTGGCAGGAGAATTGCTTGAACCTGGGAGGCAGAGGTTGCAGTGAGCCGAGATCGCAGCACTGCACTCCAGCCTGGGCAACAAGAGCGAAACTCCAACTCAAAAAAAAAGGTCCAAAAATTGTACTAATAACCATTTAATATAGTATCATATGGATGAAAAATAATTCATTTTACCTCTCTCTTGTTCTTAGACATTTCGGTTATTTTCCTATGTTAAATAATGATACGATGTTAGTATGTAATTGTCTTCCCAAATTTCTGATCTCAAAGATACATTGTTTATTTGATAGGAGCACCTTGGGCATGTTTGTAGTCACAGAGGAAGAAGTCATTAAAGGGCTGATGAGATGGGACAGTTGATGGGGTAAAGTCCTGGAGACGCTCGAAAATGTCTGTAGTTGCTTCTTCTGCTCACAGCAAACTCTCAACAGGGTGATCTCTGCCTCATGCCTTCGTCCTCTCAGCCCCCACTCACTCATTCACTTTCTGTGATCTGGGTTTTTCAATCATGGGATAGAAACAGCTCTATCTAAGGTCACTTCTTTATCTATTGCTATGAAACAAATTACCCCGAACATAGCGGTGCAGTGGCTTAAAAACAAACAGTAAACGCCTGTCATCTCTCAGGGATCTGTGGGTCAGGACTGGGATGGCTGGGCTGGCCACTCTGGCTCAGGATTCTCCTGAGGTTTGGTCAGGTGTGGCTGGGGGCATAGTCATCTGAGTGAGGCTGGAGGATCTGCTTCCAAAGATACCCGGCTGCTCGCTGGTGCTGGCTCCTGGCCTCAGGCGGGGGCCTTAGCTGCTCTCCATGTGACCTCTGCACACAGTGGCTCAATTTCAGTACACAAAGGCGTCCCCCTGAGAAAGTGACCCAAGAGCCACCATGGAAACTTCCATGGCCCTTGATGGCCTAGCCTCAGAAGCCACACACTGTCACCTCTGCAGCATTCTCTTGCTCAGAAATCAGCCCTGATTCAACGTGGGGGAGACTCCATGAGGGCATAAATACCCAGAGGTGAGGACCCTTGGGGCCACTGTGGTGGCTGCCTAGCACAGTCACCAATGAAACCCTCAATGGCCAAATCCAATGGCTCTGGTTTGCTTTTGTTTGTTTGTTTGTTTTTTACTTCTCAGGAGCATGTGATATTCGTCTTAACGAACTTTATTTTTCTTTTTTAAGAGACAGGGTCTCTCTCTGTCACCCAGGCTGGAGTGCAGTGGCACGACCATAGCTCACTGCAGCCTCCAACACCTGGGCTCAGGTGATCCTCCTGCCTCAGCTTCCTGAGAAGCTGGGACTACAGGGGTATGCCACCATGCCCAACTTTTTTTTTTAAGAGACAGGTTCTTGCTATGTTGCCTGGTTGGTCTTGAACTCCTGGCCTCAAGCAATCCTTCTGCCTCAGCCTCCCAAAGTGCTGGGATTACAGGCATGAGCCACTGCACTCAGCCTTAACAAACTTTATTACTTCAGTTTTCTGGTTGGAAAATAAGAAATTAAGCATTACACTAAAAATAAGCATAAAAATAAGAAAATAGGCATTACACGATTTCCTTCTTCTGCTACCTCTCAGGCTTTTCCTTCTCTGCCCCTCCCCTGCCCCTCTTTATTCTTTTGCTTCCTTAATGTGGCCTTTGTATGAAGAGATATCCTATCACTGTCCTTCTCTCCACTCCTCCTCAATCCCATTCACTGGTATATGTGCATCAATTCCATGCAAGTGACAGCTACATCCTCCAGCCCCACCTCTCTCCAGGCTTCAGTTCCATATTTCCAACACTGTATTAGATATTCCACCTCCATGAAACAGTAAATACATAATCTTCAGTTGTGAACATATTGCTTCCCCAACCAAAGGATAAGCTCCTCCCTCCCAAATCTTCTTAGATCTTCTTTAAATTGAAGCAATTTGCTTTCTCTTGGATGCGAATCTTCCCCAAAAATGTTGCCACCTTGCTTTCCCACATCTCCCCATGTCTGAACTATTGATAATCCTCATTGAGATGTCCTTCAGATTTGCTCTTCTAGCCACCTCTTCCTTCCTATTCTGTCTGCCACAACCTTTGTTGAGATCTTGCCATGTCTCATCTTAACAAAGCACCTACTGTAAGGGAAATGGCTGCGCTTTAGTCAGGAGTAGGCCGAGGCGGTCTTCTGGAGCATCATGACTCAGCGGGTTTGGAGTACAGGTGCACAACCCTGCACATTATGTAACCACGCCACATGAGGTGCATTAGAGGATCACCCACATGAGCTTGTGCTTGGCTCAGAACCACTATTGTCTACAGACGGTATAATTACCCTGCTAACGCTGTACATACAGCTCGCTCATGCCCAGAGAAAGAGTAAAGCCATGTCAAAACTGTCTACGATTCCTCGTTTATCCAGCTACCCGCCACTCGCTCACCAACTCCCCTCAGACCTCAGTTAGACCCTGACACCTCCTAACCAGGCTCTCTGCGTCCAGTTTTTCCCCAAGCATTACACTTCCCAAAGCATTAGTTCTGATGAAGCTATTCTGCTCAAAACTTCACTATGTTCCAACTCTTCAACCTGGTCTAAAGTCTGCAGCAAGCTGACTGTCAGCCTATTCCCCCAAAACTCTGCCCTGTGTACTTGCACTGCAGTTAGATGGCAGCTTCTGGCTCCCACATGAGCTCTGGCCTTCCTCCCCTGAAATGCCTTCCCTGCCCCTCCACTCCTCTGCCCAAAGACACACCACCAGCCTCCAGGGCCAGGCTCCAACAACCTCCTCTCTAGAAGGTTTATTGGACTGTCCTCTAACCTGGCCTGCGATTTCTTTTCCAATATCCATCCCTCCTGCTTCACTGTTGCCTCCCTAGTCCTTCTCTTCTGGAGAAAATGAACTCTACTCCTGCCTCCAGGATGGGACACACACACAGGCCTGAGCTATTCAGCACAAGGCATTCTCTTTTCTCAGGGATTGGTTTAGAAATAGGCATGTGACCCACTTAGAGCCAAAGAAACACCATGAGAGCTTTGCTGAGGTTTCTAAAAAAAGTTCACTCTTCGGAAAGCAGGCCCGGAAATGGCTATCCCCCTGTTCCTCTAGACCAGTGATTCTCAACCGGGAGTGATTTTGTCACAACTGAAGAGTGGGGGCTGCTACCAGCACCTAGGGGGTAGAGTCTAGGGATGAAACAACCTGCAATTCACAGGACAGCCCCTCACAACAAAGCATGATCCGGTCCCAGATATCAATCATGCTGAGGTTAACAAACCCTGCTCCAGAGCTCATGGTGTTCAGATGTGAGTGCAAGAACAGCTGCAGCCATTTTGCCATCATGAGAGAAGCAGCCTGAGAATGGGGCCCATGGAGGCACTGGATTCAGCTCATCCCCCAGGCCCTCTCTTCCCTTGGCTCTCGGGCACGTGGGCCAATACACTTCCTCATGGCTAAGAATGGCTTCAGTTAGGGACTCTGATTTGCAGCCAAAAGATTCCAGCCTGCCACAGCCCCCACCAGAATGCTCTCCCTTCTCTAAACATTTGGAGAACTTTCTGACTGTCTTGTGGTCCTCACCAGCATGCTACCTTTTATTATAGTTCCCCAAATGCTCTCTTAACTCTTCTGAGCAGGGATGTATCTTTCTATCCCTGAAAACTAATAAGAAAAACAGTTGATTTGTTATACACTCTCTTTATGCTGAGTGCGTTGGTCAACCCAGCATTATCACTTTACGTTCATTCTTTCAACTTATCTTTACGGCAACCCTATAACATAGGTACCGTGGTCCTCAATTTATACAGAGGAACCTGAGGCACAGAGAGTTTGAGTAACTTGTCCCGGTCACATAGCTGGCAGATGGGGAAACTGAGGTACGAACCAGAGCCCATGTGGGATACGAAGCCTCTTGGCAACCATGCCTTGTATTCCAAAGTCCTTGTTACATGCAGAAATGAATGAATGAATGAATGCAGCAAAATTTACTTTTATGGGGATTTATAGATGTTAAACTATATAACTGGTTGGCAAATACAAGTTGCTGCAATCGTTTGCTGAGTAGTTTAGGAGACGCAACAGGTGAGTGCAGCAGGAGTTGGGTGTCAAATTATGAAGTTAGGCCGGCCTGGGTTAGATGTGGAGTCCATGCATGGCCATGGAAAAGGTATTTAGTCTCTCTAAGGCTGTAAAATTAAAATAATAATAAGGGTGTTTGCCTCACAGAATGGCTGTGAGGATGGGATAAGGTAACGTGCAGTATCTGATTCCACAGTCAGCATTTTGCTCACATTTGCTGACTGAATGCACGCATGCGTACATACTACACACATGGATACTTGGCTACCCACGCCCAACCGCATGGAAGACACTCCAGCTGTCATCCTCCTGTGTCCACACACTGACACTTTCCCCAGTGACCCCAGAATCACCCCAACTTATCTCCTCCTTTACTCTTGGTTCTTTCGGCATTTATTCTTTGTCTTATGCTAGAGAATCTCCTCCTTTCCTTTCATCCAAATTGCAGCACATGCATCTACTTATCTAGATTTTTTTTTTTTTTTTGAGATGGAGTCTCACTCTGTCACCTCAGCTGGACTGCAATGGCACCATCTCAGCTCACTGCAAGCTCTGCCTCTCAGGTTCAAGTGATTCTCCTGTCTCAGCTTCCCCAGTAGCTGCGATTACAGGTGTCACCACCACACCCGACTAGTTTTTGTATTTTTAGTAGAGACTGGGTTTCACCATGTTGGCCAGGCTGGTCTCAAACTCCTGACCTCAGGTGATCCATCCACCTCAGCCTCCCAAAGTGCTGGGAATACAGGCACAAGCCACCACACTCAGGCTCATCTAGACATTTAAACAAGCTTTTACACAAAGCACACAGATAACAACACCCAGAAGAGGCCAGGTGCTAGAAAGCCGGTATCATCGGTGCACATAGAAAAGCCTCCAGGAAGCCAACCACCCCATCACACTCACCTTTTCACACATTTTCCACTGCTCACATTCCAACTTTCCAAGGCCCACTAAAAACTACAACCACAGACCATCCATGCACTTCTCCCAGCACGGGGGGACACCAAGTCATACAGTGTTGTCCATCACATCTTCCCCTTAATGGGTGCTATGGACTAAAGTGTGACCCTTGAGGTTCACATGCGAAGCCCTAACCACCAGGGTGACTGTGTTTGGAGACACAGCTGGTAAGGAGGTAATTAAGGTTAAATGGGGTCATAAGGGTGGGGCCCTGATCTGACAGGTGTGGTGTCCTTCTGGGAAGAGAAAGAGATCCCAGGAGTGTGCGTGCTCAGTGAAGAGGCCACGTGAGGATGCAGCAAAAATGTGGCCATCTACCTTCTCCAGAAGAGGAGAGAGGCCTCAGAACTCACCCTGCTGACACCTTGATCTTGGACTTTCAGCCTTCAGAACTATGGGAAAATCGATGTCTGTGGTTCAGGCCACCCAGTCTATAGGATTTTGTTATGGCAGCCCAAGCAGACTAATACAATAGGCCTCTTTTTTCACCCCTTAGTCTTAGATAAATACTGCCTTACACTTACATTTTCATCCTTCAGAAACTCTATACAACTAATTAAGAAATAAAACCACAACTTGTATGCCAATTGAGAGGTTACAAGATGTTTCCTCATTGTGTAAGCTCATTGATACTGATATCAACACTACCAGATAGGTAGGGCAAGCATTGAGCATCCTCATTTTATAGTAGAAAACCAATAAATTTTTAAAAAATGGGTCTAGGGCTTTGCCCGGGGCTACAAGGTGGATGTTTGGTGGAGCTGGTACTCCAACCAAGACCCTCAGATCCCAGATTCCCACTCTGTCTTTGCTGAACTGTGTACCTTCCTTGGTCCTTTCAAGACACAGATGAACAACTGTTATGTGCAATTTTCACTCTCTCCTAACCTCCTCTGGCTCTTTTTTTTTGTTTTTTGTTTTTTGTTCTTGTTTTTTTTTTTGAGATGGAGTCTCACTCTCTCGCCAGGCTGGAGTGCAGTAGTGCAGTCTCGGCTCACTGCAATCTCCGCCTCCCTGGTTCAAGCAATTCTCCTGCCTCAGCCTCCTGAGCAGCTGGGATGACAGGCACACGCCACCACACCTGGCTAATTTTTGTATTTTTAGTAGAGACGGGGTTTCACCATGTTGGCCAGGATGGTCTTGATCTCCTGACCTTGTGATCCGCCCACCTCGGCCTCCCAAAGTGCTGGGATTACAGGCATGAGCCGCCATGCCCGGCCCGCTAACTCTTTACCTCTTTTGAAGGGAATGGGATGATGCAAAAGAAGCTTGGGGATCGGGCAGGCCTCCTGGAATATCTGAGTTTTCCCTGGAAGGGTCACTCACCACCAAGCATGCTCTGAGGATGCAGCGGTAAGAAGTCCTGGCGGTCCTGACCCCTTCTTGCAGAGGCTGCTCCATGCAGGCGAAGCACTGTGCGATGGCCTTCTCCAGCAGCTCAACCTTCTCTTCCGCAAATCTCCGCAGGACACTCATGTGCAAGTGTTCATTCTAGGGACAAGGACCATAAAAGAATCAGGCCACCCCCTCCCTAAGGGCACCTTCTCCTGAAGCTTTGCTTTCTTTAAGCTTGTCACCAGCTCAAGATTCAGCTTATCACTCAGAGCTGACTTCTCTTTATTGTCCCCATAAGACCTCACTCAGTGCACAGACCCCTTTAGGCTTTGTGGGGTTAGAGAATAGAACAAATACCTGCCTGGTGCAACTTATTTCATTTCTTAAAAATCACAGTCTCTGCTTATTCAGCAACTTATTTCAGCTGTGTAATCCATCAGGTTATTTGGGGAAGTAGCTATCCACATAGAAATCCAATTGTTATTAAAACAGATTTTTCCAATGACATCTGATTCAACAAACATTTCACGGGCTTGGACTCTGCACGAAGGAGTTTTTAAGGATAATGCTTCTTAAATTTTAACATGCATACAAATCAACAGGAGATCTTAAAATCTGAAATCCAAGGTCCTGGGATTCTGCATTTCTAGCCAGTCCTCAAGTAATGCTGGTCTTCCGAGCTATGGACCACACTTTGCATAGCAAAGCTACAGGACCACAAAAATAAATCCATGCTTCCTTCTTCAAAGAATACAGTCTAATCAGGGAGAAAACATATATTCAAATAATACAAGGAAGTGACCACCAGAGAAAGCCTTGACCCCTAGGTGCCTGATATGGTTTGCTGTGTACCCACCCAAA